>NC_000004.12:94072896-94375926 GCF_000001405.40 Homo sapiens
CAGATATATACAGATATATAGGTATTTATCTTAGAGTTTCTCGAACTCAGTACCATTGCTATTTCTGGAGTGGATAATTCTTCATTGTGGGAAGCTGAGTGGTTAGTAGCTTCCCTGGCTTCTGCCCATTAGGCAGGAGCAGCAGTAGAACCCCCAAGTCATGACAATCAAAAATGTCTCCAGATAATGCCACATGCCTCTTGGGGAGGAGGGGAGGACAGAGGAGCAAAATTGTCCCTGGTTGAGAACCACTGATATAGATACATAATGTATAAATATATACATATATATATATATTCAGATCATTTCAAATGCTCATGCACTTTAACCCTAGTTATTCTAAAACTAAAATTACTAAACATTCTTTTCAAAATTAAAAAAGGTAAATGAAATAAAAATGATAATCAGAACTCTAAATAAAAATTATTAATAAAAAGGGCTTGTGGTGGCATTCTTTATAATGGCTAAATTGTTTTAAATGAAATTGACTTAAATATCCAAATTTAGATGAATGATTACCCAAATTATGATAAATTCAGAGTGAAATATTAAAAATCCATGAAAAAATATGTATAGGAAAAAGATTTTAACAATAATAGGAATGCATATGATAATTTAAGCACTAAGATGATGCACGTAATACAGGATTTTTAAAAATGCACTAAAATACTGAATGGTTATATCATGAAATAGTAACACTTGTCTCTGGATGGTAGGATTGTATTTGACTAAGATTGATGAACAGAAGGATTGCCTTTTGCCCCTTTATGCTTTTCAGCACTTTCCAAAATATAAATTACAATAAAAGTATTTTAAAATATTTCTCTAATAGAAATTTCATAAAACAAATAAGCTTCTCCTTCTAAACTAGAAGTGGTTCTCAAAGGACCCATGTAACTTGGATGGCAAAGCAGGACCCTTCTTGGTGAAGAATTTTCCGAGACAGTTTATTTACATCATAGTTAGGCTACATCTTCAGAGCCTAAGTACAATAAGGAAAGACAGAAGCCCATCATTCCCACCAAGGCCACTGTCAACAAATCGCCAGGTAACTCCATGGCCCCCCTATCATTGTACTCACAATGGAGAATATGCCAGAATGGAATTTGCCTGTGGCTTTTTTTGTTATTTACTGTTTTATAACAACATAATGGAAAAATGCTAACACGTTTCTGCTAAATTTGGTTATATTTTATATAAGACTTCTTTAGTAAGATAGTATAATTTTATAAAGAAAGGATCAGGACAAATATCTACAAAACAAAGCTAAATAATCAAACCAAACCGAATGAAAAGAAATAAAATTAGAAAGAACAGAAAATTATCAAGTATAGGTTTACCTAAGTCTTTTCTTAGGGAAGTTAAATAATATTAGTGTATCAATGAGCTTCTGTTTCTGTGTTTCTCCATATTCCCTTCATTAATAAGTTGGTGGTCTATAAAAATAGCTGTTTTTCAAAACATGTAACTGTTTATTTTTTTACGGCACATGATTTTTTAAAAATAAATTCAAATAGACTGAAGGCAGCAAAATAAAAATAAAGAGCTCACTCTACTTCAACCTCCAGTCTCATTCTCTGAATATTAATAGTTTCTTGGGTCTCATTACAGAAATGTTGGGTACATATACAAATTACAAATACGCAGACTCACAAACACACATATACTTATTTTATACATGTGGAAATATAATGTGCTTGTTGTTCTGCATCATCTTTTCTCCCTTAAAAATACATGTTGGAAAGCCTTTCATGTTGGCACATAAAACTAGACTTCATTCTTTGTAATAGTGAAATGTTATTGCACATATGATTTTACCATAATTTACTCAACAGTTTCCTACTGATGTATACTTAAGTTGCTTCAAGTTTTCACATTATAATTTGCTGAAATGAGCATCCATGTACACATATTTTTGTACTTTTTTGTAATACAATGTTTTGTAATATTTTGTATTATTGATTCAAGTAGGATAAAGTTGCAGATTGATGGGCCAAATACATTTTATTTTAATTTTGAGAGATATTACCAAATTATTCTATATGTAAATTTACACCAACTGATACTCCCATAAACAATGTACAGAAATAACTCTTCCCACAACTTTATCTTGTAGGATATTCTATAGTTATAAAGTATTTACCCTGAAAGCAAACACCAACACCATTTTATTCAGAGTTAGCTATCACACTTTGATCATGTATTCTTCCATGTTATTCTTGCCATTAGAAGTGTTTACCTTAGTTATATAGTTGATATTTAAATGTTCAATATTTAAGGAATAATGGGCATTAAGGCATGGCTTGGGCATTAGCTACAAAATCTAGTAGTAAGGGATTTTGTCACTCCCATTGCAATGGAGGAAATAACTATATAATCTAGTTTCCAGAATCTTAGGTGTATGTTAAAACTAGTTTTGATGGTACTTCCAAATGTAGTAATCAGAGAATTGTTTTCAAAAAAATAAGAAAGGGGTCATTCATTTTTAATGGGATTCTTTGGTTTCCATTTATATCCTTTTTTCTAAAAAGAATTTCAAAATATTTTTGGCATTTCCTCGTGTCCCTCTGAAATAACTTTGCGATGTTTATCAGATCTTTTACTAATATCTCCCAAAGTGTGTATTTTTCAAATTTTAGTAAGAAAAAATTAAGCCTCCTAATTGTTAGGAATGTAAGGATAAATAATTTCTTACCTGAAATTCTTGAACTTCTCCAATACCTCTCTTAAAAGCTCTACAGAGTAGAAGCTGTTAAACATATGCTACGTCCGAGAAAGATATCTTTAAATTGTGGATGCAAGCACAAAGTTGTTGCTCTTTTAGAAGACAATTTTCTCCACTGCAAACCAGCAGTAGGCACAGTCTAGTTATAGCCCTCAGAAAAGCTGTGCTGTGATATATTAATTTACACCTACTGTGCCCTTAAATGAGAAGTCAAAGGCCACATACTGAGCACATAACTTTTACTCCAACATGAAACAGATTTTATATTTACTAGGACAAATATTTGAGGTATGATGCCTGGGAATTTGCAGTATGACCAAAAAAACAAAAAATTTAAAAAAATAAAACAGAGAATGTATGGTACAATTAGCTAATCCATGAGGCCAGAATGTCCAAAATAAACAGTGGAAGAAATCATCAACTAGACCTTGAAAATTTAACCAAATAATGAACAGTTGTTAATTACTTAAATTACAGCCATGAGTCAAAGTTTTCACATTAAATTTTTGAAGTTAATGTAAATAAATCAAGACTTTGTGGCTAAAAAACTACTATGCTTATTCTTATTCCATAAAGTAGTATTCTTCATTCTGTACATACCTTTTAAAAAGATGGAGTCCCGTGGCGGGCGCCTGTAGCCCCAGCTACTCGGGAGGCTGAGGCGGGAGAATGGCGTGAATCCCGGAGGGCGGAGCCTGTAGTGAGCCGAGATCGCGCCACTGCACTCCAGCCTGGGCGACAGCGAGACTCCGTCTCAAAAAAAGAAAAAAGAAAAAAAAAGAAAAAGATGGAGTCCCATATCTCAGGAACAAAACAATAAAAATTATAATTTCCTTGTTAGAAGTAGTCAATTTTAATTACAATAGCTGCGCTATTTTTACTTGAGAAAACATACTTCCAAGAATAATATGCTATTACTAAAGCACCATTTATGCCACCCTTAACACTGACTACTTCACCTGCAGCAGCACATGATGATAGTTTCCAGAATGCTGACAATTTTAGGTAGCAAATACCCTGAGGAGGAGACACCCTCATCCAGTGGGTAAGAGTCAGTTGATAAATGTCTCCACATCCCCACCTACTGATGGGTGATTTTAAGGGGAGCTTCTTGGAGGATCCCCAATGGGATGTGACCATAGCAGTTACCCACACGTTACTGCATTCTTTATTACCTTATCTCTCCTGCCTTTGCTTCCTAAGATGACTTCCCCCAAAAACTAACTGCATCCAAGTCCTTGCCTCAAAGTATGCTTTACAGGTAACCCAAATCAAGAAAAACAGCTTAAATGTGATAGAAGCATATTACTCATTCTTTGAACAGTTCAGAGGCATATAGTCAAAGGCTAATAGGGTGGCTCTGCCATTCTTGACCTGTAGCTTCTGTACCCAATTACAGGATGGCCCAAGTTGGCTGGTCCACTTCTCACCAGCTCCCAGACTGTGGAAAAGGAGGAAAAGCAGAGCGCCCAAGACAATTTCTTTTAAGGGCACAGCCCATCCTAGAAATGGTACATAACACTCCTGGATCTTTGGTAAGGACCTAATCACATGGCTACACTTGGCTACAAGGGTGGCTGGGAAATATAGTCTCTGTTTGGCAATCATGTACACAGGTAAACCTTAGGAATTCTATTTTGTAAGAAAGGGATAAAGGATATCAGTGACAAGTACCTGCACCTGTATAATGCCCTGTATTACCTTAGACCATTTATATTTCATGTGATTATTGGTAGGATTAGGTTTAAATTACCAACTTTAAGTTTGTTTTCTGTTTGTCCCCTTTATTCTTTGTTCTCTTTTTCTCTTTCTCTGACTTCTTTTGGATAATTATTTTCTATGATTCCATTTTTTTCTTTTATCTTTTGTGAGCTTATTAGCTATACATCCTTGTCTTATTATTTTAATAGTAGCATAAGGGCTTATAGACTCTATCTTAAACTTATCACATTTTGCCTTCAAGCAATATTATGCCACTTGACATACAGTGTACTACCATTTCTCCCTTCCAGACTTTGTGCTATCTTTGGTATACACTTTAATTCTATAGACATATAATCCCCACACTACATTAGTATGTTTTGTTTAGACGATTATGTTTTAAAATTTAAGTAATAAGAAAAAAGTCTTATATATTTACCTCTGCAATTGGCATTTCCATTCCATATTTCTGCCTAGTGTCATTTTCCTTCTTTTTTGCTTTTTAGTTTTTACATTTTTATTCTTATAATTTACATTCTTTTTTGCTATTTCTTGTTAATCCTCTGGTTTTACCACATTTTCCTTCTTTATAAAGTACTCCTTTAGCATTTCTTGCACTGCAATCTAGTGATAATAAATACTTTCAGCTTTTGTGTATCTGAAAAACTAACTCACTGTCATTTTTGAAAGACATTTTTGCTAGGTACAGAATTCTAATTTTGTCTTCCAGTACCTCAAAAGTGTTCTTAACTGTATTCTTCCTTGCATTGTTTTTTGAAAAGAAATCTGCTATCACTCATTTTTTTCCTCTGTCTATAATGTCTTTTTATTCTAGCTGCTTTTAAGATTTTATCACTGGTTTTCAGCAATTTGATAATGTGCCTTTGAGTCATTTTCTTCATGTTTCTTTTTTTTTTTTTTTTTTTTTTTTTTTTTTTTTTTTTTTTTTGAGACAGAGTCTGGCTCTGTCGCCCAGGCTGGAGTGCAATGGCACGATCTCGGCTCACTGAAAGCTCCGCCTCCTGGGTTGACGCCATTCTCCTGCCTCAGCCTCCCAGTAGCTGGGACTGCAGGAGCCCGCCCCCACGCCGGCTAATTTTTTTTTTTTTTATGTTTTTAGTAGAGACAGGGTTTCACCGTGTTAGCCAGGATGGTCTCAATCTCCTGACCTGGTGATCCACCCGCCTCGGCCTCCCAAAGTGCTGGGATTACAGGCGTGAGCCACCGCGCCCAGCCTTTTCATGTTTCTTGTGATTAGGATTATTGAGCTTCTTAGATCTACAGTTTTATGGTTTTTACCAAATATTTAAAATTTCATCCATTATTTTTTCAAATATTTTTATACACCCCTTTTCTTCAGGGACTTAAATTACGTGTATATTAGGTGTCTTGAAGTTGTTCCATAACTCACTGACTCATTGATGCTCTTTTGCTTTTTCTTAAAGTATTTTCTGTATGTTTCATTTTGGACAATTTTTTAAAGTTGTATTTTATCTTTAATTGACATATAGTAATTGTACAAACTTATGGGATACAGTATGATGTTTTAAAACATGTATGCATTGTATAATGATCAAACAAAAGTGTTTAGCATATTCATCATCTCAAATATTTATCATTTCTTCATAGTGAGAACATTCAAAATTTTTTCTTGTAGTTATTTTGAAGTATACTATATTGTTAATTATAGTCACCCTACTATGCACTACCACACCAGAACTTATTTGTCCTATCTAACTGTAATTTGGACCCATTAACCAATTTCTTCCCATCCTCTCCTCCCCACTATCCTCCTTAGCCTCTGGTAAACACTATTCTACTCTGCACTTCTATGAAATCAGCTTTTGTAGATTCCACAAATGAGTGAGATCATGCAATATTTGTCTTTCTGTGTCTGGTTTATTCTTATCAAAATGTCCTATAGGTTTAACCACATTGCCACAAATAACAAGATTTTATTATTTTATGGCTGAATAATATTCTACTGTGGATATATATCAATTATTTTTATCCATTCACCTGTTGATGGACACTTAGGTTGGTTCCATACCTTGGTTATTGCAAATAGTGCCACTGTAAACATGAGAAAGCAGGTATCTCTTTGACAGATGGATTTCATTTTCTTTGAATAAATACCCAGTAATGAATTGCTAGATCATATGGCCATTCTATTTTTAATTTTTTGAGGAACCATCATAGTTTTCCATAATGGCTATACTAGCTTACGTTCCCACCAACAGTACATAAAAGTTCAGATTTCTCCACGTCCACACCAGCATTTGTTATTTTTTGTCTTTTTGATAATAACCGTTCCAATTGGGGTAAGGGGTGATACATCACTGTGGTTTTGAATTGTATTGCCCTGATGATTAGTAATGTTGGGCATTGTCTAATATATCTGTTAGCCATTTGTATGTCCTTTTTGGAGAAATGTTTATTCAGGTCTTTTGCCCATTTTTAAATCAGATTATTGATTTTTTTTTTTGCTATTGATTTTTTTCTTATTCTGTATAACAGAATAAAGTTGTTTGTTCTTACATATTCTAGATATTAACCCCTTGGCAAATGCACAGTTTGCAAATATTTTCTCCCATACTATTGGTTTTCTCATCATTCTGTTGATTGTTTCCTTTCTTATGCAGAAGCATTTTAGTTTGATGTAGTTCCATTTGGTTATTTTTGCTTTTGTTTTCTGTGCTTTAGAGTTCGTATACAAAAAATCCTTGCTCAAACAAATGCCATTAAGTACTTCCCCTATGTTTTCTTCTAATAGTTTTATAGTTTGGGCTTTTACATTTAAGTCTTTAATTCATTTTGAGTTGATTTTTAAATATGGTGAGAGATAGGGATCTAGTTTCATCTTTCTATATGTGAATATCTTGTTTCCCCAGCACCATTTATTAAGGAGGTAATCCTTTTCCTCATGTGTTTTCTAGGTGCCTTTCTTACTAATAAGTTGGCTATAAGCGCATGGATTTATTCTTGTGTTCTCTATTCTGTTCCATTGGTCTACATGTCTATTTTTATGTCAATACCATGCTGTTTTGGTTGCTATTGTTTTGTAATATATTTTGAAGTCAGGTAGTGTGATGCTTCCAATTTTATTCCATTTGCTGAAAATTGCTTTAGCTATTTTTATGGTTTCATACAAAATTTAGGATTCTTTTCTCTATTTCTGTGAAGAATGTCATTGGTATTTTGATAGAGATTACATTGAATCTGTAGTTATTTTGGGTAGTATGGACATTTTAACAATATTAATTCTACTAATACGTGAACAAAGAATATTTTTCCATTATTTTTGTCCATTATCTGGGTGGGGACATAACCAAACCATATGATTCCACCCCCTAGCCCCTCCCAAATCTCAAATCCTCACATTTCAAAAAAATCATGCCTTCCCAACAGCCCCCCAAAGTCTTAACTCACTCCAGTATTAACTCAAAAGTCCACAGTCCAATGTCTCATCTGAGACACGGCAAGTCCCTTCCACCTATGAGCCTATAAAATCAAAAACAAGTTAGTTACTTCCTAGATACAATGAGGGTAGAGGCATTGTGTAAATACAGCCATTCCAAATGAGGGAAATTACCAAAACAAAGGGGCTACAGGCCCCATGCAAGTCCAAAATCCAGTGGGGTAGTCAAATTTTAAAGCTTCAAAATAATCTCCTTTGACTCCATGTCTCACATCATGGTCACGCTGATACAAGAGGTGGGTTCCCATGGTTTTGAGCAGCTCTGCCTCTGTGGCTTTGCAGGGCACACCCCTCCTCCTGGCTGCTTTCACAGACTGGCATTGACTGTCTTCAGATTTTCCAGGAGCACAGTGCAAGCTGTCAGTGTATCTACCATTCTGGGGTCTGGAGGACGATGGCCCTCTTCTCACAGCTCCACTAGGTGGAGTCCCATTTGGGACTCTGTGTGAGGGCTCCAACCCCACATTTCCCTTCCACGCTGCCCTAGTAGAGGTTCTCCTTGAAGGCTCCACCCCTGCAGCAAACTTCTGCCTGGACATCCAGGCATTTCCATACATTATCTGAAATGTAGGTGGAGGTTCCCAAACTTTAATTTTTGACTTCTGTGCACCCACAGGTCCAATATCAGATGTAAGCTGTCAAGGCTTGGGGCTTGCACCCTCTGAAGCAATAGCCTGAGCTGTACATTGGCCCCTTTTAGCCACAGCTGGAGCTGAAGCAGCTGGGATGCCAGGCACCATGTCCTGAGGCTGTATAGAGCAGGGGATCGTTGGGACCTGCCCAGGAATTTTTCCCTCCTAGGCCTCCAGACCTGTAATGGGAGGGGCTTCTGTGAAGGTCCCTGACATGGCCTGGAGACATTTTTCCCATTGTCTTGGTGATTAACATTTGGCTCCTCATTACTTGTGTAAATTTCTGCAGCCAGCTTGAATTTCTCCCCAGAAAATGGGGTTTTCATTTCTATTGCATTGTCAGGCTGAATATTTTCCAATCTTATATGTACTGCTTCCTCTTGAACACTTCACCACTTAGAAATTTCTTCCCCAGATACCCTAAATCATCTCTCTGAAGTCAAAGTTCCACAAATGTCTAGGGCCAGGGCAAAATGCTGCCAGTCTCTTTGCATAGCAAGAGTGACATTTACTCCAGTTCCCAAAAAGTTCCTCATCTCCATCTGAAACCACCTCAGCCTGGACCTTATTGTTCATATCATTACCAGCACTTTGGTCAAAGCTGTTCAACAAGTCTTTAGGAAGTTCTAATCTTTCCCACATTTTTCTATCGTTTCTGAGCCCTCCAAGCTGTTCAAACCTCTGCCTGTTACCCAGTTCCAAAGTCATTTCCACATTTTTGGGTATCTTTACAGCAGCACTCCACTCTATCCTTTACCAGTACCAGTGTACTGTATTAGTTCATTCTTATGCTACTATAAGGACATACCCAAGTCTGGGTAATTTATAAAGAAAAGAGGTTTAATGGACTCACAGTTCCACATGGCTGAGGAGGCCTCACAATCATAGAGGAAAGCAAAGAAGGAGCAAAGTCACGCCTTACATGGTGGCAGGCAAGAGAGCTTTTGCAGGGGAACTGCCCTTTTATAAAACCATCAGATCTCATGAGACTTATTCACTATCGTGAGAACAGCATGGGAAAAAGCCCACCCCATGATTCAATTACATCTCACCAGGTTGCTCCCACAAAATGTGGAGTTTATGGGAGCCAC
The DNA here is from genome assembly GCF_000001405.40 of Homo sapiens. Taxonomy (NCBI): domain Eukaryota; kingdom Metazoa; phylum Chordata; class Mammalia; order Primates; family Hominidae; genus Homo; species Homo sapiens. The sequence continues at coordinate 94,082,524 of NC_000004.12, forward strand.
AATTAAAGATGAAATTTGGGTGGGGAAACAGCCAAACAATATCCATAATCTCAATAGATGCAGAAAAGCATTTGATAAAATCCAGCATCCCTTCACAATTAAAATCCTATACAAACTAGGCATAGAAGGAACTACCTCAAAATTATAGAAGCTATATATGACAAACCCACAGCCAATGCCATACTGAATAAGAAAAAGTTGAAAGCATTTCCCCTAAAAACTGGAACAATAGAATACCACTTCTATTCATTATAGTACTGGAAGTCCTAGCCAGAAAAATCAGGCAAGAGAAAGAAATAAAGGGCATCTGTATTCATCCATTTTCATGCTGCTGATAAAGACATACCCCAGACTGAGCAATTTACAAAATAAAGAGGTTTATTGGACTCAGTTCCATGTGGCTGGAAGACCTTCATCATGGCAGAAGGTGAAAGGCATGTCTCACATGGCAGCAGACAAGAAAAGAGAGCTTCTCCAGCCTGGCCAACATAGTGAAACCCCATCTCTACTGAAAATACAAAAATTAGACAGGTATGGTGGCACATACTTGTAGTCCCAGTTACTTGGGAGGCTGAGGCAAAAGAATCGCCTGAACCCAGGAGGCGGAGTTTACGGTAAGCTGAGACCATGCCACTGCACTCCAGCCTGGGTGACAGAGCAAGACTCCATCTCAAAAAAAAAAAAAAAAAAAATGAGAGACAGAGAGCTTGTGCAGGAAAACTCCCCCTTAAAATAACCATCAGATCTCGTGAGACTTACTCACTATCACAAGAACAGCATAGGAAAGACCCGCCCCCATGATTCAATTACCTCCCACCAGATCCCTCCCACAACACACGGGAATTCAAAATGAGATTTGGGTGGGGACATAGCCAAACTATATAATTCCACTCCTGGACCCTCCCAAATCACATGTCCTCACATTTCAAAACCAATCATGCCTTCCCAACCATCCCCCAAAGTCTCAACTCATTCCAGCATTAGCTCAAAAGTCCACAGTCCAAAGGCTCATCTGAGACAAAGCAAGTCCCTTCTCCCCATAAGCCCGTAAATTCCAAGCAAGTTAGTTACTTCCTAGATACAATGGGGGTACAGGCATTGAATAAATACAGCTATTCCAAATGGGAGACATTGGCCAAAACAAAGGGGCTACAGGCCCCTTGCAAGTCCAAAACCCAGTGGGGCAGTCAAATCTTAAAACTCCAAAATGATCTCCTTTGAGTCCATGTCTGTCATCCAGGTCACGCTGATGCAAGTGGTAGCTTCCCATGGTCTTGGGCAGCTCTGCCCCTGTGGCTTTGCAGGGTATAGCCCCCATCCTGGCTGCTTTCACAGCCTGGCATTGAGTGCCTGTGGTTTTTCCAGATGAATGGTGCAAACTGTCAGTGGATCTACCATTCTGGAGTCTGAAGGATGGTGGCCCTCTTCTCACAGCTCCACTAGGTGATGCCCCAGTAAGGACTCTGTGTAGGGGCTCTGAGCCCACATTTTCCTTCCACGCTGCCCTAGCAGAGGTTCTCCATGAGGACCCCACCCCTGCAGCAAACTTTTTTCTAGGCATCCAGGTGTTTTCATACAACTTCTGAAATCTAGGCAGAGGTTCCCAAACCCCAATTCTTGACTTCTGTGCACCTGCCGGCTCAACACCACATGAAAGCTGCAAAGGCTTGAGGATTGCACCCTCTGAAGCAACAGACTGAGCTGTACCTTGGCCCCTTTTAGTCACGACTGGAGTGGCTGGGATGCAGGGCACAAGTCCCTAGACTACACACAACATGGGGACTCTGGGCCCTGCCCACAAAACCATTTTCTCCTAGGCCTCTGGGTCTGTGATGGGAGGGGCTGCCGTGAAAACCTCTGACATGCCCTGGAGACATTTTCCCCATTGTCTGGGGGATGAACATTCAGCTCCTTGTTACTTATGCAAATTTCTGCAGCCAGCTTCAATTTCTCCTTAGAAAATGATTTTTTCTTTTCTATCACAGTGTCAGGCTGCAAATTTTTTGAACTTGTATTCTCTGCTTCCCTTATAAAACTGAATGCCTTTAACAGCACCCAAGTCACCTCTTGAATGTTTTTGTTTGTTTGTTTGTTTTTGTTTTGTTTTGTTTTTTTTTTGTGTGTGTGTGAGCAATATAGTTGTTTGTTTCACCTGGTTGCAGGTGGGTGGGCTGAGTCCGAAAAGAGAGTCAGCAAAGGGAGATAAGGGTGGGGCCGTTTTATAGGATTTGCGTAGGTAAAGGAAAATTACAGTCAAAGGGGGTTTGTTCTCTGGCGGGCAGGAGTAGGGGTCTCAAGGTGCTCAGTGGGGGTGCTTTTTGAGCCAGGATGAGCTAGGAAAAGGACTTTCACAAGGTAATGTCATCACTTAAGGCAAGAACTGGCCATTTACACTTCTTTTGTGGTGGAAGGTCATCAGTTAAGATGAGGCAGGGCATATTCACTTCTTTTGTGATTCTTCAGTTACTTCAGGCCATCTGGGCATATACATGCAAGTCACAGGGGATGCGATGGCTTGGCTTGGGCTCAGAGGCCTGACATTCCTGCCTTCTTACATTAATAAGAAAAATAAAACAAAATAGTGTTGAAGTGTTGGGGCGGCGAAAATTTTTGGGGAGTGGTATGGAGAGAGAATGGGCGATGTTTCTCAGGGCTGCTTCAAGCAGGATTGGGGCGGTGTGGGAACCTAGAGTGGGAGAGATTAAGCTGAAGGGAGGTCTTGTGGTAAGGGGTGATATTGTGGGGATGTTAGAAGAAACATTTGTCGTATAGAATGATTGGTGATGGCCTGGATACGGTTTTGGATGAATTGAGAAACTAAATGGAATAACAGAAGGAGAAAAACAGGTATAAAAGGTCTAAGAATTGAGATAACTCAGGATATCTGATTAGAGAGTGCCTAAGGAGGTTCAGCATAGTCCTGCCAGCAAAGATTATTTATTTACTTCAAGAGTTAAGAGTGGCAGTTTGGGGATAGCACCAGGAGATATCAGCTGTGATGGCTTGGAAAAACAGTGTAAACCAGCAGTGTAAACAAGAGCAGGGCATGTAAGAGTAGTTGAGAACGGTGAATAGGAGTATGACTAGACAGAAGATAGTAGGGATGACAAGTTTTTTGGGGGCACAGTCTAAGTTGGTCTGGTTCTGGAATGAGACTCGGGCCTAATAAAAAGGAGCATCTATACAGGAGCTTAAATGGGCTGTACCCTGTAGCATTCCGAAGACAGGCCTGAATTCTGAGAAGGGAAAGTGGTAAAAGTATTGTCCAGTCCTATTTAAGTTGGTGGCTGAGCTTGGTGAGGTGTGTTTTTAAAAGACCTTTAGTCCATTCTACTTTTCTTGAAGACAGGGGACCGTAAGGGATATAAAGGTTTCACTGAATACTAAGAGCCTGAAAAACTGCTTGGCTGATTTGACTAATAAAGGCTCATCTGTTATCAGACTGTATTGAGGTGGGAAGGCTAAACTGAGGAATTATGTCTGACAGAACGGGAGAAATGACTGTGGTGGCCTTCTCAGACCCTGTAGGAAAGGCCTCTACCTATCCAGTGAAAGTATCTACCTAGACTAAGAGGTATTTTAGTTATGTGACTCAGGGCATGTTGAGTAAAGCTAATTTGCCAGTCCTGGGTGGGGCAAATCCTTGAGCTTGATGTGTAGGGAAGGGAGGGGGCCTGAATAATCCCTGAGGAGTAGTAGAATAGCAGATGGAACACTGAGAAGTTATTTCCTTGAGGATAGATTTCCAGGATGGAAAGGAAATGAGAGGTTCTAAGAGGCGGGCTAGTGGCTTGTACTATAGCATAGCCTGCCTTTGCTGGTGTGTGGCCATTAGGCCTGGTGGAACCGCCATCAATAAATCAAGCGTGATCAGGGTGAGGAACAGGAAAGAAGGAAATTTGGGGAAATGCGGTGAATGTCAGGTGGATCAGAGAGATACAGTCATGGGGGTCAGGTGTGGTATCAGGAATAATGTGGGAGGCCGGATTTAAGTCTGGGCCAGGAACAATGGTAATTGTGGGAGACTCAACAAAGAGTGAGTATAGCTGAAGGAGCCAGGAAGCAGAAAGTATATGTGTCAGGTATGAGGAAGAAAATAGATTTTGGAAGTTGTGAGAACTGTAGAGAGTGAGTTGAGCATAGTTTGTGATTTTGAGGGCCTCTAAAAGTATTAAAGCAGCAGCAGCTGCTGCACGCAAACATGAGGGCTAGGCTAAAACAGTAAGGTCAAGTTGTTTGGACAGAAAGGCTACAGGGTGTGGTCCTGGCTCTTGTATAAGAATTCTGACCACGCTAACCATGCCTAGGAAGGAAAGGAGTTGTTGTTTTGTAGAAGGTGCTTGGGTTTGAGAGATCAGTCGAACACGATTGGCAGGGAGAGCACATGTGTTTTTATGAGAATTATGCCGAGATAGGTAACAGATGAGGAAGAAATTTGGGCTTGATTGAAGTAATGGGGGCTGTCTGTGAAGCCTTGCGGCAGTACAGCCTAGGTAATTTGCTGAGCTTGATGGGTGTCAGGGTCAGTCCAAGTGAAAGCGAAGAGAGGCTGGGATTAAGGGTACAAAGGAATAGTAAAGAAAGCATGTTTGAGATATAGAACAGGATAATGGGTTGTAGACGCAGGTAGTGAGGATAGGAGAGTATATGGGTTTGGCACCACGGGGTGGATAGGCAAAACAATTTGGTTGATAAGGCACAGATCCTGAACTAACTTGTAAGGCTTGTCTGGTTTTAGGACAGGTAAAATGGGGGAATTTGTAAGGAGAATTTATAGGCTTTAAAAGGCCATGCTATAGCAGGCAAGTGATAACAGGCTTTAATCTTTTTAAAGCGTGCTGCAGGATGGGATATTGGCGTTGAGTGGGGTAAGGGTGATTAGGTTTTAATGAGATGGGAAGGGGTGCATGATCAGTCGCCAAGGAGGGAGTAGAGGTATCTTATACTTGTGGGTTAAGGTGGGGGGGATACAAGAGGAGGATGCAAAGGAGGCTTTGGATTGGGAAGAAGGGCGGCAATGAGATGTAGCTGTAGTCCAGGAATAGTCAGGGAAGCAGATAATTTAGTTAAAGTGTCTCAGCCTAATAAGGGAACTGGGCAGGTGGGGATAACTAAAAAGGAGTGCTTAAAAGAGTATTGTCTAAGTTGGCACCAGAGTTGGGGAGTTTTAAGAGGTTTAGAAGCCTGGCCGTCAATACCCACAACAGTTATGGAGGCAAGGGAAACAGGCCCTTGAAAAGAAGGTAATGTGGAGTGGGTAGCCTCTATATTGATTAAGAAGGGGACTGACTTACCTTCCACTGTGAGAGTTACCCAAAGCTCGGCATCCGTGATGGTCTATGGGGCTTCCGAGGTGATCGGGCAGCGTCAGTCTTCAGCCGCTAAGCCGAGAAGGAGTCAGTCAGAGAGCCTTGGGCCAGAGTTCCAGGGGCTCTGGGAGTGGCTGCCAGGTGAGTTGAACAGTCCAATTTCCAGTGGGGTCCCGCACAGATGGGACACGGCTTAGGAGGAATCCTGGGCTGCAGGCATTCCTTGGCCTGGTGGTCAGATTTCTGGTACTTGTAGCAAGCTCCTGTGGGAGGAGGTTCTGGAGGAACGCCTGGCCGCTGCGGTTCAGGCGTTTGGAAGTTCTTGTGTGCTGGAGATGTGGCTGGGGTTTGTCTCACAGTGGAGGCCAGGAATTGCAACTTTTTTCTATTATTGTACACCTTGAAGGCGAGGTTAATTAAATCCTGTTGTGGGGTTTGAGGGCCAGAATTTAATTTTTGGAGTTTTATTTAATGTCGGGAGCAGATTGGGTAATAAAATGTACATTGACAATAAAATGGCCTTTTGACCTTTTAGGGTCTAGGGCTGTAAAGCGTCTCAGGGTTGCTGCCGAACGAGCCATGAACTGGGCTGGGTTTTTATATTTGATGAAAAAGAGCCTAAACGCTATCTGATTTGGGATAAAGAAAAAGGAGCATTAACCTTGACTATGCCTTTAGCTCTAGCCACCTTTTTAAGGGTAAATTGCTGGGCAGGTGGGGGGGGCTAGTCACAGAACGAAACTGTAAGCCAGACCAGGTGTGAGGAGGGGAGGCGATGAAAAGATTACAGGGTGGAGGAGTGGAGGCTGAGGAAGAATTGGGACCTAGCTTCGGCTGGCGAGGAGGGAAGAGGTCACATGGGTCTGTAGAAAAGGAAGATTAGAAAGACTCAGCGACGCTTGGGGTTGGCACTGAGGGGACAGGCAGGAGGGAAAGAAGGAAGATTTGGGATGAGTTGCACTGGGCACAGAGACTAGGAAGGGACTGATGTGTAAAAGAATGCCTGGACGTCAGGCACCTCAGACCATTTGCCCATTTTACGACAAGAGTTATTTAGATCTTGTAGGATGGAAAAATTGAAAGTGCCGTTTTCCGGCTATTTGGAACTACTGTCGAGTTTGTATTGGGGTCAAGCAGCATTGCAGAAGAAAATAAGGCATTTAGGTTTTAGGTCAGGTGTGAGTTGAAGAGGTTTTAAGTTTTTGAGAACACAGGCTAAGGGAGAAGAAGGATGAATGGAAGGTGGAAGCTTACCCATAGTGAAGGAGGCAAGCCCAGAAAAAAGAGTAGAGACACGGAGAAGGGGTGGGGGGTTCTTGCCCTCCAGAAAAGCAGAGAAGGGGTTGGGGCACGGAAATAAGGGATTGGGGCACAGAGATAAGAGGTCAGGGTGTGGAAATAAGGGATTGGGGCTCAGAGATAAGAGGTTGGGGTGCAGAAATAAGCAATTGGGGGGTTCTTGCCCCCTAGGAAAGCAGGACTTGCCACTAAGGGTGAAGGAGAAGGGGTTGAGGGGTACTTGCCCCTGCCCCAGGAAAGCAGGACTTGCTGCTAAGGGTGAAGGACCAAGGCAGGCCTCCCTGCAATGATTAAACACCAAGGGAAGGCTGCCTTCCCAGTCCGTGACCAGCGCCGGAGTTTTGGGTCCACGGATAAAACGTGTCTCCTTTGTCTCTACCAAAGGAATTGAAAGGAATTGAAATTAAGAGAAGGGAGAGATTGAAGTGTGGCACCAAGACTGAAAGGAGAAAGAGGTTGAGGGATAGTGAGGGAGGTTGGAGAAGAGAGTAAAAAGAGGCCACTTACTGGATTTGAAATTGGTGAGATGTTTCTTGGGCTGGTCGGTCTGAGGACTTGAGGTCATAGGTGGATCTTTCTGATGGAGCAAAGGACAAGAGGACAGGAGATTGATCTCCCAAGGGAGGTCCCCCGATCCGAGTCAGGGCACCAAATTTTATGAGCGTCGGTGTGAAGAGACCACCAAACAGGCTTTGTGTGGGCGATAAAGCTGTTTATTTCACCTGGGTGCAGGTGGGCTGAGTCCAAAAAGAGAGTCAGCTGAATGTTTTGCTGCTCAGAAATTTCTTCCACCAGTTACCCTAAATCATCTCTCTCAGTTCTAAGTTCCACAAATCTCTAGGGCAGGGGCAAAATGCCACCAGTCTCTTTGCTAAAACATACCATGAGTCACCTTTGCTCCGGTTCCCAACAAGTTCCTCATCTCCATCTGAGACCACTTCAGCCTGGACCTTATTGTCCATATCACTATCGGGCTTTTGATCAAAGTCATTCAACAAGTATCTATTGAGTTCCAAACTTTCCCACATTTTTCTCTCTTCCTCTGAGCCCTCCAAACTGTTCCATCATCTGCCTGTTACCCATTTCCAAAGTCACTTCCACATTTTCAGCTATCTTTTCAGGAACACCCCACTCTACTGGTATCAATTTACTGTATTAGTCCATTTTCATGCTGCTGATAAAGACATACCCAAGACTGGGCAATTTACAAAAGAAAGAGGATTACTAGACTCACAGTTTCACTTGGCTGGGGAGGTCTCACAATCATGGCAGAAGGTGAAAGGCCCATCTCACATGGCAGCAGACAAGAGAAGAGAGCTTGTGCAGGAAAACACCCCCTTATAATAACCATCAGATCTCATGAGACTTACCATCACGAGAAAAGCACAGGAAAGACCTGCCCCCATGATTCAATTACCTCTCACCAGGTGCCTCCCACAACACATGGGAATTCAAGATGAGATTTGGGTGGGTCATAGCCAAACCATATCAGCATCCATATTGGAAAAAAGGAAGTCAAACTATCTCTGTCTGTTGATGATATGACCTTATGCCTAGAAAACCCTAAGGACTCCTAGATTTGGTGAATGAATTCAGTACAGTCTCAGGTTACAAAATCAATGTACACAAATAAGTAGCACTGCTATACAACAATGACTGATCTGTGAATCAAATCAATAACTCAATCCCTTTTACAATAGCGCCAAAAAAAATAAAATACTTACAAATACACTTAACCAAGGAGGTAAAATATCTCTACAAGGAGAACTATAACACACTGTTAAAAGAAATCATAGATGACACAAACAAATGGAAATATGTCTCAGGTTCATTAACTAGAAGAATCAATATTGCAAAAATGACCATGCTACTTAAAGCAATCTACAGATTCAATGAAATGCCTATGAAAATACCAATGACATTCTTTACAGAATTAGAAAAAAAAAACTAAACTTCATATGGAATCAAAAAAGAGCTCGAATGGCCAAAGCAATCCTAAAGTAAAAGAATAAATCTGGAGGCATCACATTACCTGACTTCAAATTATTCTACAAGGCTATAGTAACCAAAACAGCATGGTACTGGCATAAAAACATACATAGACCAATGGAACAGAAAAAGAACCCAGAAATAAAGCCAAGTACTTACAACCAACTGATCTTTGACAAAGCATACAAAAACATTAACTGGGGAAAGGACACCCTATTTCCCCTATTCAATAAATGGTGCTGGGAAAATTGGACAGCCGTATGTAGAATAATGAAACTGGATCCCTATCTCTACCACATACAGAAATTAAGATGGACTAAAGACTTAAATCTAAGACCTGAAACCATAACAATTCTAGAAGAAAACAGGAAAAACTCTTCTGGACATTGGCCTAAGCAAAGAATTTATGATGCAAACCCCAAAAGCAAAGGCAACAACAACCAAAATAAATAAATGGGGTATAATTAAATTAAAAAGCTTCTGCATAGCAAAAGAAATTATCATCAGAGTGAACAGACAACCTACAGAATAGGAGAAACTGTTTGCAAACTATGCATCAACAAAGGACTAATATCCAGAATCTAAAAGGAACTCAAATAAATCAGCAAGAAAAAAACAAATAATCCCATTAAAAAGTAGGCAGGTGACATGAGTAGACATTTCTCAAAAGAAACTTTACAGATTGCCAATAAACATATAAAAAAATGCTCAACATCACTGATCATCAGGGAAATGCACATTAAAACCACAATGAGATACCACCTCACCCCAGCCAGATTGGCTATTAGTAAAAAGTCAAAAACCAATAGACGTTGGCACAGATGTGGTGAAAATGGTACATTTATACACTTTTGGTGGGAACATAAATTAGTACAACCTCTATGGAAAACAGTATGAAGATTTCTCAAAGAACTAAAAGTGGATCTACCACTTGATCCAGCAATCCCACTGTTGGGTATCTACCCAAAGAAAAAGAAATAATTATATCAAAAAGACACCTACTCACATGTGTTCACTGCAACACAAGTCCCAGTTGCAAAGATGAGGAATCAACCTTAGTGCCCATCAACTATTGAGTGGATTTTTAAAAAGTTATATATATATATAAAATATACACACACATATATATACACACATTACATTTTATGTATTTGTATTAGTATATATAGAGAGATATATAGATATATATACACCACATTTACATACACACACTACTCAGCCATAAAAAAGAATAAAATAATGTATTTTGCAGAAACTTAGATGGAACTGGAGCTCATTATTCTAAGTAAAATAACTCAGGAATGGAAAACCAAATACCACATGTTCTCACTTACAAGTGAGAAATAAGCTAAGACAGGTATATTGGACATTGGAGACTCAGAAGGTGGGAGGGTAGGAGGGTGTTGAGGAATGAAAAATGATCTACTAATGTATAATGTACACTACTCAGGTGACAGATACACTAAAATCCCAGAATTCACCATTATATATAATTCATCCCTGTAACCAAAAAACACTTGTACCCATAAAGCTATTGAAATTTCTTTTTAAATTTTTTAAAGAAATGCCACGATTGCTTGTATGTTCATTTTGTATCCTAAAACTTGACTAAATTTGTTTATTAGTACTAACAGGTTTTTTGGTGGAATTAATAGGGTTTTACACATAGACATCACACCATCTGCAAACAGGGACAATTTGACTTTTTCCTTTCCAATTTGGATGCTCTATTTCTTTCTCTTGCCTTATTGCTTTGGCTAAGACTTAGATCTTGGAGGAAAAGCTTTCCAATTTTTCCCATTCAGTATCATTTTAGCCATGGGTTTGTCATATGACCTTTATTGTGTGGAGATGCCTTCCTTCTATGCCTAATTTGTTGAGCATTTATCATGGAGAGATGTTGAATTTTATTAAATGCTTTTTCTGTATCTATTCAAATGGTAATGTGGTTTTTGCCCTAAATTCTGTTAATGTGATGTATCATATATATTAATTTGCATATGTTGAACCATCCTTGCCTCCTTGGGATGAATCCCATTTGATCATGGTGAATGATCTTTTTAATATGCTGTTGAATTTGTTTTTCTAGTATTTCATATCCATATTCACCACAGATATTGACCTGCAGATTTTTTGTTGTGTCCCTGTCTGGTTTTGGTATAAGGGTAATGTTGGCCTTGAAGAATGAATTTGGAAAAATTCCCTCCTCTCCAATTTTTAGAATAGTTTGCAAAAGATTCATATTAGCTTTTCATTAAATGTTTGTTAGAATTCAGCAATGAAGCCATCAGGTCCTGGGCTTTTCTTCGGTGGGAGACTTTTTATCACTGATTCAATCTTATTAGTCATTATTGGTCTATTTAAATTTCCCAGTACTTCATGATTCAATTTTGGTAGGCGGTATGTGTCCAGGAACTTATCCATTTCTTCTAGGTTTTCCAATTTGTTGGTGTACAGTTGTTCAAAATAGTCTATCATAATGATCCTTTTGATTTTTGTGGTGTTAGTTGTAATGTTGCCTTTTTCATCTCTGATTTTATTTATTTGGATCCTCTTTCTTTTTTCTTAATCTAGCTAAGGGTTTGTCAGGTTTATTTATCATTTCAAAAACTCAACTCTGTTTCTTTGGCCTTTTATACTGTTTCTTTAATCTCTATTTTAGTTTTTTCTGCTCTGATCATTTTCATTTCCTTCTACTACTTTTGGGTTTTGTTTATCCTCATTTCTCTAATTTCTTAAGTTGCAATATTAGACTGAGATCTTTCTAATTTTTTGAAGGAGGCATTTATTGTTATAAACTCTCCTCTTAAGATGACTTTTGCTGTGTCCCATAAATTTTGGTATGTTGTTTTTTTCATTTTCATTTGTCTCAAGACATTGCTTTTAATCTTAGAAATCTTTAATTTAAAGAATATGGTATATCTTCAAGATTATAAACATTTGTTTAACTTTTATTTTAAGTTTAGGGGTACATGTGCAGGTTTGTTGTATAGGTAAACTTATATCATGGGGGTTTGTTGTACAGATTATTTCATCACTCAAGTATTAAGCCTAGTACCCATTAGTTATTTTTCCTGATCCTCTCCCTCCTCCCATCCTTTACCCTCCAATAAATCCGTGTTTCATTTTCCTCTATGTGTACATATGTTTTCACGTTTTAGCTCCCACTTATAAGTGAGAACATGCAGTGTTTGGTTTTCTGTTCCTGTGTTAGTTTGCTAAAGATAATGACCTACAACTACATCCATGTTTCTGCAAAGGACATGATCTTGTCCTTTTTTATGGCAACACAGTATTCCATGGTGTATATGTACCACATTTTCTTTATCCAGTTTACTATTGATGGGCATTTAGGTTGATTCCATGTCTTTGCCATTGTGAATAGTGCTGCAATAAACATACACGTGTGTGTATCTTTATGATAGATTGATTTCTATTCCTTTGAGTATATACCCAGTAATAGGACTGCTGGATTGAATAGTAGTTCTGTTTTTAGTCTTTGAGGAATTGCCACACTGTCTTCCACAATGGTTGAACTAATTTACACTCCCACCAACAGCATGTAAGCATTTCTTTTTCTCCACAACCTCACCAGCAAGTTACTTTTTGACTTTTTAATAATAGCCATTCTGACTGGTGTGAGATGGTATCTCATTGCAGTTTTCGTTTGCATTTCTCCACTGATCAGTGAGGTTGAGCTTTTTTCATATGATTGTTGGCCACATGTATGTCTTCTTTTGAAAAGTGTCTGTTCATGTACTTTTCCCACTTTTTAATGGGGTTGTGGGATTTTTCCTATAAATTTGTTTAAGTTCCTTATAGATGCTTGATATTAGACCTTTGTCAGATGCATAGTTTGCAAATGTTTTCTCCTATTTTATAGGTTGTCTGTTTACTCTGTCGATGGTTTCTTTTGCTGTGCAGAAACTCTTCAGTTTCATTAAATCCCATTTGTCAACTTTTGCTTTTATCGTGATTGCTTTTGGCATTTTCATCATGAAATCTTGGCCTATTCCTATGTCCAGAATGGTATTGCCTACATTGTCTTCCAGGTTTTTAGTTTTACATTTAAGTCTTTAATCCATTTTAAGTTAATTTTTGTAGATGGTGTAAGAAAGAGGTACTGTTTCAATCTTCTGCGTATGGCTAGCCAGTTATCCCAGCACCATTTATTGAATAGAGAGTCCTTTCCCTATTGCTTGTTTTTGTCAGCTTTGTGGAAGATCAGATAGTTGTAGGTGTGTGGCCTTATTTCTGGGCCCTCTATTCTGTTCCATCAGTCTGTATGTCTGTTTTTGTACTAGTACCATGGTGTTTTGGTTACTGTAGCTGTAGTATAGTTTAAAATTGGGTAGTGTGATGTCTCCAGCTTTGTTCTTTTTGCTTAGGATTGCCTTGGCTATTCAGGATTTTTTGGTTGTTCTTTCATATAATTTTAAAGTAGTTTTTTTTTTAGTTCTGTGAAGAATGTCATTGGTAGTTTAATAGGAATAGCATCGAATCTATAAATTGCTTAGGGCAGTATGACCATCTTAATGATATTGATTCTTCCTCTCCACGAGCATGGAAAGTTTTTCCATTTGTTTATGTCATCTCTGATTTCTTTGAGCAATGTTTTGTAGTTCTTTTTGTAGAGATCTTTCACCTCCTTGGTTAGCTGTCTTCCTAGGTATTTTATTCTTTTTATGGCAGTTGCAAATGGGATAGTGTCCCTGATTTGGCTTTCAGCTTGATTGTTGCTAGTGTATAGGAACGTTAGTGATTTTTGCCATTGATTTTGTATCCTGAGATTTTCTCAAGTTGTTTATCAACTTAAAGATCTTTTGGGCTTAAACTATGGGGTTTTCTAGATATAAGATCATGTCGTCTGCAAACAGGGATAATTTGACATCCTTTCTTCCTTTTTGGATGCCCTTTATTTCTTTCTCTTGCCTGATTGCCCTGACCAGGATTTCCAATACTATGTTTAATAGGAGTAGAGTTTCCAAAGTTATTTCTGCTATTGATTTCTAATTTCAGTCCATTATGGCCAGAAAAGATGCTTGACATAAATTCTGTTTTTGTAAATTTGTTGAGACTTGTTTTGTGCCTAACATGTTATCTATCTTAGAGAAAGTTTAATGTGTTGGTGAGTGGAATGTGTATTGTGCAGCTGTTGGATGGAATGTTCTGTAAATGACTGTTAGAACCATTTTATCTAGAATGCAATTTTTTTTTTTTTGAGAGAGTCTTGCTCTGTCACCCAGACTGGAGTGCAGTGGCATGATCTTAGCTCACTGTAGCCTCCGCCTCCTGGGTTCCAGTGATTTTCCTGCTACGGTGCAATTTAAATCCACTGTTTGTTTGTTGATTTTCTGTCAGGCTGATCTCTCCATTGCTGAAAGTGAGGTGGTGAATTTCCCTACTATTATTAGATTGAAGTCTATGTCTCTCTTTAGATCTAATGATATTTACTTTACATATTTTAGTGCTCTGGTGTTGGGTGCAGATTATTTGTTTCTTTTTTTCTTTCTTTACTTTTTTAAAATTTTTTTATTTTTTTGATACAAGGTCTCACTCCATTGCCCAGGCTGGAGTGGAGTGGTGCAATCATGGCTCATTGCAGTGTTGACCTCCTGGGCATAAGCAATCCTCCCACCTCAGCCTCCTGGGGCCTGGGACCACAGGCGTGCACCATCATGCTCAGCTAATTTTTGTATTTCTAGTAGAAACAGGGTTTGTCATGCTTCCCAGGCTGGTCTTGAACCCCTGGGCTCAAGCAATCCACCCTCCTTAGCCTCCCAAAGTGCTAGGATTACAGGCGTGAGTCACTGCACCTGGCAAATGTTTTTATAGTTGTTATATTCTCTTGCTAAATTGACCACTTTATCATTATGTAATGATAGCTTTGTCTCTTTTTACAGTTTTTGACTTAAAGTTTATTTTATGTAACATAAATATAGCTACTCCTGCTCCTTTTGGCTTCCATTTTCATGGAATATTATTTTCCATCCCTTTACTTTCAGTCTATGTGTGTCCTTACAGGTGAAGTAAGTCTCTTGTAGGCAACATATACTTGAGTGGGTTTGTTTTTTTTTTTAATCCATTCAGCCACTCTATTTTAACTGCAGAATTTAATTCTTTTACATTTAAGGCTATTATTAATAAATACAGACATATTCCTACAATTCTGTTAAATTTTTTCTGGTTATTTTGTAGATCTTTTGTTTCTTTCTTCCTCTCTTGTTGTTTACCTTTGTGGTTTGGTTTGTTTCTATAGTGATAAACTTTGATTCCTTTCTCTTTCTCATTTGTGTATCCACTGTAAATTTTTTCCTTGTGGGTACTCTGGGTTTACAAAAAAATCTTATAGTAATAAAAGACTACTTTAAGCTGATAACAATTGAACTTTGGTCACATACAAATATTCTAGACTTTTACTCTCTTCCCCACAATTCGTAATTTTGTTATCTTAGTTTATATCTTCTCATATTGTATATTCCTTAACAATTTGTTGTAGCTATGGTTATCAATGACCACTTTAACACTTAACCTTCACTCTAGAGATTTGAAAGATTATATACTATCATTAAAGTAATGGATTATTCTGAACTTGATTATGAGTTTACCTCTACCACTGAGTTTTATACTTTTATATGATTTTATAGTGATTAACATCTCTTCACTTCTGTTTGACGCTCTTCTACAATACTCAGTCTTCCATTATTCCCAACTCGGCCCCCACTCCCCACCGCTTGCTGCTTCCAGTGTATTTTTTATCTTAGAAATTATAGTTTTCTTCTCTCAAAATTTGGAGAAATTTTCATCTCTTTTATGTTGCAACACATTCTATCTTTCCTTTAGCTTTTTTAATTTATGGCATATAGTTCTAATAACTGTCCTTATCTGCTAATGCTAATAGCTGTGTCATTCTGGATGAGTTTTGATTGATCTTTCTCCTCATTATGCATGATATTTTCTTGCTTCTTGGTGTGCCTGGTAATTTTTTATTCAGCCTCAGCATTGTGAAATTTATCTTATTGGTCACTCGATGTTTTTTGTGTTCTTATAAACATTTTTAGTTTTATTTAAACTTTTGGGTCTTGCTTTTAAATTTGTTAGGTGGGGCTAGAGCTGTGTGTAATCTAGAACTAAACTACTTTATCCAAGACCCTATAAATTAGGAGCTTTCCTAGTCTCACTGAGGTAGCAGGCCCTATTCCTACCCCTATGGGAGCCCTGGGTGTTGTTACCTCTAATCCTTTTGATAGATTATTTCCCCAGCTTCAGGCAGTTTCCTCACATGTCTGTGCTGATCAACACTCAGCTGAGGATTTTAGAATGACCCTCTGCAGATATCTGGAGGTCACTGTGCAGCTTTAATCTAGTCAGATTTCTCTCCTGCAAACTCTAGCCACTTCAATCTCTCTGACCTCTTAATTCCATTTCCTTAACTCTAGGAACATGCTAGGTACCCCCTGAGTTCTCCCATCCTGTGCCACAGCCTGGCAATTCTCTCACAGCAATAAGCTGAAGCAGTCCTAGGGCTTACCTCTTGTTCTCTCCGGTATCATTGTCTTTTGTGGCCTTATGTCCAATGTCTTGCAAATCATCATTTCATGTATTTGTCTATTTGGGATTTTTATTTTAATTACTTCCAGCAGAAGGAACTATCCAGTCCCTATTCATACATCTTGATCAAAAGTGGGAAAAAATTTCTTTTGGGTGGGGGCTGGTGTGGGGTTGGGCCTTCCTCTTTGTCTCCTGGGCCCCTCAATCACATTTCTTAAGATCTGGGTCGAGAAGGAGGGGCAGCCAAGATGGCCGAATAGGAACAGCTCTGGTCTACAGCTCCCAGCGTGAGTGACGCCGAAGACGGGTGATTTCTGCATTTCCATCTGAGGTACCGGGTTCATCTCACTAGGGAGTGCCAGACAGTGGGCGCAGGACAGTGGGTGCAGCGCACCGTGCGTGAGCTGAAGCAGGGCGAGGCATTGCCTCACTCGGGAAGCACAAGGGGTCAGGGAGTTCCCTTTCCTAGTCAAAGAAAGGGGTGACAGACGGCACCTGGAAAATCGTGTCACTCCCACCCTAATACTGCACTTTTCCAATGGGCTTAAGAAATGGCACACCAGGAGATTAAATCCCGCACCTGGCTCGGAGGGTCCTACACCCACAGAGTCTCGCTGATTGCTAACACAGCAGTCTGAGATCAAACTGCAAGACGGCAGCGAGGCTGGGGGAGGGGCACCCGCCATTGCCCAGGCTTGCTTAGGTAAACAAAGCAGCTGGGAAGCTGGAACTGGGTGGAGCCCACCACAGCTCAAGGAGGCCTGCCTGCCTCTGTAGGCTCCACCTCTGGGGGCAGGGCACACACAAACAAAAAGACAGCAGTAACCTCTGCAGATTTCAATGTCACTGTCTGACAGCTTTGAAGAGAGCAGTGGTTCTCCCAGCACGCAGCTGGAGATCTGAGAATGGGCAGACTGCCTCCTCAAGTGGGTCCCTGACCCCTGACCCCCGAGCAGCCTAACTGGGAGGCACCCCCCAGTAGGGGCAGACTGACACCTCACACGGCCGGGTACTCCTCTGAGACAAAACTTCCAGAGGAACCATCAGACAGCAGCATTCGCGGTTCATGAAAATCCGCAGTTCTGCAGACACCGCTGCTGATACCCAGGCAAACAGGGTCTGGAGTGGACCTCTAGCAAACTCCAACAGACCTGCAGCTCAGGGTCCTGTCTGTTAGAAGGAAAACTAACAAGCAGAAAGGACATCCACACCAAAAACCCATCTGTACATCACCATCATCAAAGACCAAAAGTAGATAAAACCACAAAGATGGGGAAAAAAACAGAGCAGAAAAACTGGAAACTCTAAAAAGCAGAGCGCCTCTCCTCCTCCAAAGGAACGCAGTTCCTCACCAGCAACGGAACAAAGCTGGACACAGAATGACTTGAAAGAGTTGAGAGAAGAAGGCTTCAGACAATCAAACTACTCCGAGCTACAGGAGGAAATTCAAACCAAAGGCAAAGAAGTTAAAAACTTTGAAAAAAATTTAGACGAATGTATAACTAGAATAAACCAATACAGAGAAGTGCTTAAAGGAGCTGTTGGAACTAAAAGCCAAGGCTCGAGAACTACGTGAAGAATGCAGAAGCCTCAGGAGCTGATGCAATCAACTGGAAGAAAGGGTATCAGTGATGGAAGATGAAATGAATGAAATGAAATGAGAAGGGAAGTTTAGAGAAAAAAGAATAAAAAGAAATGAACAAAGCCTCCAAGAAATATGGGACTATGTGAAAAGACCAAATCTGCATCTGATTGGTGTACCTGAAAGTGACGGGGAGAATGGAACCAAGTTGGAAAACACTCTGCAGGATACTATCCAAGACAACTTCCCCAATCTAGCAAGGCAGGCCAACATTCAGATTCAGGAAATACAGAGAACGCCACAAAGATACTCCTCGAGAAGAGCAACTCCAAGACACATAATTGTCAGATTCACCAAAGTTGAAATGAAGAAAAAATGTTAAGGGCAGCCAGAGAGAAAGGTCGGGTTACCCACAAAGGGAAGCCCATCAGACTAACAGCTGATCTCTTGGCAAAAACTCCACAAGCCAGAATAGAGTGGGGGCCAATATTCAACATTCTTAAAGAAAAGAATTTTCAACCCAGAATTTCATATCCAGCCAAACTAAGCTTCACAAGTGAAGGAGAAACAAAATCCTTTACGGACAAGCAAATGCTGAGAGATTTTGTCACCACCAGGCCTGCCCTAAAAGAGCTCCTGAAGGAAGCACTAAACATGGAAAGGAACAACCAGTACCAGCCACTGCAAAATCATGCCAAATTTTAAAGACCATCAAGGCTAGGAAGAAACTGCATCAACTAACGAGCAAAATAACCAGCTAACATCATAATGACAGGATCAAATTCACACATAACAATATTAACTTTAAATGTAAATGGATTAAATCCTCCAATTAAAAGACACAGACTGGCAAATTGGATAAAGAATCAAGACCCATCAGTGTGCTGTATCCAGGAAACCCATCTCGTGCAGAGACACACATAGGCTCAAAATAAAAGGATGGAGGAAGATCCACCAAGCAAATGGAAAACAAAAAAAGGCAGGGGTTGCAATCCTACTCTCTGATAAAACAGACTTTAAACCAACAAAGATCAAAAGAGACAAAGAAGGCCATTACATAATGGTAAAGGGATCAATTCAACAAGAAGAGCTACCTATCCTAAATATATATGCACCCAATACAGGAGCACCCAGATTCATAAAGCAAGTCCTGAGTGACCTGCAAAGAGACTTAGACTCCCACACAATAATAATGGGAGACTTTAACACCCCACTGTCAACATTAGACAGATCAACGAGACAGAAAGTCAACAAGGATACCCAGGAATTGAACTCAGCTCTGCACCAAGAGGACCTAATAGACATCTACAGAACTCTCCACCCCAAATCAACAGAATATACATTTTTTTCAGCACCACACCACACCTATTCCAAAACTGACCACATAGTTGGAAGTAAAGCTCTCCTCAGCAAATGTAAAAGAACAGAAATTATAACAAACTGTCTCTCAGACCACAGTGCAATCAAACTAGAACTCAGGATTAAGAAACTCACTCAAAACCGCTCAACTACATGGAAACTGAACAACCTGCTCCTGAATGACTACTGGGTACATAAAGAAATGAAGGCAGATATAAAGATGTTCTTGGAAACCAATGAGAACGAAGACACAACATACCAGAATCTCTGGGACACATTCAAAGCAGTGTGTAGAGGGAAATTTATAGCACTAAATGCCCACAAGAGAAAGCAGGAAAGATCCAAAATTGACACCCTAACATCACAATTGAAAGAACTAGAAAAGCAAGAGCAAACACATTCAAAAGCTAGCAGAAGGCAAGAAATAACTAACATCAGAGCAGAACTGAAGGAAATAAAGACACAAAAAACCCTTCAAAAAATTAATGAATCCAGGAGCTCCTTTTTTGAAAGGATCAACAAAATTGATACATCGCTAGCAAGACTAATAAAGAAGAAAAGAGAGAAGAATCAAACAGACACAATAAAAAAGTGATAAAGGGGATATCACCACCGATCCCACAGAAATACAAACTACCATCAGAGAATACTACAAACACCTCTACACAAATAAACTAGAAAATCTAGAAGAAATGGATAAATTCCTTGACACATACACCCTCCCAAGACTAAATCAGGAAGAAGTTGAATCTCTGAATAGACCAATAACAGACTCTGAAACTGTGGTAATATAGCTTACCAACCAAAAAGAGTCCAGGACCAGATGGATTCACAGCCGAATTCTACCAGAGGTAGAAGGAGGAACTGGTACCATTCCTTCTGAAACTATTCCAATCAATAGGAAAAGAGGGAATCCTCCCTAACTCATTTTACGAGGCCAGCATCATCCTGATACCAAAGCCTGGCAGAGACACAACCAAAAAAGAGAATTTTAGACCAATATCCTTGATGAACATTGATGCAAAAATCCCCAATAAAATACTGGCAAACCAAATCCAGCAGCACATCAAAAAGCTTATCCACCATGATCAAGTGGGCTTCATCCCTGGGATGCAAGGCTGGTTCAATATACACAAATCAATAAATGTAATCCAGCATATAAACAGAACCAAAGACAAAAACCACATGATTACCTCAATAGATGCAGAAAAGGCCTTTGACAAAATTCAACAACCTTCATGCTAAAAACTCTCAATAAATTAGGTATTGATGGGATTTATCTCAAAATAATAAGAGCTATCTGTGACAAACCCACAGCCAATATCATCCTGAAAGGGCAAAAACTGGAAGCATTCCCTTTGAAAACTGGCACAAGACAGGGATGCCCTCTCTCACCACTCCTATTCAACATAGTGTTGGAAGTTCTGGCCAGGGCAATTAGGCAGGAGAAGGAAATAAAGGGTATTCAATTAGGAAAAGAGGAAATCAAATTGTCCCTGTTTGCAGATGACATGATTGTATATCTAGAAAACCCCATTGTCTCAGCCCAAAATCTCCTTAAGCTGATAAGCAACTTTAGCAAAATCTCAGGATACAAAATCAATGTACAAAAATCACAAGCATTCTTATACACCAATAACAGACAGAGAGCCAAATCATGAGTGAACTCCCATTCACAATTGCTTCAAAGAGAATAAAATACCTAGGAATCCAACTTACAAAGGATGTGAAGGACCTCTTCAAGGAGAACTACAAACCACTGCTCAATGAAATAAAAGAGGTTACAAACAAATGGAAGAACATTCCATGCTCATGGTAGGAAGAATCAATATCGTGAAAATGGCCATACTGCCCAAGGTAATTTATAGATTCAATGCCATCCCCATCAAGCTACCAATGACTTTCTTCACAGAATTGGAAAAAACTACTTTAAAGTTCATATGGAACCAAAAAAGAGCCCGCATCGCCAAGTCAATCCTAAGCCAAAAGAGCAAAGCTGGAGGCATCATGCTACCTGACTTCAAACTATACTACAAGGCTACAGTAACCAAAACAGCATGGTACTGGTACCAAAACAGAGATATAGATCAATGGAACAGAACAGAGCCCTCAGAAATAACACCACATATCTACAACTATCTGATCTTTGACAGACCTGAGAAAAACAAGCAATGGGGAAATGATTCCCTATTCAATAAATGGTGCTGGGAAAACTGGCTAGCTATATGTAGAAAGCTGAAACTGGATCCCTTCCTTACACCTTATACAAAAATTAATTCAAGTGTGATTAAAGACTTAAACTTTAGACCTAAAACCATAAAAACCCTAGAAGAAAACCTAGGCATTACCATTCAGGACATAGGCATGGGCAAGGACTTCATGTCTAAAACACCAAAAGCAATGGCAACAAACGCCAAAATTGACAAATGGAATCTCATTAAACTAAAGAGCTTCTGCACAGCAAAAGTAACTACTATCAGTGTGAACAGGCAACCTACAAAATGGGAGAAAATTTTCGCAACCTACTCATCTGACAAACGGCTAATATCCAGAATCTACAATGAACTCAAACAAATTTACAAGAAAAAAACAACCCCATCAAAAAGTGAGTGAAGGACATGAACAGACACTTCTCAAAAGAAGACATTTATGCAGCCAAAAAACACATGAAAAAATGCTCACCATCACTGGCCATCAGAGAAATGCAAATCAAAACCACAATGAGATACCATCTCACACCAGTTAGAATGGCAATCATTAAAAAGTCAGGAAACACAGGTGCTGGAGAGGATGTGGAGAAATAGGAACAGTTTTACACTGTTGGTGGGACTGTCAACTAGTTCAACCATTGTGGAAGTCAGTGTGGCGATTCCTCAGGGATCTAGAACTAGAAATACCATTTGACCCAGCCATCCCATTACTGGGTATATACCCAAAGGACTATAAATCATGCTGCTATAAAGACACATGCACACGTATGTTTACTGCAGCACTATTCACAATAGCAAAGACTTGGAACCAACCCAAATGTCCAACAATGATAGACTGGATTAAGAAAATATGGCACATATACACCATGGAATACTATGCAGCCATAAAAAATGATGAGTTCATGTCCTTTGTAGGGACATGGATGAAATTGGAAATCATCATTCTCAGTAAACTATCGCAAGAACAAAAAACCGAACACCGCATATTCTCACTCATAGGTGGGAATTGAACAATGAAAACACATGGACACAGAAAGGGGAACATCACACTCTGGGGTCTATTGTGGGGTGGGGGCAGGGGGGAGGGATAGCATTAGGAGATATACCTAATGCTAAATGACGAGTTAATGGGTGCAGCACACCAGCATGGCACATGTATACATATGTAACTAACCTGCACATTGTGCACATGTACCCTAAAACTTAAAGTATAATAATAATAAAATAAAACTTAAAAAAAAGTGGGAGAAACACTATACAGTCTTGTAAAATAAACTATAGAGTTTATTTCAAAATGATACAATTTTATGTCTATTCTTACTAATGGGATTTTAAAGATACCATCTATTACCCATCCAGAAGGAAAGAAATGAATCTCTAGGAAGGAGTACCCAAACCCCCATATAGTGCTGTAATTAGGAAAAGGAAAAAAATGTCTATTTTAATTATATGGAAAGGTATTTGCATCATCTCAATTAAGTTGTATGGCCTGCTAGTGAGAGGAAGAATATATTGCTACTCTTTAGCTCCTACACATGAAAGGTGGCAATGAATGCCTGCTGCTTATGATAATGGTAGATAAGATCAAAAGAGATCTCTTTCAGTTTTCTTAATAATAAGATATATATTAAGGTTTTCAAACTGAAAATATTGAGATTTAATAAGCTTAAGGATAAATATGTGAGATACATATAGGTATTTGTTTGGTAATATCACATACCCTCTGTACCTAGATGACTAGTACTCCATAGCAGTTTGTCATTTAAAGGACTTGCCCCTTGCCATATCACAACATGCAAAGGTTCCTGTAGTTTCTAAAATCTCCTCTCAAGGGAAACTAGGATTCTGTTTCCAGGCTGGCATAAACTGCTAATGATTTATGTGATACTTTTCCTATGCAAGGGCAATGGAAACAACTAGCTTTGCCACAAGACTACTGTCTCATTTTTCTGAGAATTATAACATCTGGAGAAAGAACAGTAAACCTAATATAAGACTTACTGTTTTTATCAGAATTTTTTTTGAAGGAAGCAGCTGGCTAGGATAGCCAGCAATGTCATAGCAAATGAAAAACGTGTTCCTGCTTTATTTTTTTAAGTCAATAACAAAATCATCAAGTAACTATTATTGAAATAAAACCAAAATTCCAGAAATTTTGGCACATCCTTTTTGTTGTTTACTTACGTCTTCCATGCAGGAAGAAATGAGAGGGATTGACTACCAAGTAGAAGTTGGTGACTATGGCACTTAGTTTTAACACAGCAGTTTCACGGGTTTTCTTTTATACTGAGTACAACCCTAGATCCCCCACATATAGATTTCCAAGAATTGTTTGTTTTGTAACCCACAGGAGAGAAAGGCTCTTGTACTCACATGTAAACAAACTTCAGAAGATTGATAATACATGTTTGAGAACTGATGAAGTATATATTTTGAAAGCAAGAAGAGTCACAGTATATGAGGGAAAATACACATCTGAACATAGATTCAGATATACATATGAAAAAACATACAGGATTTGCAGTATTTGTTTAGAAGATATTGAAAATATCTAAAGGATTCAAGAAATTTGTTCATGGAAGTATAATATATATTATAGATTCCTTTGGTTATTAAAATCTACTTTTTAAGAATACCTCTAGTAATTTCCTATGGTTGCTGTAACAAAGTACCACAGACTGAGTGGTTTAAAACCAAAGAAGTTCATTCTCCCACTGTTCTGGAGGCTTGATCAAAATCAGCAGGTTGACAGAACCAAGCTTCTTCTAAATGCTCTAGGGAAGGAGTCTTCCCTGACTCTCATCTTCTGACAGCTTCAGGTATTTCTTTCCTTGCAGCAGCAGAGCCCCACTCTCAGCCTCCATCTTCACATGGCCATCTTCCCTCTGTGTCTCTGTCCTCACATGGTGTTCTTCTCCTTCCAGTGTGTCTGTAATCTCTTTTGGTTTTTGTTTTGTTTTGTTTTGTTTTGTTTGTTTTTTGAAACAGGGTCTTGCTCTGTCACCCAGGCTGGAGTTCAGTGGCATGATCTCAGCTCACTGCAACCTCCACCTCCCGGTTCAAGCAATTCTCCTGCCTCAGCCTCCCACCAAGTAGCTGGGATTACAGGTGCCTACTACCACACCCAGCTACATTTTGTATTCTTAGTAGAGATGGGGTTTCACTGTGCTGGCCAGGCTGGTCTCAAACTCCTGACCTCAAGTGATTCACCTGTCTCAACCTCCCAAAGTACTGGGATTACAGGAGTGAGCCACGGTGCCCAGCCTGTTTTCTTTTTGTAATAAGCACCCCAGTTATACTGGATTAGGGCCCACCCTAATTGAGGATGGCCTCATCTTAACTCACTTACATCTCAAAGATGCTATTTCCAAACAAAGTCACGGTCACAGAGAAAACATGTTAGGACATCAACATGTCTTTTTAGAGGACAAAATCCAACCCTCAACAATACTTGACATAATTCTTTTGATTATGAAGAGGTTATTTTTTTCTTCATTATTGCATATCAGCATTCAATGCAGTGCATTCCCTGAGTTACTGTGCCCATAGTTTTATTTTCTTCATAAGCAGATAGTCAAGAACAAACTTGATTGGAAAAATTGAGGGACGATTCAATGGAATCAGCATTAATATTTCAGATACAAATCTATAACACAATGATAAATGATCCCACTGGATTTGGCCTCCATTTTTTAAAATTTATAAGGAAAACACAAATGTCCCATTGGAGTAAATGAGGAATGTGAATATTTGGATAACCTTCTAAGAAATAAATTATAACCACTAAGGCAGCGGGCATTAAGGCAGTCTGGAAGGCAATTCCTAGAGTTGCAGGAAGGGCACTGATGACTGAAAATGGTCACTACATGTATATAAAACACAGGCCAAAAGTGAACAAAACAAATCAAGGCGACTGGCTGAAATAATTAAAGCCAGAAGTTACCTGTTGAAAAAAGCTCCCTCTCCATTCCTTAGTCCAGTGCATAGGTATCACAGCTAGATGAAGAGAAAGAATTCTGGGACAGAATCCAAGGCTTTATTCCTGACCTTCTTTGAAACTGACTCAGAGAGTAAGGACCAGACAACCCAGCAACCAGGGATATCCTGACCCATTCACATCTCTGAAACACTCTATTACCACCTTTGTAAAGGCTGAGCCACCCAGAGGGAAGAAAGGGAATCCTACCTCTAAAACAGGAGGAAATATTCACCTGTCAGAAGAGGAGAAGGAATTAATGTGGGTGACTCAGATGTTAAAAGTTCCCTTTATTCATGCTCCGATCACATGTGTCTGGAGTTCTAGGTACTAAGTGCAGGTACAGGAACCGTGAAGCCTCAGAAGAGATGGTAAATCATATGTGGGAGTCACTGCCCTTTGACAAAGTATCACGGCACACACATGCCCTGTTACCCCGCCATGCAGCCCCAAACTCTGAAGATGAATTCTTTGACTATAATGGACACTTCTGCAGGAGTCCACAAAAATTTAAATAGAAAAGTAGGAGGTGCACAATGGACCTTTTACCAGATTAACTGACACCGGGGATTATTAGTTAAAATAGTACTTTTCAACCTCCATCCCCAAAACCTACTTAAATCAATTGATGTGTCTAGGAGGTTATTTCATTTTTGGTTGTTGTTGTTGTTGTTGTTGTTCATAGAAACGTAGAGTTTGATATTGGAGCAGAGCCCAGGGAACAGATGAGGAGACAAAAAGGAAGGGGTGAGTCTGTCTCCTACTGAGACTCAAAGGCTAGGTGTTTTTGCCCTTTGTAGAGAGAGCTTCCAGAAAGAAATTATCAAAATTTGCTTTAAAAGATTTAGAATACAATGAAAGCTACTTTAAGGCAAAAAGAAATATATTCTATCTGACTCTTTTTCCAACAGAAGGACAATTTTTAACAATTGTAACAGTAAGTGTTCACAGGAATGTAAGGAAACAAACTCTCTCATGCAATGTTGGGAAGATGGTAAATGAATGTTTTTGGGAAGACCATTCAGCAGAATATTCTAAAACATTTAAGGTACTTACCATCTGACCGAACAATTCCTCTTAGGAGCCTCTATCTGAAGACTGTCATACCCATACACAAAGATGTACACATAAGTATTTTCATTGTGTTAATGCCTAAAGTAGCAAAAACTGAGAAAGTCACTGCTATAGGTTAATGTGTGTCCCCCAAAAAAGATGTGTCAAAACTGTAACCCATAGTACTTCAAAACAGGTCCTTGGTTGGAAATAGGCTCATTGCAGAGTAGTTCAGATAAGGTCATACTAGAGTAGGATGGGTCCTTAATCCAATATGGCTGGTATCCTTATAAAAGAGAATACCTTGTAAACACAGGCATGCACAGAGGGATGACAATGTGAAGATACACACTGAGAAGATGGTCATGTGACTAGAGTGATACATCTACAACCCAAGGAAAACAAAGGATTACTGGCAAACACCAGAAGCTAGAAGAGACAGGAAGAATTCTCCCCTAGACCTGTCAGAGAGTGCATGATCCATTGGGCACCAGGATTTCAGGCTTCTAGCCTCCAGAGTATGTGACAAATTTCTTTGTTTGAAGTGACTCAGTGTATGGTATTTTGTTACAACAACCCTAGAAAATGAATACAGTCACTTACTGTGTAAGGAAACAAGTAAATACACAATGGTACAATTATACCAAAAAATAGCACCCTTAAATGTAGACCAACATGCAGGCACAGCAATCATAGCAATGAATTATTTTCAAAAAAGGCAAGCCACTGAAAAACGCATATAAATAAGACAAATATATATACACTACTTGCATATATCTGTGTGTGCATGTGTGTGTATATATATACCTATTCATATATACGGATTATACACAAACATGCACACACATGCATACACACACACACATACACACACATATATATATTTGTAAGTGGATTAGAAGGATCTAAACCAAATTTTTAACTGTGTTTCATGCTATCATCTACATTGTTTCAAACTTTAACAATAATAATGTAGTTGAGCTGGGTGCGGTGGCTCACACCTGTAATCCCAGCAGTTTGGGAGACCAAGGTGGGCAGATTACTGAGAGTCAGGATTTTGAGACCAGCCTGGCCAACATGGTGAAACCCTGTCTCTACTAAAAATACAAAAAAAAAAAAAAAATAGCTGAGCGTGCTGGCGCACGTCTGTAGTCCCAGCTACTTGAGAAGCTGAGGCTTGAGAATCACTTGAGCCCAGGAGGCAGAGGCTGCAGTGAGCTGAGATCACACCACTTCACTCCAGCCTGGATGATTGGGTGAGACTCTGTCTCAAATAAATAAAGAAATAAATAATGTAGCCATAAAATATTCATATAACTTTAAAAATAAAAGTATTTTCTTGAAACTTTATAAACAATTTTATATATTGTTGACTACATTGACTGGATACTGTAAAACTAAAGTCAAAAGAACTGTACATAAACATTACACCTAGATGGTAAAGTCATTTCTCATGGGAATACAGGTTAATAATTCTGAAACTGCTCTACATGTATACTGGTTGAACAAATAAGTAAAAAGTAGCTGACAGTAGAAGCCAAGCTTCTGCTTATTAGAAAAGAAGGAAATAAAAATGCAAGAGGCAAAGGCAAGAATGAACTATGTGGTACTAGGTTAGATTTGAAGACATCAGTATGAACTTGTTTTAAGTTAACAGGATAAATAATTACAGATATGTATGTATACACAGATTAGTATACATACACACATTTTCCAGTTCTGTTCACTGAAGAGGGTCTAGAAACAATGACACCCCAGTTGCAACAAACATATCCAGTACCCAGAATTTGGTTTCTACTACTATTTGTCAATAAAAGGAGCCAGGGATCATTTGTTGAGGAGACTGTCCTTTCCTGCTTGAATGGTCTTGGTATCTGGGTTAAAAATCATTTGACCATACATGCAAGGGTGTATTTCTGGGCTCTGTATTCTATTCCATTGGTCTATATGCCTTGTCTTTTTGCCAGTACCACACTGTTTTGATTACTATAGCTTTGTAATAAGTTTTCAAATCAGGAAGTGTGAGACATCTAATTTTGTTCTTTTTCATTCCAAGAATCTTTTTATTATTCAGAGTCCCTGAAATTCCATAAGAATTTTAGCACAATTTTTTTATAAATCTAAAAGTATTCTGAAACAAAAGTTTTATTTGTAAAATAATTTATTATTTGTAAAATATTTTATTATTGTTAAATAATTTATTATTAATGTTTTTTCCGTCAACAAATAGATATTGCTATTTCTTTTAACAACTACAAAATGCACTATTGTATGTATGCACTATTTACACAATTTTTTATTGATGGATATTGGGTGTTCGCCAATGTTGTGCTCTTTAAACTGCTTCAGTGAACATCCTTGTACGTACACCTTTTCTAACAAGTGTAATTATCTTTTCAGAAGTCAGTGCTTGAAGTAGGATTACTAAATCAAAGGATATGCTCATTTTAAATGTTGATTTATACTACCAAACTGCAGTATAAATTACTATTATCAGTTTATATCCCACCAACAGTTCATAAGAGAGATTGCCCTTCTCTCCATGTAAGTTTCATCTTTTTCATCCTTGCTAATGTGATAGGCTAAAATTTGATATCTCTTTCTTGCTTTAACTTTCTTCATTTAAAATCAACTAAAACCTTAAAGTTGAGCATTACATCCTCAGATCATCATATGAACTTAAAGCTTTAACTTTTTCCATTTTCTCCAGTAGAAATGTTTTCAGAGACTAGCTCTTGATCTAGCATAAAGTTATAATTTTATAGAAATCACAATGAGGTTTCTTTGCTACATGCCTTAGAAAGCAACTGTGATTAACTTTAGCAGAAGATAACATATTGAAAGCATATCATAAGGGTCACAGAAGTGACAGACAGCTGGAGAATTAGTTTTCTTAAAATGAGGGGCAAGGATTCCTAAGAGTAAAGCCACAAGAACCCTTAAGCAAGGAGAATGTGACCAGCATATTGCCACAGATGTAATGAATAAACTTCTGCAATCCTTTGTATCTTTCACTCAATTTTCAAAAGTCCTGAGAGAAAGTCTGTAATCGGTCAGGTTTAAATCACATGGCTATCCCTTGACTGCACCAAAGAGAGGGAAAACTGACCCCTTCAGTTTCCACAGTGTCATTGGTGTAAGTACATTATTAAACTAACTTATTTGATGGGCAAAATAAATAACCAACAAATCTATTTAAATATACTAATAGGCTGGGCACGGTGGCTCATGCCTGTAATCCCAGCACTTTGGGAGGCCGAAGTGGGCGGATCACCTGAGCTCAGGAGTTCGAGACAAGCCTGGCCAACATGGTGAAACCCTGTCTCTACTAAAAATACAAAAATTAGCCAGGTGTGGTGGCACATGCCTGTGATCCCAGCTACTCGAGAGGCTGAGACAGGAGAATTGCTTGAACTCGGGAAGCAGAGGTTGCAGTGAGCCAAGATCACACCACTGCACTCCAGCCTGGGTGACAGAGCAAGACTCTGTCTCAAAAAAAAAAAAAAAAAAAAAAAAAACCTAATAAAAAATTAATTATATTTGACTTTATCAATAATCATGAAATATAAATTAAAATATTTCTAATTGGCAAAGTATATTTTAACTCTGAATAAGTAATTCAAAATAGGTGAATATGTGCCTGTTATATATAACTCAAAAAGAATAAATTCAATGTGAATCTCTCCAAATCATTTATGTAGTATTATTATCAAAAATAATTAACCTGAATTTAATTATGAGATAATCAGAAAAAATCCAGATTGTGTAACTTTACATAAGACAATTGACTGGACTCTTCATAAACACAAAGATCATGATAAAACAATAAATAGTGGGAGCAGGAATATTCTAGACTAGAGGAGACCAAGTAGTGTCCTTTAATCTAACTATATACAATGCACTATCCTTGATTGGACCTTGGATAGGAAGGAAGGAAGGAAAGAAGGAAGGGAGGAAGGGAGGGAGGGAAGGAGGGGAAGGAAGGAAGGAAGAAGGAAGGAAAGGACGGAGAAAGGGAGGGGAGAGGAAAAAGGGAGAAGGAAAGGAGGAAAGAAAGGATGGAAAAGAGGGAGGGGGAGGGAAGAAAGAGAGGGAAGAAAGAGCTACATAAAGGGCATTTGGGGGACAACTGAAGGAATTTGAATATGGACTATATATCTATAAACTATTATTATGTTACTGTTGAATTCTTTTAAAAATAGTATTAAGATTTTGTAGAAGAGTTTCTTTGCTTTTAGGAGACACAGGCCAAAATAGTTAAGAATGAAATATCATGATATCTGCAACTTACTTTCAAAAGGTTCAGCGGCAAAAGCAACCACATGAGATTCCAATATAAGGCATTAATCACATTAATACTTATAATACAAAAATAATGGTTATAGTCCAAATGTCCTTAGTGGAAATGTCTACACAATGAGATTATAGACATTAAAATAGTTTTATGATTTTGGTTATTTTGCCTCCAAAGAAAATGTATTATTTAAGGGGTTCTTTTACAAAATGTTGCTTTTTTAAAAGGAAATATTTTTAAAGTGATTTCTTTGAAATACAATAAGCACAAAAGAATCACCAAGCCTAATGCAAAGAACAATACATTTTGGAAGTAGCATTCCAATATTTTATTTATCAATTCTTTCAGATTTAAGGATTGCATACAAACAAATCCATTGGCAAGAATGTGATTTTCAAAACTTATATGGTTTCTTCTAACTTTGGTTTCTGTAGTGCAAACAAGAACTAAGTAGGAAAGACAGAAATAAGAGAGTGAACAGCCAGTTATGTACTATGCAGGTTATGATGGCTGAAATCATAGATGTAAACACCCTTTAAGATATTTTGGAATAGGTCAGACACTAACCATTTATCAGCTAACATTTTACTTCTAAAAGGCAAGAAATATTCAAGAAGGGAAAACATATGGAAGGAAAAAATTAAGTCCTGAGGCATAAAAAGTCATAAAGATAAACTTTACCTACCACACTTTTTTCCTAGGTTCAGTCCTGGCATTTACATAAAACCCTCCCAAAACTCCTTTCCACTGTACACTTAACAATGATCTCATGTCATCTTTGGTATATGTACATAGGTTACTGATTTGTTCTATCTCCCTGTTGCCAGACAATAGGAAGAGCAGAGAGAGTTGAGTTGCTATGTCTTAGGTCTACAAATAGGACCATTTGGAAAGGCATTTTTCCTGTGGAACCTGTCTTCTCTGACTGAAACCTATTCAGTAAGACTGTTCATTCCTGACCTCCTGGCCCCTTGACACTGATCGGTCCTGAAGAGGATGGCAATATATTGCCTGTCAAATTTATATTAGAAAGCCATAGCATAAGGTCGTTATTTTTATATTGCACACAATGCTTTATGTCAAAGTTTGATAAACATGAAATCACATTTTCAAAGGCTAAAAAACAAGTGTCAGTCAGTCAAAAATAGTTGACCACTGTGAGTGTCTCACTGGTTGACCTTGAACTCCTCCATGACTCGGAGGTCAATAATATGCCATTAAAGAAGAAATCTCTTACAGGTTTGTGATAAGCTCATTTCTTAGACTAAGATCTTGACATTAGAAACAATTTTAAGTTGTCCATCTTTAAACACCTACCTAGTAAATTAAAACATAAACCTATAAAGGGATCAATCTTCAATTGTGTAATGAACTAACAATTTTCATGCAATGAAATTGATGTTAGTAGGAGTTAAACATGCATATCTACTACACAAAGAACACTAAGATTTCAATAGAAGTTCAGACCCAATAAGAGAGGCAATAAAGTAGAAGAAAAATAAAGAATGTCTGACGTTTCACTTCTATTTTATTTATGCATGATAGAAGAAAATTAGCAGGTAGTATTATGCAAGCATCTTCAAAAGTCTGAAAGAATTGTGAAGTTTACCATTTATTATATTATGTCTATTATATACCATTTAAATATTGTTCTTAGGTTTATAATATATCACACAAATAATTAATGCTATTCAAAGATTTTCAGTGTCAGTTTTTAATATCAGATATTAGGGAATTAAATGTAACCCAAGACAGGCTTACTCTGTTTAGATAGTAGAAAACATCACGTACAATCCTTAATTACTTTCAAAATGCACTTCTTTCCTAGAAATAATGAGTTTTGTTTGCTAGTTTTTTGTTTATTTGCTTGTTTGGTTTTGCCTTTCTGGAAAAAAAAAAAAAAAAAACAGAGCGACAAAAGGAATTAATTTGTATTTCCCTTTCTTCAGTTTCTCCAAATATCAAAGTCATGAGCAGAGAGATTTTAAATGAATAACACAGATCTGTTACAGACATTTACAGATTATTATAATGACCATCCTTTTGTGTTTTTCATCCTCTGAAGGCTAAAAGTTAGCTTACCATCCTCCCAGGTATGTTCAATGGACACAAAATATATCTTATAATTTCTCAACTATGATTTTTTAAAAAGTTATATCCACCTGAATATTCTGCAGAAGTACAAGGGCATGGATATAGGTTACTGTCCCTAAATATTTGTCGAGTATGTTTTGCAAATGTTTTCAGCCATGTGATTATCTGTACTGTGTCTTCCATATCAGATGAACTGTGACTGAAAATGCTGGGCAGCTTTATGATTATTTAGCAATCAGAATTCTTTATCCCACTTGAGTTTCCAATTCAAATAATCAAGTTCACTACACTTTAGTGTCTATGTACGTTTCCTTACTCCCATTTGTTCAGACTTAAGTAAAGACAGTCACTGAGGGGAAAACAGCCCTTAAACCTTATACTCAGTAACTTTAGACTCACATCTACTTGCAGGAGAAATACATGACAGATCTATTGTTCTGTATTAGCAGGACATTGTCCCAGTATATGAACACATGCAAACTACTCAGGAAGGCCTTTGAATATTTAAGGCAAGACACTAGTGGCTCATCCCAGTGGGAACCACAGAAAAGGGGAACCTGATTAAATTTAATGTCATTGTCACTTTTTTTTCATTGGGAAGAATTATATAGGTAGCCATAGCTACCACACTGTTCAGACAGCATGACCACAATATTCCCCCTCAGAGGTTGGCGTCAAGGACTGAATTATTCACTCAAAGAATGTGATTCATTGCTGGATCTGGTTCTTACAAGATTAAAAGAGTCATCAGTACATAAAATGCATATACATCCTCTAGGAGCAGAAGTAAAACAAACCATCGCAACCTTTTGATCACTGATTAGGCTTTTAAAGAATAATATGTTAAAAATTATAAATAGTTATTTGTATAATTTAGACTGTGAGCTCAAGTATTTCCTTTCTCCCATTAAAAATCAATTTAAAGTTAAGAAGTTTTCATACAAACTATTGGAGGAGTTTAGAATGAGATCCTCTTCTTATTCTAGTCCTTCTAAAAGGAAAGTTATTGACTCGATATTTAATTATGCTCTTCTATGGTACCCAGTATCTCTGGGTAAAACCTAATTCACAAAATTGTTCAGCAACACGAAGAAGCATTATAATAATAGTGTTTATCATATACATTATCCTTTATTGAAATGTAATTTCTCTTATGTCCCTAAATTTACAATTTTCCTTTGCTTGGATATGTATTTCTAAATGTGCAGTCATTTCTAAACATTAACATTTCACCTGGATAAACCAAATAAATAAGTTTTTTAAAGTGAAACAGTTAAAAATTAAAACTTCAGAGAGTTTTTACTTATTCATCGTATCTAATCAAATAGTATTATCTCTTACAGAAGAAAACATGCTATTATTTAGCCGTCTATGTTAAATTTCTTAGGTGTCATGCCAAATTTCATATTATTTTTTATAAACATCAGGCCCTGCTCTTTAAAAGGTAATATAAAAGTGAATGCTAGCTGCTGCATAAGGTAGTCCACCAAGGAAGTAATTGATGGCTTTTGATAAATTCAAGGGACTAATAAGGAGCCTTCTCTTGCAGAATGTCAGTTCATCAGTTTAAACCCAGTCCATGTGGGCCTGAGTGAAAGCTACACCACCTGAGTGTCACTCGCTGGAGTTTATAATGTGAACTGGAGGCAGACCCAGTCTGATTAATCATGGACACAAGTCTACGACCCAGCACCCACCATCATAATTGGCTCCCTCATTTGAAGTCTCAGGAGACTGAATGGGCTATGGAATTTGAACTACCAACTCATTCTGGTCTCACTAGGGATAGATGAAGGCTCCCTGGTGGGAATACTTGGAGAAGCTAGTAATGCTGCTATTGTGCCTTAAACCTGTCCTATAGATAGAGAGCTTCCTCTGTACAAGTACACACTTAAGCACCTTTAAAATACCAAATAATTCACTCTGCATACATAGGCTTAAAGCAATATTATTTTATGGTTGCCTAAATAAAAATGTATGTGAGCTCCTTTATTTTTTTTAATCTGCTTGGTAACAATTTTTTAAGATATTAATTATATAATGAAGACCTTAATTTGTACTCTAAAACATAATCACAGTATCATCCAGTAAAATTTTATTTCCTGAGATTGACCTCACATCTAGAATTTTTTAATACAATCTTATTCCACAGTATAAAAATATGCTAATGTCAAATTCAGAGACTGTAATTATTATTTAAATTAGATGCCTATAGAGAAATCACCTTATGGAGAGTAGGTTGTTTACAATGGAATTTATGAGAAGACAACTGTAAACAGAGAAAGCTTTGGAGATGCAACTTTGCCCCTGAAATACCAAATGATATTTTCCTCGGTGAAATGTTAAACAATGTGCCTTCAACAATAAACTGACAATGCCTTTCCTGAGGCTTGTGGTGTGGTCACGGTGTTGATCTTGCCTTTTCTTCTTAATGTGCTCCCATACCAGAGACATTACAATGGTCATTCACAAAAACTACAGTACGGAGAAGTTTAAGATGTTTTTTCTGTAATGTTTTTTTCTTCCAACTGCAGCTGGGAGTTTACAGCTGGTGTCTTTTTTTTTTTTTTTTTTTTTTTGGTTACCTGAATGGATTTCCGCTTAACTGTACCAGCTTGCCATTCATTGCAGCAATAGGTCCAATCAGAATATTTTAGTATCTTCTGGCTTCTGAGTTACCTTTTACTCTTCAAACAGTTTTAAGGCTAGTTTTGCTAATGTGAATATTTTGTTCTTTAATGTCTTAGTAATATTCCTTTATAATTATCTGAAACCCATATAATAACTAATACTTGCAAACAAAAATGATTGAGTAAATTTTAACTAGGGTCTATTTGTAGGAAATTTTTCTTTTCAAATTGGCTATAAACAGAAAAGAGATTATTAAAAATAGAATTAACCACAGATAGCTTCCTAATATTGCAGCTGTAAATGTTTATGATAGTTACAGAAATTGGAAAAAAAAATGAGGCATAAAATAACTAAAATTAGGCTCTCTGCTTCTTAGTCTATATTCTATCTGGGACTAGCGATGCAAATGACAGTCCAAGGCCACTACTAGGATTGTCCAAAACCAAATACTAAAACAGCATAAACAAGTGTTTTAATGACTCTGTAACATGCATTTTTATAAAAACAATCGCTACCATTTATGAAGTTTTTCCTATGTGCCAGGCATTATATATAATACTTTATATTGTATTAAATTGTATTAAATTATATTAAATTAATTCACACATTATAAAGCCTATTGGTGTATATATAAATAGGCCCATTTCACACTGAGGAAACTAGTGATTAGGCAGGCTGGGTAAATTATCTAAGATCTGAAATGATCAAGTAGAATTTGAATTCACATCTTCCTAACTTCAAAACCCTTGCTTTTGTATGCTGTATTATACAGCTTCTCCATATGTACATAATTGGATAGTCATCACCTGTGGATTTTTTATATACTACTATCCAAATATTTTCCCTTGGAAGATTTCTCCTGGCATTTGTTAACATTGGCTTTGATTTACTTGACAAACTTCATACTTACCTGATAAGTGACCTTGGGTATCATTTTATCTCTGAATTTCAACATCTCTCTGATCTCCAAAACAAGGTAAATGAACTGGATAGGTCTCTACAAGTCTGTATCAGTTAGCTTCTACATCATAACAAACTATGCTAGAAAAAAAAAAACTTATGTATGTATTCACTCATGATTTGGGGGTAAGAAAACTGGGTTGAACTCAGACAATGGCTCTTGTGCTAGCCTTGGGTGGGCTCAATCATGTATCTGGGGTAATCGACCATCTCAGTTTTCCTGCCAAATGAAGATGAGTTGGACACCCTACATGTGTCTCTGATCAGCTGGTATTCAAAGTTTTACTCTCATGTAGGGAGACCAGTTGATTGTCTACTGAAGCAACATGGTAAGTGAGCCATGAACCTGATCATCCTGCCAGGCTTGCCAGGCTTATTGATATTGTAGTAGATATAGGATTCACAAGACCAGCAAGAGAGGCAAGCCCCCAAAAGCCAAGTCCCTATCTCTATTACATTTGCTACTCTCCTACAGTTCAAAGCAAGTCACATGGCCCAGATTCAAGTCATGAAGAAATAGATTCCACTCTTAGTGGGAGGAAATGCAACGTTACACTCTAAAAAAAGTAGGGGGGGGGAGAGTATAAAATAAAAGGGGGGGGAGAGTATATAAATGGATGGAAAGAAATTGTAGCCATTTTTATAATCTACTACAAGATCATTTCCTGCCCTAAAATCAGAATTTCTATGTTCATCTACAAGCTCTATGTCAAAAAACCCATGTGAGTAACGGAATTCAAATAACAGCAATTATAGTTTACTTCAGCCAGTTCCAGCTGCTATAATAGAATACCACAGATTGGCTAGTTCAGACAACAGAAATTAATTTATCACCGTTCTGGAGGCTGGAAAGTCCAAGATCATGGTGCCAGTATGGTCAGATTCTGGCGGGGGTCCCTTTTCTGATTTGCAAATGGCCTTCTTTTTGTTGTATTCTCACACAGTGGGGAACAGAGAGAGGGGGGAAGCTCTCCTGTTTCTTCTTGTGACAGCACTAATCCCATTCATAAGGCCTCCATCCTCGTGATGTACTCACCTTCCAAAGGCCCCACCTCCTAATTCCATCACATTGTGGGTGATTTCCACATATTTCAACATACAAGTTTAAGAGAAACACAAACATTCAGTCCATAACATAATCTGTCTGTGGCTATACTGCTCTAAATAATAAGTAAACAATGTAGCTAGTTTAACTTGTCCCAAAACTGGTTATTCCATTGGATGAGTTTGTTTGGACCCCTTATGTGGGAAGTGGACAAGGGTTAAGTTTGCAATTATGATCTTAACATCATCTTTCTTCTTTTAACTTCTGTTAAGATTAAGTATGAAAATACATTCAAAACCAGGATATCTACACTGAATAGCATTTTTTATGTAGTTTACAGTGTGATCTAAAGGGGCCCCAAAAGGCTCAGGGACCCCAGGCTCATAACTGAGGGCAACCCAACAATAATTGCTTCCCCAATTAGAAAGTTCTTTGCAAAATGAAAGGAAAAAAATGCTAAAAAGGTAGTTTTTCATAAAGTGAAATGGATTGGATTATATTTATAACTAATGTATAAGTATACAAGTACCATATATCTACACATACAAAAATTTATGTATATTGCATATATAACATATTTTTTATATAGTACTTATAATTTTTCTCACTTGTTATACAGCAGTCAGGCAGATAATGCAAATGGGTGAAATGAGAGAAGTATCTTGGTGCAATTTTTAAAAACAGCCTGAGGGGATATAGCAAAATGGAAGCAGAAGTTTCATTTAAAGGAAGAAACTAAGTTCTTGGTCTAGGTAATTATTTCCAAATAGAATCAAGGCTCACTGTTCCTTTTTGTTTTTAAAGAGAAGCCAGAGCCAGGCGCAGTGACTCACACCTGTAATCCCAGCACTTTGGGAGGCCGAAGCAGGTGGATCACTTGTGGTTGGGAGTTGGAGACCACCTGACCAACTTGGAGAAACCCCATCTCTACTAAAAATACAAAATCAGCTGGGCGTGGTGGTGCGCACCTGTAATCCCAGCTACTTGGGAGGCTGAGGCAGGAAAATCGCTTGAACCTGGGAGGCAGAGGTTGCAATGAGACGAGATCCCGCCAACGCACTCCAGCCTGGGCAACAAGAGCGAAACTCCGTCTCAAAAAAAAAAAAAAAGAAGAGAAACCAGACGTAGACATTTTTTGTGCCAGGAATAATTTCTCAATTTTAAGATACTGAAAACTGAATTTTTTAAACATGTTTTTAACAGTGCAAGCTAAACAGTATACATCTAGTGCTGAATTCAGGCCACGGGCACCAGTTTTCAACTTCTATAATAGTTGTTACTGTGGATTATTTCCTTACTTGTCAATGTAGAAAGTTGGGACAAATATTTTGAGGAGATTTATTGGTCTGTGTAGGTTTTCCAAGCACAGTATATTTGTTATCTCTTGCTGTGTTATGTATTA
Source organism: Homo sapiens (assembly GCF_000001405.40). Classification (NCBI taxonomy): domain Eukaryota; kingdom Metazoa; phylum Chordata; class Mammalia; order Primates; family Hominidae; genus Homo; species Homo sapiens. The sequence goes on from NC_000004.12 coordinate 94,121,278, forward strand.
CTACAAATTTAACAGCTTAAAACACCCATTTTTCTTACCTGAATCCGTAGTTTAGAAGTCCAGCATGGCACTGCTGGTTCTCTGTTCAGTGTCCTACAAGGCTGAAGTCAAGGCATTAATGGGACTGCAATCTTACCTAAGTTTCAGGCTCCTTTACTAAGCTCACTGGTTACTAGCAGAATTCAGTTCCTTGCAGTTGTAAGCCTGAGGTCCTCCTTTCTTGGAGGCTGCCAAGTGGTGGCCCTTCTCAGTTGTCACTCAGGCTGGAGTGCAGCGGCACGATCTTGGCTCACTGCAACCTCCGTCTCTGAGGTTCAAGTGATTCTCCTGCCTTAGCCTCCCAAATAGCTGGGATTACAGGTGCCTACCACCACACCTGGCTAATTTTTGTATTTCTAGTAGAGATGGTGTTTCACCATCTTGGCCAGGCTGGTCTTGAACTCCTGACCTCGTGATCCACCCGCCTCGGCCTCCCAAAGTGCTGGGATTACAGGCATCAGCCACCACGCCCTGCTCCTTCTCAGCTTTCAGAGGCATCCCACAGTTGCGTGTCACATGGCCCTCTCCACAACATGACAGCATGCTCCTGTAAGGCCAGGAGAAAAATCTCTCCACCTTATTTAAGCACTTAACTTGATTAGGTCAGGCCTACCCTCAATCAACTGACTAGGGACCTTGATTACATCTGCAAAATCCCTTTTGCCAGGTAATGAAACATAATCAAGGAGTGACGTCCCATTATATCCACAAGTCCCAGCCTCATGCAAGCAGAAGGGATTATTCAGAACGTGTGCACCAGAGGATGGGAATCTTGAAGGACATCTTAGAATCCTGCCTACCACATATGGCAAACACTAGTTTATAATTCTCTTGTATAAGAATTTCTATTCTTCTGTTTTGTCATTAGCTTTTAGTGAAAAATGATCTAAGATACAGTCTAAAAAAGATACAGTCTTTTTTTTCCCCCTTGAGATGGAGTTTCACTCTTGTCGCCCAGGCTGGAGTGCAATGGCACAGTCTCTGCTAACTGCAACCTCCCTGGTTCAAGCAATTCTCCTGCCTCAGCCTCCCAAGTAGCTGGGATACAGGCACGTGCCACCACATCTGGCTAATTTTTGTATTTTTAATAGAGATGAGGTCTCACCATGTTGGTCAGGCTGGTCTCGAACTCCTGACCTCAGGTGATCCACCTACCTTGGCCTCCCAAAGTGCTGGGATTACAGGCATGAGCCACCATGCCTGGCCTAATCTAAGATATAGTCTTTTAAAAAACTGTTTCTTGGGACAGGCGCAGTGGCTTATGCCTGTAATCTCAGCACTTTGGGAGGCCGAAGCAGGCAGATCACGAGGTCAGGAGATCGAGACCATCCTGGCTAACATGGTTAAACCCCATCTCTACTAAAAATACAAAAAAATTAGCCAAGTGTGGTGGCACGTGCCTGTAGTCCCAGCTACTCGGGAGGCTGATGCAGGAAATTGCTTGAACCCGGGAGGCAAGGGTTGCAGTGAGCTGAGATGGTGCCACTATATTCTGTTGTCCCTTTATGGAGTTCTATGTGAGAAATTTCTTGTAAAGCTTACTAGGAGATGTCTTGCTTTTCCTGAAAAAATAAGATTTTTTTTCTCTTTTACACTAGAAATATATAATGGACTTTATCTCTTTTCCCTTTGGCTGCCTTGAAGCTCAAAGCCAATCTAAATGGACCTTTTTTGTCCGTATACAGTGGAGGAAAATTCCTCCCTATTCTTAAATTCTTATTCATATTTTTATAGTGCTGGCTTTAGTTCTTGATTTTATATATATGTTTTCTCTGTGCTCATCTCAAATAAAAAAGAAGAAACATGACAAATATATAGATTAGATAGATAAAAGAGGGATAGAAAAATAATAAATTAAAGATAAATGGAATAACTAGTGATAAGAGAAAGAGACAAAGTAATGATCATGTATTCTTCCCATTTTATAGGCTACCTATTCAATTCCATAAATGTGTATACCTGTCCTTGTACCAATATCCCACCATTTTATTTTAATAGCACTATAAGACTTTATTGTCTAGCAGGGCCTTGTTTTCACATTGCAAAATTTCTTTCGCAAAAAAAAATCAGTGATAAAATCAACAATAATCGATGACTTTAAATATTAATTTTAGCATTTAATATTCACTAATAAATTCTCTTCACTTTGAGCTCTTAATCAATTTTGTACTCTTTTGGAATATATTGGGTCTGATGCCTTATAGATGTGACTTGGCCAAAATTTTGGAGGTATGATCCTTTCCTTGCTACATTCATATCTCTCTACATGCATTAGGCCAGTTTTAAATCCACAGAGCTTATATCTTTTTCAGACTATTTCTACCTTGCACTTATATAACCATATTCATTTGGCATTAGACTCCATCCTTTTATTATATGTGAACTGTTCACCTCATATAAGGTCTCAGAAGAATTTAAGCATTAGACCTGGGATGGAGAGAGACAGAAAGGACTTGAAGGAATTAATGGTGATCCCATAAGGAAAGTGGAACATTTCATACAAAATTTGGGTTCACCTATACACTTCTTGGAGAACCCGGTGAGAATGCCAACTCACAACAAGACATTGTTTGGGACAAATATGTTCTGGGAAACAACTAAGCTCAAACTTGTTTGCCATCAGTTTAGTGATGATCTTGGAAGGAAGAGTAATATTTCCTTTAGGGTAATTTTGAGGACCGGCCAAATCTTAAACCTAAGAGGTAAACTGCTAAAGATTTAACTTCTATTTTCTCACCATTTTTATAGATAGTTGGTTGAGTCTGCTGACTGTTGGGCAGGGTAGTGGCGAGGGACAATAGGCACAGAAGAGCAAATACAGATAATGATATTTACTGACCCAGGGAAACCAAAAAGGCAATTTGAGTGCCCAAGATCTAGGCCCTTCTTGTCTTCGAGAAAGATATAAAGAACTTTATGACTTTCTAAGTCCTCCTTTTGTACTCAAAGACCTGGAGGGAATGTGTATACATAGTAAGGAGGTAATGAATATTATTATTATAAAAAATATAATTATTCAAATCACTCTTCTATAATATACACATACCTATAGAAAAAGTATCAACACTAACTTACTGTACTCCAACTTGAGACCTTACTGAAATATCCTATTAATACTTCTGTATTGTTAGAAGAGTTGAACAGTGAAGTGTTCTACTATTAGGGTTTTCAATTTTTTTTTTTTTTTTTTTGAGACGGAGTTTTGCTCTGTAGCCCAGGCTGGAGTGCAGTGGCGCCATCTCGGCTCACTGCAACCTCCACCTCCCGGGTTCAAGCAATTCTCTGCCTCAGCCTCCCGAGTAGCTGGGATTACAGGCACCCACCACCACGCCCAGCTGATCTTAAACTCCTGACCTCATGATCCATCCACCTCGGCCTCCCAAAGTGCTGGGATTACAGGCGTGAGCCACCGCGCCCGGCCAGGGTTTTAAATTTTTAAGATATTACTGATTGCTTAAGGAGAGCATCCCCCCCACCCCAAGACATACACCAGGCTGCTGCCCTGCACCCTTGACCTAATTTTTTAGCAGGATCCAGATCTAAACACATTCTAACTTTCATCAACGTGCAGCCGTGTATCTTACCTCTAACTTTTAAAAAGAATTCTGAGGACTTCATTTATTATTCTCCTCAATGCCTAGATGATGCAAACCATATTCTTGCTGCTCAGTTACATTGACTGCCAGCAATTTTTTTTCTGGATGATTTCTGATACAGATACATTTCCTAGAAAATGAGAGGGTTAAAGTTAAAGTGTATCATTAAGGCAGAATCCACTTAACTCTTAGAATTCAATGGAAATAAGTTACAGGACAAATTATAGTATCTCTACCATACTTTCATCTTTCAGATGAGGAGAAAAAGTGTTTTTTGGGGACTCCAAGTCCCCAAGATTTCTTCATTTCTAAATAGCCCTTTGGGCTTTTTAATGTATACTATTAAATAGTTAATAGTGTATACTATTAAAGATACTCATAGAGACACTAGAATTTACAGACAAAATCTGTTCTTAGATCAGCTTTTAGGAGGTGTCAGAATTATCTCGCTTTGTTTACTTGAGCCCTTTAAACAGAGCCATGTTTGGATTAATTTATTTCTTCAAGTTTCCTTGGGAAAATGACCACAAATTGTTTAAGTTTCCCACTTAATGAAGTATTTAACAACAGATGCTATGTTTGTGGGAAAAAATTACTAGGAATGAAAAAACGGTAATTTATTTTGATAACCTCCTATTGTATATATACAGATTATCTAGATTTTCCAATCAAAGCAATTGCATTGATTTGTTTGCTTTTTGTTTGCTGTTGTCGTTGTTGTTTTAGATTGAAGATCTGTTTGGTATTTTCCTCCTCTCTAGAATTGATTGGCCAATAGTTTAGTTTAGTTTATGTCAGTTACAGAGAGAAACAGGGGTGAAGAAGAGAGAGAGTCTTCCATACGGGTTACAAAGAAAGGGACTGATCTGAAAATTAATTTTCAAAACACATTAATTTAGAAAAAAATACACACTAAGCGGTAAAATTCACTAGCTACTTCAACAACTGAAGTCAGATTAGGTGCAGTTTTTTAAATTCACTGCAGATTTCTTAGTGATTAGATATAGTGATGAAATCCTCAAAAGATTTTGGAAGTAGGGAAAACACAGTGCCATAAAGTTATAATTGCTCTAGGGAAAAATTGCTTAGGTGACTGGTAATCTGGAGGAAGACAGAAGACTGGCCTCACACTATCACATGATTAAGATACATTATTTATTTTATATCATCAAATGCTAATCTCAGGTTCAATTTCCATGGAGATGTCATAAATGACAATTCACAGCTACATCAAATACTTGTGGTTCAAGTTCAGTGTAAATATTCTCAATACTTAGTAGTCCTGTTAGCCTTGTTTCATAACATGGAGTGGGAGCTTGTGGGATAATGCCTTGTACTTCTCCTATTTACTGATTTCTATTCATTTTATTATTGAATTCAACCTACGAAAAATGTCAAAGAAAACGGAAAGACTGTTATTTTTTTCCATTTTAATGATCTCTGAAAACAAAATAAATGTCAGTGTCTCTAAAGACAATTTAGTCAGTTTCATTCAACGTAGTTTTCCAAAAAGTTAAGTTACTTCTCCTTATTATATTTTTTAAAAAATTGGCCTTTCTATGTTTTTCTTGAGGGAGGAAATAGAGAATATGTATACAAAATGAAAAAAATAACATGTAAATTTAAAAATCAAATGGTCGGAAGAAAAAAGTCTTTAGCTGTCATCACAACACACACACACACACAGTGCTCCAAAATGAGGGATGTTAACTCTGACTTGATCTTTAAAGTCAGCAAATATAATTCTCTGTACTTGTGCCTAAGAATCTCAGCAGAACTTTATAACGTACCACTACTAAGCAAATTTTGGATGATTAGGTATATCATAGTAGGAGCGAAAGAATGTAAGGGAAAAGACAATTGAGTTGGGGTCCTGTTACCGTTACCAAATACAGTAGCATCTGCATAAAGCTTGTCAGGAGTCAAAGTACTGCTTAACTCAGCAAAGGAAGTGTGGCATCTAGTGGACATTTAGTTTCTGCAATATTTTTCTGTATTTTGCAGAGAAATAGATCTGATACATGATAGATCTTTGTGGTTTAATGGTTTTGTCGTGATTGTTTTTGTTGTTTTAAACAAGTCATGTTTTTATTTTCCACATTGTCTGATTTTTTTAAATGAATTTGGCAGTAAAATTCAAGCTGCTCATATAAAAATAAATTGTTTAGGACCTATAGTTCTACACAGTGATACTTTTCTGTGTGCTTACTTTTTATTTTGAAAATTATTGCAACCTAAGTTTCTTAAATTATACTTACATGACATAAAATATTTTTATTTTTCTTGTAATATTTTCACAAAATATGAAAATGCTTTCACATTTGTTAGAACATTTTGTGAACTATGCAAAATATACTGCTTCATATCATGAAAATCTTACAAATCAGAGATTTCAAGTAATAACAGAGATAGTGAACTTAAAATTCACAGAGTCCTAAGATACACATGAACTTTATTTTGGAAAACAATATTTTCAAACCATGGCATTTTAAATTACAGAATTACAAAAATGTTGTAGGCTTTATTAATTTTAAGTTATTCACTGATAAAGTTGTCCCAATAAACAACATTGTTCCAATAAAATCTTCTGTATATTTATCATGACCCCAAATACATTCACATACTACATTATAGAGTCATATTTCAAAATTCACCTTCATCTTCTTGTCAAATAAGTCAAGGTTTTTAAAAAATGTATAAATGTGGTATTTATTAAAAGTTGAGCAATTTCAAAATAGTTTATTGTTTTTCTAAGAATTGATAAATTTTCAAGTTATCAAAGACTCTTGGCAAGCTTTAGCTTTACTCTAAAATATTATATGTCTAATATTGACTCCCCAATATTTTCATACATTTGCTTGTATATCCTGATAGAGTTAGCCTTTTAGAAATAGGAAACACTGAAGACTAATTTGTGATTTCAAGTGGGCCATCTGAAATGGCTTGGGTTTTTCACCACCTGGAGAAATAATAGAAGCATATATTCTGTTCGTGGTTTGGTCCCCCCTAGTGGACATCAAGTAACACTGTAAATTAAAATTCTTACGTAATAATCCAGTGGTCAAAGTAATAGAGACTAGTTGTAGGTTAAACTGAGGAACTAAAATGGTCATGTTCCTGTGATACATGTGTGATACAGTTCACACATAACTTAGTATCTTTCCATCTATTGTTCAAAATGTGGAGGAAAGACCCTTAAATAATCTGTAAATCCATGAAGAAAATTATATACTCCCAAAGTTAATGTCTTAATGACTTGAGAAAATTTGAAATAAGACACTTATTTACTTGGAAACCCTCTTGTTCATTTCTGAGGTAGATAAATAATCATCTATACGTTGTTCCATGAGACTTTTGTAAATTTGGAAATATCTCTTCTGCTTCCTAAAAGACACCTCACTCTAAAAGTTTTGCAGTGGCTTCTTAAGTGCACAATAGTATTTCTTAAAGGGAAAGCTCTGTGTTCCCTTATAATGATATCCCTTTGCACATAATCTTCCACATCTTTCTGAAATAAATGAATAAATGAGAAAATTTAATGGAAAGACTCAGTGAATGTTTAAGGTAATATTTGTGTTTAACAAAATTTGCTGTTAATCTACCATTTCTAAAAAACACGTTATTCCTGACCTTAGGGACATACAGTAAACTAAATGAATAGTTATTTTATCTCTTTAAATTTAGCAGCCAGGAGTGGTGGCTCATGCCTGTAATCCCAGCACTTTGGGAGGCCAAGGCGGGCAGATTGCCTGAGGTCAGGAGTTCGAGACTAGCTTGACCAACATGGTGAAACACTGTCTCTACTAAAAATACAAAAATTAGCCAGGTGTGGTGGCAGGCACCTGTAATCCCAGCTACTTGGGAGGCTGAGGCAGGAGAATCGCTTGAACCCAGGAGACAGAGGTTGCATTAAGCCGAGATTGCTCCACTGCACTCCAGCCTGGGTGACAGAGCAAGACTTCATCTCAAAAAAAAAAAAAAAAAAAATTAAATTTAGCAAACATTCTAGCTAATTTTCACAACTCCTTACCAAAAAAAAAGCAGAAATAAGGTTTAATGATTTCAAACTTTCTGAATATTCAATTTACCTTAGAAAAGACAATAAAAATAGTCAAAAAGTTTATAGTGGTAAGCCTGCACATTAGGATCTTGGAAAGGTCATCTTCATAGAGCAAAAGAATTCCTAGAAACAAGACTTTAGGACAATTAAAATGAGCAAAATTTAGTTATAATGACTATAATGTTAGCAAAGGTATACTTTGAAAAAAGGTGACGGTCTCAAGCTATGAAAATATTCATACACTTTTTCTTAAGAACTGTTGTCTTGGAAATTTGTCCCAACAGAAAGAAAATTAGAGAGAATGCTGTAAACATCAAAATATTGCTCACAGCATTATAAAGTAAGAAATTAGAAACAACCTAAACAACAAAAGAAGAATGATTATGTGATTATGAAACTAGGTGAAATTTACTAAAATGCCTATTATTATGAAAACTTAATGGCATTATAAATAAACACATTAAAAATAAAATTAGGCAATTTCTTGGGAATTAATTTTAGAATTTTTTTTTCATTTCTTTCAGCGTGAAAAAGAAAAAGTTAAAAAAAAAAAGCAGGAAAAAAAGACTACAAAATACTTAGGTTAAGTAGGGTTTTTGTAGGTAGAAGGAAAAAAGTGATGAACTGCCAGAGCTTGTGTTTTCTTCAGCATCCAAGAAACATCCTCTGCACCAGAAAGTCAATGTTTCTGTAGCTGATGGAGTGATAATGAAAATGAGTACACAGGGCCAGGTGCAGTGGCTCATGCCTGTAATCCCAGCACTTTGGGAGGCCGAGGCAGGCAGATTACTTGAGGTCAGGAGTTTGAGACCAGCCCAGCCAACATGGTGAAATCCCGTCTCTACCAAAAAATAACAAAAATTAGCCGTGCATGGTGATGCATGCCTGTAGTCTCAGCTACTAGGGAGGCTGAGGCAGGAGAATCCCTTGAACCCGGGAGGCAGAGGTTACAGTGAGCCCAGATGGCACTACTGCACTCCAGCCTGGGTGACAGAGTGAGACAATGTCTCAAAAAAAAAAAAAAAAAGAAAGAAAGAAAGAAAAAAAAGAAAAGAAAAGTGAGCACACAGCACATGGTTGTCATATAGCTAGACTATGCTCATGAGTTCAAGGCCTGCATACCCTTAGTTCACGATGAGATCCCCCAAGTATACAAGATGTTGAAGGATGAAAAGAGAAGGAAAGAAGGAAAAAGGAAGGGAGGGCGGGGAGGAGTGAATGGAGTTGCTCTGTGACATTGGGAATGGGAGGGATTGCTCTACTTTGGCCATTTCAGCACTCTCCTATGCAAGCAGCCATGGCAAAATGCTGTAACGTAACACAAATGCATTTTATACACATAGCTGCAAATTATTTTAGTATTTAGTATTAGCTGGGGCTCAGAAAATACTACCCCAACAACTTTGAGCTGAAAGAGATTGGGAGGGCCTCAGAAGCAAGATGGTCACCCTGACCTTCCCCTACCTTTCTGTGTGAGAGCTGGCCATAAAGAAAAGAAAAGAAAAGAAATTCTCTGACCTACCTTCTGTGAAAGTAGGTCATAAGACCCTCATTCCAGGGAGGTCCTGCCCCATACTTTTTTTTTTTTTAAAAAAAAAAGGTCTAGGGTCTCACTCTACAGTGCAATGGCGCCATCACAGCTCACTGCAGCCTTGACCTGCCCGCCCCATACTTTAGGGAAAGGAATCCTGCACAGAGAGGCCAAGAAGAATCTGAATAGACAGGCCTTCCTGGGTTTCCCCTGCTCAATCTATTACCATTAGATCATACTCTTTTATCCAATCATATTTCTACACTGCTGTTTATTTTTCATCAAACCTAACCATAGAAATAAACAGTTTTCCCTGGGTCTTTGGGTCTTCATTTCTGAAGGCTCCTGTGTCACATAAAACTTTGATAACGTAAATGTGTTATGCTTTTCCCTTGTTAACCTGTCTTTTGTTATAGGAGTTTCAGCTGTTACCCTGATGGTGAATTAGGAAAGGTGTCCCACATTGGGACGCCTACACCACAGGATTTCTTTAGGTCTCAGGTATGAGAGCCTTATGTAATGTCTAAAGCACTACACAAACATGGTAGCAGTATTAGTAGAGTAGTACCCCCTTCTTCGTGGAGGATATGTTCCAAGACTCCGGGTGGATGCCTGAAACCATAGATAGTACTGAATCCTATATAGACCATGTTTTTCCTATACATACATACCTATGAAAAAGTTTAATTTCTAAATTAGACATAGTAAGAGATTAACAATAACTAATAATAAAATACAATAAAATAAAAAACAATTCTAATAATATTCCAGCATCACTTCTCCTGCACTGCAGGGCCATTATTAAGCAAAATAAGAGTTGCTTGAATACAACAACTGTGATGCTGTGTCAATCAATCTGCTGAGAGGGCTAAAGCAAATAACAGGCAGGCAGCCGGTCGCAGCCGCAGTGTGGATATGCTGGGGAAAGGGATGATTCACGTCCTGGGAGGGAGACAGCAGGATAGCAAAAGATTTTATCACACTATTCAGAACAGTGTGCAATGGAAGACCACAGAATTTATTATTTCTACAATTTTTCATTTAATATTTTCAGACTACAGTTGATCACAGGTAACAAACAGCAGAAAGCAAAACCGCACAGAGGGGGAACTACTGTACTGCTGTTTTTGCAGCAGCAATAATAGCTGGGACTTAGAGAGTGCTTACAAAAAAATATAGATGCAGTTTTAAGTGGTATACATACCTAAATTAGTTCATTTAATCCTTACAACAACCTTACAATGTGGGTTCTATTTTATCCTTATTTTACATATAGGAAAATGAGGCACAGAGAGAGGTTAACTGCCCAAAGCCACACAATTAGGAAATGGTAGAGTAAGGTTTTAGCCAGTAGTCCTAACTCATAAATCTGTGTGCTTCACCTCTGAGTCTCTTGAAAATAATATTAGTAATACAGGAATAGTAATAAGAATCTGATACGGAAATGCAGTCACGGGCTACAGAATGACATTTCAGTCAATGATGAACCGCATATACGACAGTGGTCTCATAAGATTATAACGGAGCCGAAAAATTCCTATCACCTAGTGACGTCTAGCTGTCATAAAGTTGTAGCACAGTTACTATTTTTACAAATTTAGTGTAGCTTAGGTGTACAGTGTTTCTAAAGTCTATGCTAATGTACAGTGATGTCCTGGGCCCTTACATTCACACACCAATCACTCACTGACTCACCCAGTGATATAGTCTGGATGTTTCCCCTCTAAATCTCATGTTGAATTGTAATCCCCAATGTTGGAGGTGAGGCCTGGTGGGAAGTCATTGGATCTTGGAGGCAGATCTCTCATGATGTGGTGCTGTCCTCACAATAGTGAGAGAGTTTTCATGAGATCTGGTTGTTGAAAAGTGTGTGGCTGCAAGGAGCTGTCGCTGACGCCTGTAATTGCAACACTTTGGGAGGCTGAGTTGCGCAGATGGCTTGAGCTCAGGAGTTTGATACCAGCCTGGGCAACATGGCAATACCTTGTCTCTACAAAAATAAAACAAAATAGCCGGTCTTGGTGCTGCACACCTGTAGTCCCAGCTACTCAGGAGGCTGAGGTGGGAGGATTATTTGAGCCTGGAAGTTCATGACTTCAGTGAGCCAAGATCATCCCACTGCACTCCAGCCTGGGCAACCAAGCAAGACCCTGTCTCAAAATAAATAAATAAATAAAATGTAAAAAACATAAAAAGTGTGGGGCACATTTTCCCCCCACCCCCCACCACTGTCTCTTGCTCCCACTCTTGCCATATAATACACTGCCTCCCTCTTTGCCTTCCACCATGATTGTAAGCTTCCTGAGGCCTCACCCAAGGCCAAGCAGATGCCCGGCACCATGCTTCCTGTATAGCCTGCAGAACTGAGAGCCAATTAAACCTCTTTTCTTTATAAATTACCCAGTCTCAGATTTTGGGTTTGTTTTGTTTTGTTTTGTTTTGTTTTGTTTGAGATGGAGTTTCCCTCTGTCGCCCAGGCTGGAGTGCAGTGGCTTGATCTCAGCTCACTGCAACCTCAGCCTTCCAGGTTCCGGCAATTCTCCTGCCTCAGCCTCCCAAGTAGCTGGGATTACAGACACATGCCACCATGTCCAGTTAACTCTTTGCTTTTTTGATTTATTTTTGTTGGGGGGGGGGGGATGGAGTCTTGTTCTGTCGCCCAGGCTGGAGTGCAGTGGTGCGATCTCGGCTCACTGCAAGCTCTGCCTCCCAGGTTCACGCCATTCTCCTACCTCAGCCTCCCGAGTAGCTGGGACTACAGGTGCCCTCCACCACACCCAGCTAATTTTTTTGTATTTTTAGTAGAGACGGGGTTTCACCGTGTTAGCCAGGATGGTCTCAATCTCCTGACCTCGTGATCCGCCTGCCTCGGCCTCCCAAAGTGCTGGGATTACAGGCGTGAGCCACAGCGCCCAGCCAATTTTTTGTATTTTTAGTAGAGACAGGGTTTCACCATGTTGACCAAGCTGGTCTCGAATTCCCGACGTCAGGTGATCCACCTGCCTCGGCCTCCCAAAGTGCTGAGATTACAGCCATGAGCCACTGCGCCCTGCCTCAGGTATTTCTTTATGGCAATGCAATAATGGCCTAACACACCCAGCAACTTCCAGTCTAGTAAGCTCCATTTATGGTAAGTGCCCTATACAGTTCTACCATCTTTAAACTTTTATATCATATTTTTACTGTACCCTTTCTGTGTTTAGATACACAAATACTTACCATTGTGTTATAATTGCCTATAGTATTCAGTTCAGTGACATACTATACAGATTTGTAGCCTAGGAGCAATAGACTATGCCATATAGCCTAGGTGTGTAATGGACTATGCCATCTAAGTTCGTGTAAGTACACCTTATGATTGATGTCCACATGACAAAATCACCTAACTACACAATTCTCAGGATGTAACCCTGTCATTCAGCAACACATGACTGCTTATTAAGTGTATACAGTAGAACTAATTATTATAACCCAATTTTGGATAAATTCTACTTTAAAATAACAAATATCACTAACATACATTGTAGACACTGATATTATGTTTTAGATTCATTTTCACATTTGAGAAACCAACCAGCAAAAAAATGCCCTCTTGCAGAATCACTGTTTCTATATGTTAATATTTAAAATGAAACAAAAAATATGAAAAGGCTCTGCACCAACTTTTAACAAGAAAATAATGTATTTAATCCAAGATCTTCATTTATTTATTTTTTAAACTGGTTTTTTTAAGTAGTGAACCCCTTATAATCTTTCAAAGACATTGGATTAAAGGGAGATTTATCTTTTTCTTTAAAAACAGCTTGCATGTAAAAGTCTGGAAATTCCCCAGCTCTGGGTGATAAAAGTTCAAGTTTATACAAATGTATCATCCTTTGAATGTGAATTAATTATATCAAACATTAAATAATAAGAATTTCAACGTATTTTCAAAGTAAAAGTATCAAATCTGCATATTAACACCATTGACACAATTTAGCACCAATCTTTGTTGTATTTGCTATCATTATTTTCCCTTCAATTAAAACGTTTTCCTATTTTATGATTAATTGATTTAGATTTATCTACTATAAGAACATTAATTTTAGTTATATGATCTTATATAGAGCTCAAGTTACATGAATGTCTTATACCAGAAAGGATAAAAATTGATCTTTTACAAATTGTATCTTTTGCAATTGGTGTGTTTCTAATTTCTTTATACATAGGCTTATTTGTTTTTAATAAACCTCAAAAATATCAATATAAACGTTAGAGCCAACACCAAAACTATGACAACAGAGTATGTTTTTCAAAGAATGAATGACTTTTGAGTAATAGAATAGAAGCAACAGAATAGAATCAACAATTTTGAGGTACCTAGAACTGCATTAGATATTTTAATGTATCATCTTATTTCCATGATTCTCAAAGTGTGGCTACTAGTGCACTTACATAATCAGCAGGGTACTTGTTAGAAATGAAAATTCTCAGACTTACTCAATCTGAAATGCTGGAGGTGAAGCCCAGCAATCACTGTTTTAACAAGCCTTCTAACAATCCAATTTAATCTTCACAATTCGAAATTAATAATTTCTGCACTTTACAAACAAAAGTTAACCAACATTCCAATGGTACAAAATGACAGAGAGAGAGAGAGATCCAACTGTATGCTGCCTATAAGAGACACATTTTAGATTTAAAGACACAAACAGGTTAAAAGGATGGACCTGGCACAGTGGCTCATGCCTGTAATTCCAGCACTTTGGGTGGTCTAGGCGGGTGGATCACCTGAGGCCAAGAATTTGAGACCAGTCTGGCCAACCTGGTGAAACCCTATCTCTATTAAAAATACCAAAAAAAAAAAAATTAGTTGGGTGTGGTGGCGCATACTGGTAATCCCAGCTACTCGGGAGGCTGAGGCAGGAGAACTGATTTAACCCAGGAGGTGGAGGTTGCAGTGAGTGGAGATTGTGCCGCTGCACTCCAGCCTGGACAACAGAGTCAAACTCCATCTCAAAAAAAAAAAAAAAGTAAAAGGATGAAAAAAATGCTATACATGCTATACAATTAATAGCCACAAGAGAAGTGGAGTGGGTATGCTAATACCACACAGAACAGAATTTAAGACAAAAGGTATTACTAAAGACAAAGAGTAGCATTTTATAATGATAAAAGCATAAATACATCAGAAAGATATAACAATTATAAACATACACATCTAACAACTGAGCCCCAAAGTATATGAATTTAAAGAATTAAAGGGAGAAAGAGACACTTCAAAAGTAATAATGGAGGACTCAAAATCCCATTCAAAAATGGATAGAGCAACTAGATAGAAAAATCAACACGGATATAGAAGATCAGGATAATACTGCCAACAATCTTGACCTGACATTTACAGCAAACTCCAGCCAACAACAACAGAATGATGCTCAAGTGCACATGGAACATTTCCCAGGACAGACCATATGTTAGTTCACAAAGCAAGTCTCAGTTAATTTAAAAGAATTGATATCAGCCAGGCACAGTGGCACACACCTGTAGTCCCAGCTACTCAAGAGACTGATGTGGGAGGATCATTTGAGACCAGAAGTTCCAGGCTGTAGTGCACTATGATGATCGTACGTATGAACAGCCATTGCACTCCAGCCTGGGCAATTCAGCAAGACATCATCTGTAAAAATAAAAATAAGAATAGAAAAAATTGATATCATACAAAATATATTATCTGATCATAAGGGAATTAAATAAGTCATAAACAGGAGAAAATATGGGAAATCTGCAGATATTTAGAAATTTTAAAATGTACATCTGAATAACCTATGAATCAAATAAGAAATCACAAGAGAAATTAGAAAATATTTTGAGCTGAATAAAAATGAAAACCTGGGCAGGCATGGTGGCTCTTGCCTGTAATCCCAGCAATTTGAGAGGCTGAGGTGGGAGGATCACTAGAGCCCAGGAGTTTGAAACCAGCCCTGGCAACATAGTGAGACTCCAACTCCACAAAAAATTAAAAAATTAGCCAGGCATGGTGGCTCATACCTGTAGTCCCAGCAACTCAGGAGGCTGAGGTGGGAAGATTGTTTGAGCCTGGGAAGGTGAGGCTGCAGTGAGCCATGATCACAGGACTGCACTCTAGCCTGAGCAACAGAGCGAGAAGAAAGAAAGAAAGAAATCAAAAGAAAAAAAAGGAAAGAAAGAGAGAAAGGAAAGAGAGAAAGAGAGAAAGAAAGAAAGAAAAGAAGAAAGGAAGGAGGGAGGAAGGGAAGGGGGGGAGGGAGGAGGGAGGGAGGAAGGGAGGAAGGAAAGGGAAAGAAGGAAACAAAGGAAGGAAGGAAGGAAAGCAAGCATTATATATCACAATTTATGAGATCATAATTTAATTTATCACAGCTTAAATCAGGAATAACTAAAATATGTAGAAAAGCTAAATAAACCTAACAAGTGAGGAAATTGAACTAGTAATTAAAAATCTTTACACAATGAAAAGCCCAGGTCCAAGAGGCCTCACTGATAAATTCTACCAAACGTTTAAAATACGACATTAATTCTTAACAAAATTCTTCTAGAAAATAAAAAAGGAGGTCAAACAGTTCAATCTGTGAGGTACTATCTTCATATTCGAAGAGAAGAAAAAGTGACCGAGAAAAAGGAAGATACAAATGACCAAATCAGAAAGGAAAGAGGAGACATCACTAATGATGATAGAGAAATACTGTGAATGATTTTATGGCAATAAATTAACTTAGACCAGGTGCAGTGGCTAACACCTGTAATCCCAGCACTTTGGGAATTCAAGGTGGGCAGGTCATTTGAGGCCAGGAGTTCAAGACCAGGCTGGGCAACATGGTGAAACCCTGTCTCCACTAAAAATACAAAAATTAGCTGGGTGTGGTGGTGCATGCCTGTAATCCCAGCTACTCGGGAGGCTGAGGCATGAGAATTGCTTGAGCCTGGGAGGTGGAGGTTGCAGTGAGCTGAGATTCCACCACTGTACTCCAGACTAGGAGACAGAGTAACACGCTGTCTCAAAATAAAAATAAGAAAAAGAAAAAGAAAAAGGAAAGAAAAGAAAAGAAATAGAGGAAAAAAAATTTTTGAAAAAAGAAAAATATCACTAAAATTGACTCAATAGAAAATATGAATATACCCACAGTAAAAAAGAAATTGAATTTGTAGTTTAAAACCTTCCCACAAAAATAAAGCTCAAGCATAGATAACCTCACCGGTGAATTCTACCAGACATTTAAAGAAGAAAGCATATCAATCCCTCATAAACTCTCTCAAGATAGAGGAGAAGCTTTCCAACATATTGTATGAAGTCAATAATACTCTGATAGCAAAGCCAGACAAAAATATCACAAGAACACTACAGACCAATATTCTTCATGACTATACATACAAAATCTTCAACAAAATATTAGTAAATCAAATCCAAGAACATATAAAAAAAGAGAATGTACCATGACCAATTGGTATTTAAACCCAAATGCAAGATTGGTTTAACATCCAAATATTAATTCGTATGACACCTTACTAATTAGAATTAAAAATGCACTCACACAATCCTCTTAATAAATGCATGAACATCACTTGGCAAAATCCAAGATCCATCCGTGATTTTAGAAGAAAACTATCAACAAATAAGAAATAAAAAGAAACTTCCTTGCTCGATAGAAGAAATCCACAAAAAACCTAAAGCTTTCCCCCTACTGTACTATAGGGAATAAGGCAAAGATGTCTGCTCTCATCACTCCTATTTATCATTGTACTGGAAATTCTAGCCAGGGTAATCTGGCAAGAAAAAAATAAATAAATGAATGAATGAATAAATAAAATACATAAAGATTGGGTTAAATCTTTATTTAACAAAACCAGTAAGTTCAGCAAAGTTGCAGGACAAAATTTCAATATACAAAAATTAATTGTACTTCTAAATATTAGTTATAAACCCAAAAATAAATTTTTTAAAAAAATTCCATTCACAGTGACATAAAAAAAAATACTTAAGAATACATTTGGCCAGGCATGGTGGCTCATGCCTGTAATCCCAGCACTTTGGGAGGCCAAAGCGGGAGGCCAGGAGTTCGAGGCCAGCCTGACCAACATGGTGAAACCCTGTCCCTACTAAAAATACAAAAATTAGCCGGGCGTGGTGGTGCCCACCTGGAATCCCAGCAACTCAGGAGGCTGAGGCAGGAGAATTGCTTGAACCCAAGAGGCAGAGGTTGCAGTGAGCTGAGATTGTGGCAGTGAGCTGAGATTGTGCTACTGCACTACAGCCTGGGTGACAGAGTGAGGCTCTGTCTCAAAAACAAACAAAAAAAGAATACATTTAACAAAAGATATGCAAGACTTGTACACACAAAATGTTAAAACATTGCTGAGAAAAATTAAATATCTACATAAATGGAGAGATATGCCATGTTTGTCAATTGGAAGACAAGATTATCAACATGGCTATTCTCCTCAAATTGATCCAAATATTCAACACAATCCCTATCAAAATTCCAGCAAGCTATTTTACAGATGCTGACAAGCTGATCCCAAAATGTATGCAAAAATGCAAAGGATTCAGTATAGCAAAATAATCTTGAAAACAAAGCAAAGCTCATACTACCCCATTCCAAAACTCTCTATAAAGCTACTGTAATCCAGGCAGTGTAGTTGGCATGCAGAGAGACATTTAGGTCAATTAAACTAAGTTAAGAGTCCAACCATAAATATTTTTGGTCTATTGGTTAAAACTAAGACAAAGGTGCCAAGACAATTCAACAGGGAAAGGATAATCTTTTTAACAATTGAAATGTACATACAAAACAGTGAATTTAGACTGTTAACTCACACAATAACACAAAAATTAACTCAAAACTTATCTTAGCTCTCAACACAAGACTAATTAAACATAAACTAAAAATTCTTGGAATAAAATATTTTAAGAAAATTTGCATGGCTTTGGGCTGTTCAAACTTTTTAAGCTACATCAAGAGCATGATCTGTAAGAAAAAAAAAACTGGAGACAGGTTCAAGATGACTGACTAGAAATATTATTTGCCAGTTCTCCTCCGAAATAAGAACCAAAATTACAAACAGATTATCGTAACTCGAATAGAATATCAAGGAGAGAGTACTAGAACCCAATGGAGAGCTCATGGGGAAAAATAAACTGAGGCACAAAAAAAGAAGGAAGGAAGGGGCCAAGTCGGGCCATCAGACGTTGTCTGGAATCCCTGAGGGACCTGGCATTGGGTGGAAAGGGTAAGTGGGAGGGTTTGGGCTCCCCTCACCTCCATGGCAGACTGCTGGTATGTAAACAGTAGGAGAGCTCTCTGCACTCATGATCCCAGACATTAGTCAGGGCGGTGATTTGGGGACTTCTTGAGGGCATTACACTAGACAGTGATCTTTTGCAGGGGCACTTGCCTTTTCCCCAGACTCGAGTGTCTGCAGCGAGGCACCATTGTAGGGGCGCAGCTGTTGGGGGACTGAATTCTGCCCAAAGAACCTCAGCCCTTGTGTTTCCATGTCCTGGAAGCTCCCATAGACGTTCGCTAGCACTCGCTAGGAGGGTGGTAATGGCACAGTAGTGTCTGGACCCAAGGGAGCTTCAGGGTTCCCAGTCATCTAACCCTCCGTGGAGCGCTGCTCCTAATGGAAGGGAAAGTACACCACACCAACGGGACAGCTCTTGGGACAAAGGAAACCAAAGTGTATGTTTCCCAGTACCCAAAAGCTCCCTGCTTGGGGCTGTGATTGGCAGCCCTCCTTCCAACAGACACACTCTATGCTGGGCTCTGCAAGTGAGGAATGAAATCCCATTTCACCAGCTGAGCAGCCTCAGTACTTGAGCCTGACATAGAGAAGGAGATTTCTCCTCTCTCTCTGCTCACAACTGCTGACGCGACTGTCGCTGCCAACAAGAAGTTAGCACAAGCAAGCAGAGGGGGCAGCCTGCCTGGGCCTGTGAGGGGAGACTGCATCCCCATGGGCAATGTGACCTCTGGGCCCAGATTAGCAAGAAAGGCAGAACCCCTTCCTCTCTCTGCACAGAACTGTGAAGGAGAACAGGAGGGCCAAGGAGCTGTGTGTTTGGGACTGTGGGGGAAGACTGCACTGCAGCCATTTCCAGACAGCACAGAGGCTTAGTGTTGAGCCACAAGGTAGGCATCTCCTACAGTTCTGGGCTACATTGCAGCTTAGTAATAAACAGCTGTGTCTGACCAAACTGAATATCCAGAGCATCTGGATGGAAACATGACAGGGAAATAAATCACATTAATGTATGCTGAGGCCATGGTACTGGGACACCCCCTATCTGCCCTGCAGAGAGCTCAGTGTGTTTCACCAGGGGTCCAATGACTCCTCTGCCACCTTTGTCAGGGCTGGTGCTTGCACCCACCATTGGAGGACCAGAGGGCAGGCCTGCCTGGTCCAGCTCTACCCAGCTTTACCGTCACCTCCCTGAGGATGAGCATGGAGCCCAGGCCACTGTGCTTTCACAGACCAGTCCCTTGCCAGAAGCATCAGAGAGCTTCTCCCAGTAAACAAAGATCTCCTCGTTAACAAAGCATAATTCCTACTGCTACTGCTGCAGCTAGCTGTTACCTACAAGTATCAGTAACTGACCTGGAGGTTGAACTACACAATCCAATACAAAATATGCTGACACAAGTACACAGTGCTTGTGAATGAGATAAGCTTCTCAAGACCTCTGCAACTCCAGTTCTTCAGGAGGTCATAAGCCTGCTCACATGCCCAGTACACAACTACTACAACCAACATTTGATAACCTCACCACACTGAGGCTATCTATAAAGAAGGAATTTATACAGCATTTTTGCCACTGAAAGCACCCAGAAGCAAAGCCGAACAACCCTGTTCAATGTACATTGCAGTCACATACTCAAGGGGAATAAAAACAAGTCATGTCTAAACGACAGTAAATTCAAAAATAACAAGAAATGAATTTCTTCAGATGAGAAGGAGCCAGCATAACAATTCTGGAAGTATGAAAAAACAGGATGTTACAGCACCCACTAAGTATCACAGTAACTCTCCAACAGTATATTCTAACCAAAATGAAAATTTTTTGTTTTGTTTTATACTTTTTCATTTTTTATTTTTCCAAATGAAATTTTGGATATACAAAATAAAGACTTCAAAATATTTATTTTAAAGATGCTCAGTGAGATCCAAGAGAAATCTGAAAACCAATACAAAAAAAAATCAGAAAATCAATTCAGGATATGAATGAGAAATTTACCGAAGTGATAGATTAAAAAAAAAAGAACTTCTGGAAATGAAAAATTCATAGAAGGAATAACAAAATATAGTTTAAACCTTCAACAATAGGCCAGGTGCAGTGGCTCACGCCAGTAATCCCAACTCTTTGGGAGGCTGAGGCCAGGTGTTCAAGACCAGCCTGGCCAACACGGCGAAACCCCATCTCTACTAAAAATACAAAAATAAGCACGGTGGCACATGCCTGTAGTCCCAGCTACTTGGGAGGTTGAGGCAGGAGAACCACTTGAAAGGAGAAAGGAGTTGCAGCAAGCCAAGATCGTGTCACTGCACTCCAGCGTGGGTGACAGAGCAAGACTCCATCTCAAAACAAAACACAAAAACCTTCAACAGTAGACTAGACCAAGCAGAAGAAAGAATTTCAGAACTTGAAAACAGATCTTTCAAATTAATTCAGTCAGACAAAAATAAAGCAAAAGAGGATTTTTAAAAATGAAGGCTTCCAGGAACAATGAGACTATGTAAAACATCTGAACCTACAAATCATAGGTATTCCTGAGAGAGAAGAAAAAGGCAAAAGTTTGGAAAATCTATTTGAGGATATAATTGTGGAAAACTTCCCTAGTCCAGCAAGAGATCTAGACATGGAGCTGTAAAAGCCTCAGAAAACTCCAGGAAAATACATTGCAAGAAGGACTTCACCATGACATTTAGTCATCAGACTGTCTAAGTTCAACGTGAAGGAAAAATTTTTCATATCAGCAAAAGAAAAGCATGTAATCACCTATAAAGGAAACCCTATCAGACTAATAGCAGATTTCCCAGCAGAAACCCTACAAGCCAGAAAAGATTGAGATTCTATTTTCAAAATACTTAAAGAAAAAAACTGTCAAGCAGAAATTTTATATCCTGCTAGAATAAGCTTCATTAAGAGACGGAGAAATAGTCTTTTCCAAACAAGCAAATACTGAGGGAATTTGTCACCACTACACCAGTCCTACAAGAAAGGTTCAAAATGTTCTAAACATGGAAACAAAAGGTCAATAATCACCATCATAAAAACACATGAAAGTATAAAACTCATATGTCTTATAGAGCAATTACACAAATGAAGAAAAGAAAGAAATCAAATGGCAACATGACAGAACACCAGACCACAAAGACAAAACAAACAGAGGAAAAGTAAATAAAGAATCTGCAAAGCAACTAGATAACAATTAACATTATGACAGGGACAAAACTTCACATACCAATATTAACCTTGCATTTAAATGGATTAACCGCTCTATTTAAAACATTCAGTTTGGCAGAATGGATATAAAAACATGAATCAACTATAGATGGCTTGTAAGAAACTCACCTTACTCATAAAGACACTTAATAGACTGAAGGTAATGGGATGGGAAAAGATATTCCACACAAATGGAAACCAAAAGTAAGCAGGAGTAGCTATACTTATATTAGATAAAACAGATTTTAAATCAGAAACAGTAAAAAAAAAAAAAAGATAAAGAAGGTCATTATATAATGATAAAGGGATCAATTCAACAAGAAGACATAACAATCCTAAGTATATATTTAGCCAACACTGGAGCACCCAGATTCATAAAACAAATATTACTGGACTATTGTACTTTAGACCAAATGGACACAACAGACATTTACAGAGCATTCTATCTAACAACTGCAGAACATAAATTCTTCTCATCAGTACACTAAACATTCTCCAAGAAGACTATATATGTTAGGCCACAAAAAAGCTTCAATAAATTTTTAAAAATCAAAATCACATCAAGTATCTTCTCAGATAATAGTGAAAAAAAACTAGAAACCAATTGCAAGAGGAACTCTCACAACTATATATACACATGGCAACTAGATTACCTGCTCCTGTACAATCTTTGGGTCAATGACAAAATTAAGACAAATTTAAAAAATTTTTGAAACAAATGAAAATGGAGACACAATATGCCAGAAAAATCTGGGGTACAGCCAAAGCAGTGCTAAAAGGAAAGTTTATAGATAGCCTTCAATGCCTGCATTAGAAAATAGATCACAAATTAACAACCTAGTGACACACTTCAAGCAACTAGAAAAACAAGAACAAACCAAACCCAAAGCTAGCAGAAGAAAAGACATAACAAAGATCAGAGCAAAACTAAACAAAATGGAGACAAAAAAAAAAAAAAAAATACAAAAGAACAGTAAAATGAAAAAATGGTTCTTTGAAAATATAAAACAAATTGATAGATTGTTAGCTAGACTAACCAAGAAAAGAGAAGGTTCAAATAAATACAATCAGAAATGAAAAAGGAGATATTACAACTGACACAGAAATTTAAAAGATCATCAGAGACTGCTATGAACAACTCTGTGCTCACAAACTAGAAAACCTAGAGGAAATGGATAAATGCCTGGAAACATACAACCTCCCAAGGTTGAACTAGGAAGAAATAGAAAGCCTGAACAGACCAATAATGTGTAGGGAGATTGACTCAGTACTAAAAATTCTACCCGCACCCCCGCCCCAAAAAAAAAGAAAAAACAGGAGCAGATAGATTCACAGCCAAATTCCACCAAACATACAAGTCCTGAGACTTTGCTGAAATTGCTTATCAGCTTAAGGAGTTTTTGGGCTGAGACAATGGGGTTTTCTAAATATACAATCACGTCATCTGCAAACAGGGACAATTTGACTTCCTCTTTTCCTAATTGAATACCCTTTATTTCTTTCTCTTGCCTGATTGCCCTGGTCAGAACTTCCAACACTATGTTGAATAGGAGTGGTGACGGAGGGCATCCTTCTCTTGTGCGGGTTTTCAAAGGGAATGCTTCCAGTTTTTGCCCATTCAGTATGATATTGGCTGTGGGTTTGTCATAAACAGCTCTTAATATTTTGAGATGCGTTCCATGAATACCTAGTTTATTAAGAGTTTTCAGCATGAAGTGCTGTTGACTTTCGTCGAAGGCCTTTTCTGCATCTATTGAGATAATCATGTGGTTTTTGTCGTTGGTTCTGTTTATGTGATGGATTACATTCATTGATTTGCAAATGTTGAACCAGCCTTGCATCCCAGGGATGAAGCCAACTTGATCGTGGTGGATAATCTTTTTGATGTACTGCTGTATTCAGTTTGCCAGTATTTTATTGAGGATTTTCGCATCGATATTCATCAGGGATATTGGTCTAAAATTCTCTTTTTTTTGTTGTGTCTCTGCCAGGCTTTGGTATCAGGATGATGCTGGCCTCATAAAATCAGTTAGTGAGGAGTCCCTCTTTTTCTATTGATTGGAATAATTTCAGAAGCAATAGTACCCAGCTCCTCTTTGTACCTCTGGTAGAATTCAGCTGTGAATTCGTCTGATACTGGAATTTTTTTGGTTGGTGGGCTATTAACTATTGCCTCAATTTCAGGGCCTGTTATTGGTGTATTCAGAGATTCAACTTGTTCCTGGTATAGTCTTGGGAGGGTGTATGTGTCCAGCAATTTATCCATTTCTTCTAGATTTTCTAGTTTATTTGTGGAGAGGTGTTTATAGTATCCACTGATGGTAGTTTGTATTTCTGTGGGATCTGTGGTTATATCCCCTTTATCATTTTTTATTGTGTCTATTTGATTCTTCTCTCTTTTCTTCATTATTAGTCTTGCTAGCAGTCTATCAATTTTGTTGATCTTTTCAAAACACCAGCTCCTGGATTCAGTGATTTTTTGAAGGGTTTTTTGTGTCTCTATCTCCTTCAGTTCTGCTCTGATCTTAGTTGTTTCTTGCCTTCTGCTGGCTTTTGAATGTGTTTGCTCTTGCATCTCTAGTTCTTTTAATTGTGATGTTAGGTTGTCAATTTTAGATCTTTCCTGCTTTCTCTTGTGGGCATTTAGTGCTATAAATTTCCCTCTACACACTGCTTTAAATGTGTCCCAGAGATTCTGGTACATTGTGTCTTTGTTCTCATTGGTTTCAAAGAACATCTTTATTTCTGCTCTCATTTCATTATTTACCCAGTAGTCATTCAGGAGCAGGTTGTTCAGTTTCCATGTAGTTGTGTGGTTTTGAGTGAGTTTCTTAATCCTGAGTTCTAATTTGATTGCACTGTGGTCTGAGAGACAGTTTGTTGTGATTTCTGTTCTTTTACATTTGCTGAAGAGTGCTTTACTTCTAACTATGTGGTCAATTTTGGAATAAGTATGATGTGGTGCTAAGAAGAATGTATATTCTGTTGATTTGGGGTGGAGAGTTCTGTAGATGTCTATTAGGTCCACTTGGTGCAGAGCTGAGTTCAATTCCTGAGTATCGTTGTTAACCTTCTGTGTCGTTGATCTTTCTAATATTGACAGTGGAGTGTTAAAGTCTCCCATTATTATTGTGTGGGAATCTAAGTCTCTTTGTAGGTCTCTAAGGACTTGTTTTATGAATTGGGTGCTCCTGTATTGGGTACATATATATTTAGGATAGTTAGCTCTTCTTGTTGAATTGATTCCTTTACCATTATATAATGGCCTTCTTTGTCTCTTTTGACTTTTTTTTGGTTTAAAGTCTGTTTTATCAGAGACTAGAATGGCAACCCCTGCTTTTTTTTTTTTTTTCTTTTTTGGCTTTTCATTTGCTTGGTAGATCTTCCCCCATCCCTTTATTTTGAGCCTATGTGTGTCTCTGCACATGAGATGGGTCACCTGAATACAGCACAGTGATGGGTCTTGACTCTTTATCCAATTTGCCAGTCTGTGTCTTTTAATTGGAGCATTTAGCCCATTTACATTTAAGGTTAATATTGTTATGTGTGAATTTGATCTTGTCATTATGATGTTAGCTGGTTATTTTGACAGTTAATTGATGCAGGTTTTTCCTAGCATCAGTGGTCTTTAACTTTGGCATGTTTTTGCTGTGGCTGGTACCAGTTGTTTCTTTCCATGTTTAGTGCTTCCTTCAGGAGCTCTTATAAGGCAGGCCTGATGGTGATAAAATCTCTCAGCATTTGCTTGTCTGTAAAGGATTTTATTTCTCCTTCACTTATGAAGCTTAGTTTGACTGGATATGAAATTCTGGGTTGAAAATTCTTTTCTTTAAGAATGTTGAATATTAGCCCCCACTCTCTTCTGGCTTGTAGGGTTTCTGCAGAGAGATGTGCTGTTAGTCTGATGGGCTTCCCCTTGTGGGTAACCTGACCTTTCTCTCTAGCTGCCCTTAACATTTTTTCCTTTATTTCAAACTTGGTGAATCTGACAGTTATGTGTCTTGGGGTTGTGTTACTCTTCTCAAGGAGGACCTTTGTGGTGTTCTCTGTATTTCCTGATTTTGAGTATTGGCCTGCCTTGCTAGGTTGGGGAAGTTCTCCTGGATAATATCCGGAAGAGTGTTTTCCAACTTGGTTCCATTCTCCCCATCACTTTCAGGTATACCAATCAAATGTAGATTTGGTCTTTTCACATAGTCCCATATTTCTTGGGGGCTTGGTTTGTTTTTTGTTGTTTTTTTTTTTTAATCTTTTTTCTCTAACCTTCTCTTCTTGCTTTATTTCATTAATTTGATCTTCAATCACTGAAACCCTTTCTTCTACTTGATCGAATCCGCTATTGAAGCTTGTGCATGCGTCACGAAGTTCTCATGCCATAGTTTTCAGCTCTATCAGGTCATTTAAGGTCTTCTCTACACTGTTTATTCTAGTTAGCCATTCATCTAACCTTTTTTCAAGGTTTTTAGCTTCCTTGCAATGGGTTCGAACATACATTTTTAGCTCGGAGAAGTTTGTTATTACTGACCTTCTGAAACCTACTTCTGTCAACTCATCAAAGTCATTCTCTGTCCAGCTTTGTTCAGTTGCTGGCAAGGAACTGCAATCCTTTGAAGAAGAGGCACTCTGGTTTTTAGAATTTTCAGCTTTTCTGCTCTGTTTTCTCCCCATCTTTGTGTTTTTATCTATCTTTGGTCTTTGATGTTGGTGACCTACAGATAGGGTTTTGGTGTAGATGTCCTTTTTGTTGATGTTGATGCTATTTCTTTCTGTTTGTTAGTTTTCCTTCTAACAGTCAGGTCCCTCAGCTGCAGGTCTGTTGGAGTTTGCTGGAGGTCCACTCCAGACCTTGTTTGCCTGGGTATCACCAGCAGAGGCTGCAGAATAGCAAATATTGCAGAACAGCAAATATTGCTGCCTGATTCTTCCTTTGGAAGCTTTGTCCCAGAGGGGCACCCGCCTATATGAGGTGTCTGTCGGCCCTTACTGGGAGGTATCTCCCAGTTAGCCTACATAGGGGTCAGGCACCCACTTGAGGAGGCAGTCTGTCCGTTCTCAGGGCTCAAACGTCATGCTGGGAGAACCACTGCTCTCTTCAGAGCTGTCAGACAGGGACGTTTAAGTCTGCAGAAGTTGTCTGCTGCCTTTTGTTCTGCTGTGCCCTGCCCCCAGAGGTGGAGTCTATAGAGGCAGTAGGCCTTGCTGAGCTGCAGTGGGCTCCGCCCAGTTCAAGCTTCCTGGCCACTTTGTTTACCTACTCAAGCCTCAGCAACAGTGGACGCCCCTCCCCCAGCCAGGCTGCCACCTAGCAGTTCGATCTCAGACTGCTGCGCTAGCAGTGAGCAAGGCTCTGTGGGCGTGGGACCCACTGAGCCTGGCACGGGAGAGGATTTCCTTGTCTGCTGGTTGCTAAGACCTTGGGAAAAGTGAAGTATTTGGGCAGAAGTGTCCCGTTTTTTCCAGGTACAGTCTGTCACGGCTTCCTTTGGCTAGGAAAGGGAAATCCCCTGACCCCTTGTACTTCCCAGGTGAGGTGATGCCCCACCCTGCTTCAGCTCACCCTCCATGGGCTGCACCCACTGTCCAACCAGGCCCAGTGAGATGAACCAGGTACCTCAGTTGGAAATGCAGAAATCACCTGTCTTCTGCATTGATCATGCTGGGAGCTGCAGACCGGAGCTGTTCCTATTAGGCTATCTTGGAATGGACTCCATGAATAATATATCGTGTAAAAGATTTCTAATCAATAATTTTTTAAAAAGCACTCTTGAAATCCAAAGGCAAAAAGACAAATTACTCAATCTAAAAATAGGCAAAATACTTAGACATTTCGCCAAAGAAAATATATAAGTAGCCAACATGATAGGAAATATTAGGTGTCAACTTGATTGGACCAAGGGCTGCCTAAATAGGTAGTAAAGTATTGTTTCTGGATGTATCTGTGAGGGTATTGCTAGAGGAGACTGACATTTGTGTCAGTGGGCTGGGAGAAGAAGACCCACCCTCAATGTGGGTGGGCACACTAGCCACTGCCAGAGTGGCAAGAATAGAGCAGGTGGATGATGGTGGGATAAGTTTGCTTGCTGAGTCTTCTGGTTCTCTTTCTTCTTCTTATGCCGAATTATTGCTTTTGTTCCTCCTGTCTTTGCACATTAAACTCCAGGTTCTTCAGCCTCCGTACTCTGGGACATGCACCAGCAGCTTTCCAGGGGTTATCAGGTCTTCAGGCACAGGCTGAAGCACTGTCGGTTTCTCTGGATTTGAGGCTTGTGAACTTGGATTGAGCCACTACCAGCTTCTCTCTTTCCTTGGCTTGCAGATGGCCTATCATGGGACTTCACCTTGTGATCATGTGAGCCAATTCTCGCTAATAAACTCTTTCTTATATATACATATATCCCATTTGTTCTGTCCCTCTGGAGAACTCTGACTAAAAGAGATGTTGGTACCAGGGGTGGTTCTAGAGGAACAGAATTTTAAGGATGAATTTCCTTAATTGGTTTTGTCATTTCTGGAGTTAGCTCTCTAATCTGATTAGACCTAAAAATGCTAAGGACTTTACTTTGTTTTTTCTTCTCATTTTACTTTAAGTTCTGGGATACATGTGCAGAACATGAAGGTTTGTTACATAAGTACGCATGTGCCATGGTGGTTTGCTATACCTATCAACCCATCATCTAGGTTTTAAGCCCCACATGCATTAGGTTTTTGTCCTAATGCTCTCCCTCCCCTTGCCCCCCATCCCCTGACAGGCCCCTGTGTGTGATGTTCCCCTCCCTGTGTCCACGTGTTCTCATTTTTCAACTCCCACTTAGGAGTAAGAACATGCAGTGCTTGGTTTTCTGATCCTGTGTTACTTTGCTGAGAATAATGGCTTCCAATTTCATCCACATTCATGCAAAGGGCATGAACACATTCTTTTTATGGCTGCATAGTATTCCATGGTGTATATGTGCCACGTTTTCTTTATCCAGTCTATCATTGGTGGGCATTTAGGTTGGTTTCAAGTCTTTGCTATTGTAAATAGTGCTGCAATAAACATACGTGTGCATGTGTCTTTATACTACAATGATTCATAATTCTTCGGGTATGCATCCAGTAATGGGATTGCCGGGTCAAATGGTATTTCTGGTTCTAGATCCTTGAGGAATTACCACACTCTATTCCACAATGGTTAACTAATTTACACTCCCACCAACAGCGTAAAAGCGTTCCTATTTCTCCACAGTCTTGCCGGCATTGGTTGTTTCCTGACTTTGTAATAATCACCATTCTAACTGGCATGACATGGTTTCTTATTGTGGTTTTGATTTGCATGTCTCTAATGACCACAGTTGATGAGCTTTTCTTCATATGTTTGTTGGTTGCATAAATGTCTTCTTTTGAGAAGTATCTATTCATATTCTTCTCTCGGTTTTTGATGGGGTTGTTTTTTTCTCATAAATTTGTTTAGGTTCCTTGTAGATTCTGGAAATTAGACCTTCATCAGATGGGTAGATTGCAAAAATGTTCTCTCATTCTGTAGGCTGCCTGTTCACTCTGATGATAGTTTCTTTTGCTGTGCAGAAGTTCTTTAGTTTAATGAGATCCCATTTGTCAATTTTAGCTTCTGTTGCAATTGTTTTTGGCGTTTTTGTCATGAAATCGTTACCCATGCCTATGTCCTGAATGGTATTGCACAGGTTTTCTTCTAGGTTTTTTTTGGTTTTGAGTTTTACTTCTAAGTCTTTAATCCACTTTGAGTTAATTTTCGTATAAGGTGTAATTTTGTATAAGGTGTAATTTTGTATAATTTTATATAAGGTATAAAATTTGTATAAGGTGTAAGGAAGGGGTCCATTTTCCGTTTTCTGCATATGGTTAACCAGTTTTACCAGCACCATTTATTAAATAGGGAATCCTTTCCCCAATGCTTGTTTTTGTCAGGTTTGTTGAAGATCAGATGGTTGTAGATGTGTAGTGTTATTTCTGAGGTCTCTGTTCTGTTCCATTGGTCTATATATCTGTTTTGGTACCATTACCATTCTGTTTTGGTTATGTACCCTTGTAATATAGTTTGAAGTCAGGTAGCATGATGCCTCCAGCTTTGTTCTTTTTGCTTAGGATTGTCTTGGCTATACCGGCTCTTTTTTCGTTCCATATGAAATTTAAAGTAATTTTTTCTAATTCTGCGAAGAAAGTCACTGGTAGCTTGATGGGAATTGCATTGAATCTATATATTACTTTGGGAATTCTGTCCATTTTCAAGATATTGATTCTTCCTATCCATGAGCATGAAATTTTTTATGAGGCCAGCATCATCCTGATACCAAAACATGGCAGAGACACAATAAAGAAAAGAAAATTTCAGGTCAATATCCCTGATGAACACAGATGCAAAAATCCTCAATAAAATATTGGCAAACCTAATCCAGCAGCACATCAAAAAGCTTATCCACCACGATCAAGTTGGCTTCATCCCTGGGATGCAAGGCTGGTTCAACATTCGCAAATCAATAAACATAATCCATCACATAAACAGAAACAATGACAAAAAACAAATGATTATCTCAATAGATGCAGAAAAGGCCTTCAATAAAATTCAACATCCCTTCATGTTAAAAACTCTCAATAAGCTAGGTATTGATGGAACATATCTCAAAATAATAAGAGTTGTTTATGACAAACCCATAGCCAATATCATACTGAATGGGCAAAAGCTGGAAGCATTCCCTTTGAAAACCGGCACAAGACAAAGATGCCCTCTCTCACCACTCCTATTCAACATAGTATTGGAGGTTCTGGCCAGGGCAATCAGGCAAGAGAAAGAAATGAAGGGTATTCAAATAGAAGAGAAGAAGTCAAATTGTCTCTCTTTGCAGATGACACAATTGTATATTTAGAAGACCCCATTGTCTCAGCCCAAAAACTCCTTAAGCTGATCAGCAACTTCAGCAAACTCTCAGGATACAAAATCAATGTGCAAAAATCACAAGCATTCCTATACACCAACAACAGATAAGCAGAGAGCCAAATCATGAGTGAATCCCCATTTGCAACTGCTACAACGAGAATAAAATACCTAGGAATCCAACTTGCAAGGGATGTGAAGGACCTCTTCAAGAAGAACTATAAACCACTGCTCAAGAAAATAAGAGAGGACACAAACAAATGGAAAAAAACGACTCTACTTCTAAGAGTGCATAGAGCACTGGTAGTCCTTGGCATGCATTGTTTAGAGAGTTATGCAAAATAAATGCATTTGATACTCCTGATTCACCACTACTGAGAGGCAAGGAGTTTAGTGACTCTATACATGATACCTTTGAATGTTTACAGAGAACCAAGGAACATAGTGAAGTTGGTTGGCTGCTCCTAAGTTTGCTGGACAAAGTGATGAAATAAAAAGATGAGCTCAGAGATTATATATCTCAGCTCCAGAAGTGCATACTTAACCTCAATCTTCTAAGATTGCCCTGGGTTTTTTTCAGGTTTGTTTGTCTTGTCTTCTGCAGACAAAGGGCTGAAATTGCTGAAAATAAGACCAAGCTCTTATCATGTGAGTGGCTGACATACAATGAAAGGCACACACTCAGCCTCACCAGGTGTCTACTGATAAAGTGAGACCATTGACTAGGAAATAATGGAACTCTACAACTTCAGATGGGGATGTGTGGAAGGACCCTGATGAAGCTGGGGACACTAAGTTCCTGAATTCCCATGAGTTTATTTTCCAGAGGAAATGGCCTTCACCTCCCTCACAACCCACTCCCCTGTGGGGGCAACATCCCCTCCCTCACCCAAGCTGCTATCAGCCTCTCCACCTTTGTCTGAGATTAACCCTGCACTGGCTGAGCAACAGTGATGGCCTCCCCTGAGGCAGCTGCCAGGCAAGACAATGCTGATTCTCCTCAGGACCCACCCCTACTACCTCTCTTTGCTTCTAGACCTGTAACTAGACTCAAGTCCCAGCAGACCCCTAAACGTGAGGTACAAAGTGTGACCCATGAGGGGGTGCACTATACTCCAAAAGAACTACTTGAGTTTTCTAATTTATATAAGCAGAAGCCTGGAGAATAGGTATGAGAATGGATATTAAGGGTGTGAAATAATGGTGGTAGGAACATAAAGTTGGATCAGGCTAAATTTTTTGATATGGACCCACTAGGCAGAGATTCTGCATTTAATGTTGCAGCTCAGGGAGTTGTGCTTTTTTTTTTTGTTTTTGAGATGGTGTCTCAGTCTGATGCCCAGGCTAAAGTGCAGTGGTGTGATCTCGGCTGATTGCAACCTCTGCCTCCCAGGATCAGGCAATTCTCCTGCTTTAGCCCCCTAAGTAGCTGGGGTTACAGGTGCCCGCCACAACACCAAGCTATTTTTTTTTTAATTTTTTAGTAGAGATGGGGTTTCACCATGTTGGCCAGGCTGGTCTCAAACTCCTGACCTCAAATGATCCACTCACCTCAGCCTCCAAAGTGCTGGGATTACAGGCTTGAGCCACTAAGCCCAGCCAGCTAAGGGAGTTTTAAAAGGTTCTAATAATTTATTTCTTAGTTAGTTGAAACATGGATCAAAAGATGGCCCACTGTGAGTGAGCTGTAAATGCCTGATCTCCCTTGGTTTAATGTAGAGGAAGAGATACAAAGGCTTTGGGAGACTGGAATGCTAGAGTGGATTTTTTCACGTTAGACCTACTCACCCCAAACGGGAGGGTTCAGAGGGCATACCCTTCACCAATACCCTGTGAAATAGATTTGTGAGGGGAGCACCAGCATCTTTAAAGAGTTCTGTGATTGCTCTTCTCTGTGTGCTAGATCTTACAGTAGAAACCACAGTCACTCAACTGGAAAACTTAAACACAATGGGAATAATCGGATTCCAAGTGGTAGGAGCCAAGTGGTAGCACTCAATTATCAAGGCAACGTGGGAGTAGTTACCATAATGCACAGCACAGGCAAAGCCACAATCAGAATATTCTGACCCATGTAGAGCTCTGGTATTGGCTAATTAATCACGGCATTCCTAGAAGTGAAATTGATAGGAAGCCTACTACGTTTTTACCTGATCTATAAAAAGAAAACTTCCAGGTCAAGTAGAGAAAAGTCTAATTTCAGTTATAAAAGCAGATAATCATAGCCTTCAATCAGTTTCCGCACTTGAGCCAGTTTACACACCCAGAACCCCTTGAATGACGAGGAGGCCAGGTCCCTTTGAGGAAGGACCCCACTATACTACTAAAAATTTATACTGTTAATCTTTCTTCCATCCTTTCCCAAAGAGACCTCTGGCCTTTCACCAGGGTAACTGTGCACTGGGAAAAGGGGAATAATCAGACCTTTGGGAATTACTAGACACTGGCTCTGAACTGACATTGATTCCAGGGGATCCTTGGCCTTCCAGTTTCAGTAGGGGCTTATGGAGGTCAGGTAATTAATGGCATTTTGGCTCAGATCTGACTTACAGTGGGTCCAGGACCTGTCCTGTGGTCATTTACCCAGTGCCAGAATTCATAAATAAATAGACATCCTTACCAGCTGGCAGAATTCCCACATTGGTTCCCTGACCTGTGGAGTGAGGGCTATTATGGTGAGAAAGGCCAAAGGGAAACCATTATAGCTGCCTCTACCTAGAAAAATAGTAAATAAAAAAACAATATTGCACCCCTGAAAGGATTGCAGAGACTAGTGCCACCATCAAGGACCTGAAAGGTGCAGGGGTGATGATCCCTACCACATCCCCAGTCAACTCTCCTATTTGGCCTGTTCAGAAGACAGATGGATCTTGGAAAATGGTAGTGGATTATTGTAAGCTTAACCAAGTGGTGACTACAATTGCAACTGCTGTACCAGATGTGGTTTCATTGCTTGAGCAAATTAACACATCTCCTGGTACCTGGTATGTAGCTATTGATTTGGCAAATGCCTTTTTCTCCATTCCTGGCCAGGGGCGGTGGCTCACGCCTGTAATCCCAGCACTTTGGGAGGCCGAGGCGGGCGGATCACGAGGTCAGGAGATCAAGACTATCCTGGCTAACACAGTGAAACCCCGTCTCTACTAAAAAAAATACACAAAAAATTAGCCAGGCATGGTGGTGGGTGCCTGTAGTCCCAGCTACTCAGGAGGCTGAGGCAGGAGAATGGCATGAACCTGGGAGGCAGAGCTTGCAGTGAGTCGAGAACACACCACTGCACTCCAGCCTGGGTGACAGAGCAAGACTCCATCTCAAAAAAAAAAAAAAAAAGTAGCAACTGGGGAGACATTTGCATGTCAGGGGATGAGAAATAAATCTAAAATTCAGGGGCCTTTTGCCTCTGTGAAATTTCCAGAGTTCCAGTGATGTGAGGCATGTTGAGATAGTCCTTCCAAGGTGAAGGATAAGTTGTTGTATCTGGCCCTTCCTACAACCAAGAAAGAGGCACAATGCCTAGTGGGCCTATTAGGATTTTGGAGGCAACACATTCCTCATTTGTGTGTGTTACTCCATTCCATTTATCAAGTGACCTGAAAGGCTGCTAGTTTTGAGTGGGGTCCAAAACAGGAGAAGCCTCTGCAACAGGTCCAGGCTACTGTGCAAGCTGCTCTGCCACTTGGGCCATATGACTCAGCAGATCCAATGGTGCTTGAGGTGTCAGTGGCAGATAAGGATGCTGTTTGCAGTGTTTGGCAGGCCTCCATAGGTAAATCACAGTGGAGGCCTCTAGGATGTTGGAGCAAGGCCCTGTCATCTTCTGCAGATAACTACTCTCCTTTTGAGAGACAGCTCTTGGCCTGTTACTGGGCTTTAGTGGAAACTGAACATTTGACTATGGGTCATCAAGTCACCATGCGACCTTAACTGTCTATCACAGCAGCATTCCGTCATCAAATGGAAGTGGTATACACGTGATTGGGCTCAAGCAGATCCTGAAGGCATAAGTAAGTTACATGAAGAAGTGGCTCAAATGCCCATGGTCCCCACTCCTGCCACCCTGCCTTCTCTCCGCCAGCCTGTGCTGATGGCCTTATGGGGAATTCCCTATGGCCAGTTGACAGAGGAAGAGAAAACTAGGGCCTGGTTTACAGATGGTTTGGCATGATATGCAGGCACCACCCGAAAGTGGACAGCTGCAGCACTACAGCCCCTTTCTGAGATGTCCCTAAAAGACAGTGATGAAGGGAACTCTTCCCAGTGGACAGAACTTTGAGCAGTACACCTGGCTGTGCACTTTTCTTGGAAGGAGAAATGGCCAGACATGCATTTATATGAATTCATGTGCTGTAGCCAATGGTTTGGCTGAATGATCAGGAACCTGGAAGGAACATGATTGGAAATTGATGACAAAGAAATTTGGGGAAGAGGTATGTAAATCAACCTCTCTGAATGGTCAAAAACTTTGAAGACATTTGTGTCCCATGTCAATGCTCACCCAAGGGTGACCTCAGCAAAGGAGGATTTTAACAATCAGGAGGATAGGATGACCTGCTCTGTGAACACCACTCAGCCTCTTTCCCCAGCCATCCCTATCATTGCCCAATGGGCTCATGAACAAAGTGGCCATGGAGGCATGGATGGAGGTTATGCATGAGTGAGAAACATGGACTTCCACTCACCAAGGCTGACCTGGCTATGGCCATCATTGAGTGCCCAATCTGCAAGCAGCAGGGACCAGCACTGAGCCGTTGATGCGGCACCATTCCTCGGAGTGATGAACCAGCTACCTGGTGGCAGTTTGATTACATTGGACCTCTTCCGTCATGGAAGGGGCAGCAGTTTGTCCTTACTGGAATAGACACATACTCCAGATATGGATTTGCCTTTCCTGCACCCAATGCTTCTGCCAAGACTAAAATTCATGGGCTCATTGAATGCCTTATCCACCTCCATGGTATTCCACACAGCATAGCCTCTGACCAAGGCACTTCACAGCCAAAGAAATATGGCAGTGGACTCATGCTCATGGAATTCACTGGTCTTACTATGTTCCCCATTATCCTGAAGCAGCTGGCTTGATATAGAACGGTGGAATGGCCTTTTGGCGTTTCAGTTACAATACCAACTTGGTGACAATACTTTGCAGGGCTGGGGCAAAGTTCTCCCAAAGGCTGTGTATATATGAAAGGGAGTTTATTACGGAGAATTGGTTCACACAATCACAAGGCAAAGTCCCACGACAGGCCACCTGCATGCTGGGGAAGAAAGAAGCCAGTAGTGGCTCAGTCTGAGTCCAAAAGCCTCAAAACCAGGGAAGCTGACAGTGCAGCCTTTCGTCTGTGGCTGAAGGCCCAAGACCCCCTGGCAAACCACTGGTGTAAGTCCAAGAGTTCAAAGGCCAAAGAACCTGGAGTCTGGCCCCTCCCCCTCCCCCTCTCCGCACGGTCTCCCTCTCCCTCTCTTTCCACGGTCTCCCTCTCATGCTGAGCCGAAGCTGGACTGTACTGCTGCCATCTCGGCTCACTGCAACCTCCCTGCCTGATTCTCCTGACTCAGCCTGCCGAGTGCCTGCAATTGCAGGCTCGTGCCGCCACACCTGACTGGTTTTGGTGGAGACGGGGTTTCGCTGTGTTGGCCAGGCCAGTCTCCAGCCCCTAACCGCAAGTGATCCGCCAGCCTCGGCCTCCCGAGGTGCCGGGATTGCATACGGAGTCTCGTTCACTCAGTGCTCAATGGTGCCCAGGCTGGAGTGCAGTGGCATGATCTCGGCTCGCTACAACCTCCACCTCCCAGCCGCCTGCCTTGGCCTCCCAAAGTGCTGAGATTGCAGCCTCTGCCCGGCTGCCACCCCGTCTGGGAAGTGAGGAGCGTCTCTGCCTGGCCGCCCATCGTCTGGGATGTGAGGAGCCCCTCTGCCTGGCTGCCCAGTCTGGAAAGTGAGGAGCGTCTCCACCCGGCCGCCATCCCACCTAGGAAGTGAGTAGCACCTCTTCCTGGCCGCCATCACATCTAGGAAGTGAGGAGCGTCTCTGCCCGGCCGCCCATCGTCTGAGATGTGGGGAGCGCCTCTGCCCCGCCGCCCCGTCTGGGATGTGAGGAGCACCTCTGCCCAGCCGCGACCCCGTCTGGGAAGTGAGGAGCATCTCTGCCCGGCTGCCCCGTCTGAGAAGTGAGGAGACCCTCTGCCCGGCAGCCGCCCCGTCTGAGAAGTGAGGAGCCCCTCCGCCCGGCAGCCGCCCCGTCTGAGAAGTGAGGAGCCTCTCCGCCCGGCAGCCGCCCCGTCTGAGAAGTGAGGAGCCTCTCCGCCTGGCAGCCGCCCCGTCTGGGAAGTGAGGAGCGTCTCCGCCCGGCAGCCACCCCGTCCGGGAGGGAGGTGGGGGGGTCAGCCCCCCGCCCAGCCAGCCGCCCCGCCCGGGAGGTGAGGGGCGCCTCTGCCCGGCCACCCCTACTGGGAAGTGAGGAGCCCCTCTGCCCGGCCACCACCCCGTCTGGGAGGTGTGCCCAACAGCTCATTGAGAACGGGCCAGGATGACAATGGCGGCTTTGTGGAATAGAAAGGCGGGAAATGTGGGGAAAAGATTGAGAAATCGGATGGTTGCCGTGTCTGTGTAGAAAGAAGTAGACATGGGAGACTTTTCATTTTGTTCTGTACTAAGAAAACTTCTTCTGCAAAAAAAAAAAAAAAAGAAAGAAAGAAAGAACCTGGAGTCTGATGTCCAAGGGAGGAGGAGCAGGAAGAAGCATCCAGCAGGTAAAGTTATCCCACCTTCTTCCTCCTGCTTTGTCTTTGCTGTGCTGGCAGCTGATTGCATGGTGTCCACCCACACTGAGGACAGGTCTTCCTCTCCCAGCCCACTGACTCAAATGTCAATCTCCTCTGGCAACATCCACACAGACACACCCAAGAACAATACTTTACCAGCCATCTGGGCACCCCTTCATCCAATCAAGTTGACAAATAATATTAACCATCACAGTACTGTTTCTTTCAGAGCCAGTATTCATGCGTCCAGGAATCAAGGGGTGGAAGTGGAAGTGGCACCACTCGCAATTACCCCTAGTGACCTGGCTAGCAAAATTTTTGCTTCCTGTTCCTGCCACATTATGTTCTGCTGGCCTAGAAGTCTTATTTCCAGAGGGAGGAATGCTGCCACCAGGGGACACAACAATGACTCTATGGAACTGGGAAGTTAAGATTGCCCCCTGGCCACGCTCCTCCTACCTCTAAGTATACAGGTTAAGCAGGGAGGTATAGTGTTAATTGAGGTGATTGACCCAGACTATCAAGATGAAATCAGTCTACTACTCCACAGTGCAGATAAGGAATACAGAGTATGTCTGGAATACAGGCGATTACTTAGGGCATCTCTTGCTATTACCCTGCCCTGTAACTAAGGTCAATAGAAAACTACAACAACTCCATCCAGGCAGGACTACAAACGGCCCAGACCCTTCAGGAATGAAAGTTTGGCTCACTCCATCAGGTAAAAAACCATGACCAGCAGAGACGCTTGCTGAAGGGAAAGGGAATACAGAATGGGTAGTAGAAGAAGGTAGTTATCAATCCCAACTATGGCCATGTAACCAGTTACAGACATGAGGACTGACTGTCGAGAGTATTTCCTCCTTATTTCATTAAAAATATGCTTGTGTATATATACCTGTACTAAGGAAATATCTAAGTACAGGTATATATACCTGTACTAAGAAAAAATCTTAATGATTTCACAGTAAGTGATGGACCTGGCATTTAAATTCAGGCCCACCTGCCTTCAAATATGTGTTCTCCTTTATGATGACTTAATTGCCTAAAAATAGACCTTTTGGATTTGGAGGTAGCTGAAAGGTAAAATATTTTAGCAAAAGGTACCCTCCAATACAATTAGTTTGTGAGGCTTTTTTCACATTTTCTTGCCCAAATATTTTTCTTTAAAATTGTGATTAGTCAATGATTACTTTCAGGTTATTATCCTTTATTTGCTAACTTTACTAACAGAAAGTCATTAAAAAATTTTTAAATTCAAAACAAAACACATTTTAAAGTGACAGGTTTTCTTTTATTCAACAAAAGTAACAGATTATATCAGCAGCCTAGTCATCCTGATTTCTACTCTCTACATTGTCTAGAACTTCTCGGAGCCAGAACATCACAGACTGAAAAGTGAGTCACCTTATCCACCACCTGCATATAACAGGATCACCTCAATACTAATTCCACTGAGATTTTTATCTAGCACATTTTTCTACACCTCTAATGATCCTGGCTTAATAACTAAACACAGTAATATATCAGAAAAACACAATTCCTTTACAAAAAAAAAAAGTTTCCTGTATTTCACAAAGCAGAGCAAAGCAAATTTCTAATCTCACAATTGTGACGCTCATGGCCTTTCCCTCCTTTAAAAGCTTCCAAAAGTTCCTTGCAGAAAAGTCTTTCCAATGCTTCCCTCCTACACACAACCTTTGCCTAGCTAAGTCCTAGTCATCACCCTTCTGGCCTTAGTTTAAATGTTACTTT
This sequence comes from Homo sapiens, assembly GCF_000001405.40. Classification (NCBI taxonomy): domain Eukaryota; kingdom Metazoa; phylum Chordata; class Mammalia; order Primates; family Hominidae; genus Homo; species Homo sapiens. The sequence goes on from NC_000004.12 coordinate 94,160,366, forward strand.
ATTTATATACCCAGGTTTTTTTTGGGGGGGGGGGTTTGTTTTGTTTTGTTTTTAAGTATAAGTACCATGTGCATACTAGAGGCAAGGCACTGCGTTGTGCTGGATTTTGAGGGGTGAAAGAACAAGCATGGATATAATGTTACTTTATTTATATATTCGGGTTTTTGGGGTTTTTGTTTTTGTTTTAAGTACCATGTGCATACTAAAGGCAAGGCACTGCGTTGTGCTGGATTTTGAGGGGTGAGAGAACAAGCATGGATATCTATCCTTTGAAAGCTTCTGGGAAGTTGGGGGTAGGGACAGAGAAACATTACAATTTAAAACCTATTTATAATGATATAATTATAATCACTAAAGGATAAGTGCTATGAAGGAAAGGTTCAGGTTACAAAGAGAAAGTAAAACTAGGGAATCTAATTTAAAATGAGATGTCTCTGAAGGCCTCTTGGTAAGTGACATTTAAACTGAAGCCTGAAGTATAAAGAATAATTATTGTGAAGGGTGAGGAGAAGTCTTGACTAAACCAACAAAGTGAGGAGACACTAAAGCTTGGGAGGGCCTGAAAGTAGCCTAATGTGACTCTAGGACAGTGAGCAAAATGGAGAAAGGCATGCATGAAAGTGAAAAGATAGGCCAGGTGCTTGGTGACTCACATCTGTAATCCCAACACTTTGTGAGGCTGAGTGGGGGGTGAATCACTTAAGGTCAGGAGTTCGAGACCAGCCTGATCAACATGGTGAAACCCCGTAACTACTAAAAATACAAAAAAATTAGCCGGGCATGCTGGCGGGCACCTGTAATCCCAGCTACTCAGGAGGCTGAGGCAGGAGAATCACTTGAAACTGGGAGGTGGAAGCTACAGTGAGTTGAGATAGCACCATTGCAGTCCAGCCTGGGTGACGGAACGAGACTCTTGTCTCAAAAAAAAAAAAAAAAAAAAAAAAAAAGTGAAAAGATAGACCAGGCTTATAGGCCTCCTTGAGGATATCTAAATTTTATATTTTATTTTAGTACAATGGTAAGCCTGTGACTGGTTTCAAACTGGTAAATAACAAAATCTGATTTACATTTCAAAAAGATCTCTACTGCTATTGTGTGAAAATTGGATTAGGCCAATTAAATTCAGAATGTTTAATCCCCAGATTCTTTTTTTTTTTTTTTTCATTTTACTTTAAGTTCCAGGATACATGTGCAGAACATGTAGGTTTGTTACATAGGTATACATGTGCCATGGTGGTTTGCTGTACCTATTAACCCATCATCTAGGTTTTAAGCCCCACATGCATTAGGTTTTTGTCCTAATGCTCTCCCTTCCCTTGCCCCCGACCCCCGGACAGGTCCCATTGTGTGTTGTTCTCCTCCCTGTGTCCATGTGTTCTCATTGTTCAACTCCCACTTATGAGTGAGAACATATGGTGTTTGGTTTTCTGTTCCCGTGTTACTTTGCTGAGAATGATGGTTTCCAGCTTCATGCATGTCCCTGTAAAGGACATGAACTCATCCTTTTTTATGGCTGCAAAGTATTCCATGGTGTGTATGTGCCACATTTTCTTTATCCAGTCTAACATTGATGTGCATTTGGGTTGGTTCCAAGTCTTTGCTATTATGAACAGTGCTGCAATAAGCATACATGCGCATGTGTCTTTATAGTAGAATGATTTATAATCCTTTGGGTAAATACCCAGTAATGGGATCATTGGGTCAAATGGTATTTCTGATTCTACTTCCTTGAGGAATCACCACACTGTCTTCCACAATGGTTGAACTAATTTACACTCCCACCAACAGTGTAAAAGCATTCCTATTTCTCCACAGCCTCGTGAGAAATGAGAGAATCACTTGAGCTCAGGAATTCGAGACCAGCCTGGTCAACATAGTGAGACCCCATCTCTATTTTTAAAAAAAAAAAAACGGGCAGTCTGGATCGGGACGCTTTTCCGTCAACATCTTTCTGTTGAACCACTGAAGGGATAATATTAACTTTGGGTAGGTGCTGGGGTCTGGTAACATCTTTCTTTCTTCCAAATTTCTGGTGCCCTCTACTATCTCCCACTTGATGGAAAAACAAGTAATCTCTGGATCACTTCCCTCGGGATGGGATGACCTGTGATGGCTGTCATGCTAACAAACATTTTGTTTGTTTGTTATTATGGATCATGGTTTTGTTACTCGTGGACCCCAGATGGTTTTATGAGCATGGAGCAGTATCAACAAGCTAGCAGGATGCATACCTCACCACAGCATCCTCAGGGCACTGTCCTTCAGTAGGAGTTCTGTCACCAAAACCAGGGGGCTGCTCCTCAATGATGCATCTCATCCTAGAGTGGGAGCTTATTTCTCATTCAATAAACAGTTTCTGCATTAACGAGAACAGCAGCATAAAGAGCCACATCAGAAACTAGTATGTGTTGAAAGCCAGTGATTACTAATACTTCAAAATAATTCTGGGAGTAAAAGTAAAATGTGTTCAACCTTTCATGTCTTCCCTGAAGTCTTACAGGAAGCTTTTAGTGTTCTGTTTTTTATTTTCTCACATTTAGAGATAAGAATGGGAGAAGAGCAAACATCATCATGTTTATATATTGTTAGAAGAAAGCAGAATTAGAATAATTGAAGATATAAAATATCTACTTTGCATGGGAAAATGTCATGTCTAATATCTGCTTTAAAATAATTCAACAAGAAGGAAAAAAATAAAGTTGATGATTATTGAAATGGGATGTTGGGTTTATGGGAGCTCATTAGACTATTTCCTATTTTAGCTGTATTTAAAATTTGTCGTAACAATAAAAAGCGAAAAAGAATTCATATGGGGGCCGGGCGCGGTGGCTCACACCTGTAATCCCAGCACTTTGGGAGGCTGAGGCTGGTGGATCACCTGAGGTCAGGAGTTTGAGACCAGCCTCAACATGGGGAAACCCCATCTCTACTAAAAATACAAAATTAGCCGGGCGTAGTGGTGCATGCCTGTAATCTCAGCTACTCGGGAGGCTGAGGCAGGAGAACTGCTTGAACCTAGGAGGCGGAGGTTGTGGTGAGCCGAGATCGAGCCATTGCCCTCCAGCCTGGGCAACAAGAGCGAAACTCCATCTCAAAAAAAAAAAAAAAAAAAAAGAATTCATATGGATTGAAGAAGACATTCTCTGACATATTACTGACAGCACAAATTAGTACAACCTTTTTTTTTTTTTGAGACAGTGTCTTACTTTGTCACCCAGGCTGGAGTGCAGTGGGGCAATCTCGGCTCACTGCAAACTCGACCTCCTGGGTTCAAGCAATGCTCCCGCCTCAGCCTCTCAAGTAGCTGGGAAAACAGTCATGTAACACCACAACCTGCTAATTTTTGTATACTTTTTAGAGACAGGGTTTCACCATGTTGCCCAGGCTGGTCTCAAACTCATGAACGCAAGCAATCTGCATGCCTCAGCCTCCTGAAGTGCTAGGATTATAGGCGTGAGCCACTATGCCCGGCCTTGCACAATCTTTTAAAAAGTAATGTGGAAGTATCTATTAGAATTTAAAATGTGCATACCTTTTGATTTATCATCCCAGTTGAAATTTAACCTACAGAAATAATAACATTAATATTTATGTGCAAGGACATTCACTTTACTATCATAATAGCAAAATAATAGACACACAAATGTTTATTAAATAGACCAATAGTTAATAAGACAAAAAAATACTATATCCATCTTAGTACATACAAGTGTCAGAGGCGTTTGAACTAGAGCAACTCCATCTTGAATAGGGGCTTGGTAAAATGAGGCTGAGACCTCCTGGGCTGCATTCCCAGATGGTTAAGGCATTCTAAGTCACAGGATGAGATAGGAGGTCGGCAAAAGATACGGGTCAAAAAGACACTGCTGATTAAACAGATTGCAGTAAATAAGCTGGCTAAAACCCACCAAAACCAAGGTTGCGATGAGAGTGACTCTGTTCATCCTCACTGCTACACTCCCACCAAAGTCAAGTGACACTTTACAAATGCCATGGCAACATCAAGAAGTTACCCTATATGGTCTAAAAAGGGGAAGCTTGAATAACCCACCCCTCGTTTACCATATGATAAAGAAATAACCATAAAAATAGACAACCAGCAGCCTTCAGGGCTTCTCTGCCGATGGAGTAGCCATTCTTTATTCCTTTAGGGATATAGGACTTTCCCAATGTCCTTGCTTTCACTTTAGGGACTCTTCCTGAATTCTTTCCTGCATGAGATCCAAGAACCCTCTCTTGGAGTCTGGATTGGGACCCCTAGCCAGTAACACAAGATGATTAGTACATACAAGATGAATATGTATGTACTACATGGCTCATGTTAGATCACTGAATGATGTTTTTAATTCCAAACCAGTATTATTGGCATTATGCATCTGTCCATTATATACTGACGTGTATAACTTTTGGGGAAAAGTTGAGAAGGATACATATTACATGGAGAATGGTTAATGGAGTATGGGTTTGCTTTCATACTTTACTGTAAATACTTTGTATTTTTTTAAGTAGTAAGATTACAGGTGGTTTTGTTTGTTTACCCAAGTGGCAAAGCTGAGCGATAAACCCAGGCAGCCTGGCTCCAGATGCCTGGCTTTTAACAACTCACTAAATTGCCTTTAACTGGAGCAGTATATAAAGTGTGAACTTAATATTCTTAGAATTTATTTTTATTTAGTTCTTCATATCATATCTTCATCTCTCCTATCATACTCAGAGTGACTATATGTTTCTGATTCCAAACATCCCTTACCATCCTTGCATCAAGAGTACCTTCTGTTTCATGAAGTATTGACCCATAATATTGCAGGCCCTGGGTACGTCCCTTAGAGATCTGTTTACAAGAAAGAAAGAAAGAACAAAGAACTACTTAACAGAACTTTAACATAAATCCCTGTTAATTGTGGTGCCCTTGAAATTATAACTTAGTTTGATAGTGTAGTTAAGCCAATTATTTTGAAAATGCTACCGAAATGTTCGGTAAGCAACAACCCCTCTGGCCCCCTTTGCCTGGTTTCTTTGTCATTGTTTGGAGCTTCTGCTTTGAAGTACAATAGCCTCTTTGTTGCGGAGCCATAGGTAAAAAGTACTCATGCTCAAAGGTGACAGATTCCTTTCATCATTAATCCCAGGATGACCCACCCCACCCTCCAGAAGTTCTTAGTCTATAAAGGTTCTCATGTATATGCCTGTTAAAACCAAGTTCTTTTAGCCTTGTTCTTGCCTTTCTTCCTACCTCCTTTGCAATTGCTTTTTCCTTAAGGCATTTTATTTAAGTGGAGACACTAAGTTATGTAAGAGAGGCAAGGAACATTTTCTTGCCTAGCCAACTAAAGGAATCTTCTTGAAGTAAATTGAGATAAGAGTAGTGAAAAAAGGCAAATTTTCTGCCAAAAAAATCAAAAAATTATTGTTAATATATTACCCAGAATTAATTAGATGGGCAGTTTAGCAACAGCATTACATTACTAATTTTTTTCCTTACCTCCAGCAGCTTTTAGAAGACTGATTTACCAAGCGTATTTTCTGTCCAAGCTTTCTTTCATGGAAAAATTTGCTTTACCTAGACAAAGCACATTAAAGCAAATTAAATCACATGTAAGATTAAGGAGGTTCTTGTTTGCTTTCAAAGCATATTCTTTTTTTTTTTTTTTGAGACAGAGTCTCGCTCTGTCGCCCAGGCTGGAGTGCAGTGGCGCGATCTTGGCTCACTGCAAGCTCCGCCTCCCGGGTTCACGCCATTCTCCCGCCTCAGCCTCCCCAGTAGCTGTGACTACAGGCCCCCGCCACCACGCCCGGCTAATTTTTCTGTATTTTTAGTACAGATGGGGTTTCACCGTGTTAGCCAGGATGGTCTCAATCCCCCGACCTCGTGATCCGCCTGCCTCTGCCTTCCAAAGTGCTGGGATTACAGTCATGAGCCGCACCTGGCCACACCCGGCCTCAGAGCATATTCTTAAATTATCCTGGTCTTTTCTATTCAGAAGCTTTGTGCACCAGGTATGTTTACTAACATGAATATGAAAATATTTCTGCTCGTAAACTTCAGTGTAAAACTCCAGAGCAAATATGATGAACTTTTTACGACTGATATTGGTCTTATTTGTAATTTGTAGAATTTAACTCTGCAGCAATAGATAAGCCCATGCACATCAGTATGCAAATGAAAATGGTGGCTATCTTAAAATCTTCCCTAAAAGAAATATGCCCTGAGCTAGCACATACAGTGTAGATACCATGATGCCCAATAATACTTACCAGGTTCTTTCATCCACTAAAATTATTTAGAATATTTCCACCAGGGCAAAATGAATAAACAAACTTTTATCTGATCTTCATATTAAATAGTTGAGAAAAACTGCCTACCATGGCAGCCACTCCCAATAAGAACTGTGATGATAATTTGACCTCAAAAGAGTACCCCATCAACCCCACTTGTTCCCCACTTGTTCCCCACCTTTTCCCTGAAATGGTCACTTTCATGCGCGTCCGTGTGAAGAGACCACCAAACAGGCTTTGTGTGAGCAATAAAGTTTTTAATCACCTGGGTGCAGGCGGGCTGAGTCCGAAAAGAGAGTCAGCGAAGGGAGATAGGGGTGGGGCCATTTTATAAGATTTGGGTAGGTAAAGGAAAATTACAGTCAAAGGGGGTTTGTTCTCTGGCGGGCAGGAGTGGGGGTCGCAAGGTGCTCAGTGGGGGAGATTTTTGAGCCAGGATGAGCCAGGAAAACGACTTTCACAAGGTAATGTCATCAGTTAAGGCAAGGACCGGCCATTTACACTTCTTTTGTGGTGGAATGTCATCAGTTAAGGTGGGGCAGGGCATTTTCACTTCTTTTGTGATTCTTCAGTTACTTCAGGCCATCTGGGCGTCTATGTGCAAGTCACAGGGGATGCGATGGCTTGGCTTGGGCTCAGAGGCCTGACAGTCACCAAGGAAAACTTTCCACCTCTAACATTGAACAATTCTTCCTGTTTTGAAATGATCCCAACTGCTTGCCCCTTTATGGCCTACCAGCTATTGCCAGATGAACTCAATGACCACTCAATAAAATTCTCTCTTGCTTCTAAAATTCCTACCTTAATAAATGCTTGCCAATCAGAGGCTTAGTATTTTCTTCACACACTATAAACTCATACTTGTCCAATACCATTGAAGACCTGCTGAAATAAAACATTGCCAAGGGCTTTCTTGCTACAAGTTTATGAATAAATAGACTGTTAATTTTGCCACATGCTTAGTTTTGTCTTTAACCATAATTGTATATGATATGTTAAACTATCTCCTAAATATCTCTGAATCCATCTTTTTCTCCCCATCCCCACTAATATTCTTTTTTTTTTTTTTTTGAGACAGAGTTTCACTCTTGTTGCCCAGACTGGAGTGCAATCGCACTATCTCAGCTCACTGCAACCTCTGCCTCTTGGGTTCAAGCGATTCTCCTGCCTCAGCCTCCCAAGTAGCTGGGATTACAGGCATGCGCCACCATGCCGGACTAATTTTGTATTTTTTAGTAGAGAGGGCGTTTCACCATGTTGGTCAGGCTGGTCTCGCACCCCTGACCTCAAGTGACCCACCTGCCTCGGCCTCCCAAAGTGCTGGGATTACAGGCGTGAGCCACCACGCCCAGCCAGTACTAATATTCTTATTATGCATCATCTAGAATGAGAATTAGTCCAGGAAGTGATCTCTTTGCCTCCAATGTCCTCGGATTCATCCTTGTCTTGCTGACAAAGTATTATTGGTAGAAGGCAAATGCATTCACACCCTTCTTTTATTTTAATGGCATCCCCAAAGCTAACTAACGTAATAATACCCAAATGCTTTCCAAAAGACTTGCAATAATAGTAATAGTAGTAGAATATTCTAATGAAAATAAATTAATACGTGTTAATTTATAATAAGAGTTTCCATTAACCTTGACAAATACTCTGAAGGGTAGAAAGGCTTTGTTATCCTAGCTGAGAAATCTAAGATTCAAGGAAGCTAAATGAAATTGCTCAAGGTAACTTAGCTAGTAAGTAGCGGATCCAGAATCTAAAACTGTGTTTATCAGATTCCAAAGCCCATGCTTTCCTGAATGCCCTCCCCAACAGCCATACTGAATTCTTTCCATTCTTTCAGTATGCTGTGCTGGCTCATACATCCTTCCCTCTGTACATGCTTCTGTCACTCTCATCTTCTGTGAAACTTTCCCACACCTTCACTCTCCCCAGGCAGAGATGACTGTTTCCTCTCCCTACTGCTGCTTTAGCTGAAACTTGCCTCTTTCATAGTCTTCATCACACTTTAATATTATATAAATAATTCCTTACATTGGCATTTCACAAAATTGTAAGCTCTTTGAGAACAAGGCGTTCTACTCCATTTTCCAGTTTTAAAAAAAGTGTTAGGCCAGGCGCAGTGGCTCACGCCTGTAATCCCAGCACTTTGGGAGGCCGAGGCGGGCCGATCACAAGGTCAGGAGATTGAGACCACGGTGAAACCCCGTCTCTACTAAAAAAAATACAAAAAATTAGCCGGGGGTGGTGGCGGGCACCTGTAGTCCCAGCTACTCTGGAGGCTGAGGCAGGAAAATGGCGTGAACCCGGAGGGTGGAGCTTGCAGTGAGCCGAGATGGCGCCACTGCACTCCAGCCTGGGCGACAGAGCGAGACTCCGTCTCAAAAAAAAAAATTAAAAAAAAAAGTGTTACTCTGACATACCAAATGACATAGAATTTTCAGAGAATGAAAAAAAACCTTTTTTTATTGCTCATTAAGGCTCTTCAACAAAGAAAGGAAACGGAGATGATAATTAGTTATTTCCTCAGTGAGTTAGTTTGAAGACTAAATCAGTGGTTCTAAAACCTGACTGTAAACTGAAATTCCCTTAGGAGAGTGGGATAATGTGAATCTCCAGATCTTATGCCATATCTTGTGATTCATAAATTGTATATGATTCATGATTCTATGTGCATGTGGATATCCAGGGGGATCTACTAAGCAACTAGATTTGGCTACCACAGAATTTAATGTTATAAGCTATTTAAACACTCATTAAACACAATGCCCAGCCCATGGTAAATGCTCAATAAATGTTAAATGATAACACCTTACAAATGTCATACTACTTCACAATTTACAACGTATTCACACAATAATTATTCCACTTGATCTTCAGAACAATACCAGTGATATGGTTTGGATCTGTGTCTTCACCCAAATCTCATGTGGAATTGTAGTCCCCAAAGTTGGAGATGGAGCCCAGTGGGAGGTGATTGGATCATGGGGGCAAATTTTTCCCCTTGGTACTATTGAGAGGTGACAGCCTGCTGGCAGCCCTTGCAGCCCTCGCTCACTCCCGGCGCCTCCTCTGCCTGGGCACCCACTCTGGCGGTGGTTGAGGAGCCCTTCAGCCCGCCGCTGCACTGTGGGAGCCCCTTCCTGGGATGGCGGAGGCCGGAGCCAGCTCCCTCAGCTTGCGTGCAGGGAGGTGTGGAGGGAGAGGCGCGAGCGGGAACCAGGGCTGCGCGAGGCGCTCGCGGGCCAGCTGGAGTTCTGGGTGGGCGTGGGCTTGGTGGGCCCCGCACTCGGAGCCGCCGGCCGGCCCCGCCAGCCCCGGGCAGTGAGGGGCTTAGCACCCGGGCCAGCAGCTGTGGAGGGTGCACCGGGTCCCCCAGCAGTGCCGGCCCACCTGCGCTGCGCTTGATTTCTCACGGCCCTTAGCTGCCTCCCCATGGGGCAGAGCTCGGGACCTTCAGCCCGCCATGCCTGAGCCTCCCCACCCCCGCCCTGGGCTCCTGCGCAGCCCCAGCCTCCCAGACGAGCGCCGCCCCCTGCTCAATGGCGCCCGGTCCCATCGACCGCCCAAGGGCTGAGGACTGCTGGCACACCGCTGCTACTGGCAGGCAGCTCCACCTGCGGCCCCAGTAGGGGATCCACTAGGTGAAGCCAGCTGGGCTCCTGAGTCTAGTGGGGACTTGGAGAAACTTCATGTCTAGCTAACTTTGTCTAGCAATCAGCACTCTGTGTCTGGCTCAAGGTTTGTAAATGCACCAATCAGCACTCTGTGTCTAGCTCAGGATTTGTAAATGCGCCAATCAGCACCCTATGTCTAGCCCAGGGCTTGTGAATGCACCAATCAGTGCTCTGTGTCTAGCTAATCTAGGGGAGACTTGGAGAACTTTTGTGTCTAGCTCAGGGATTGTAAATGCACCAATCAGCACCCTGTCAAAATGGACCAATCAGCTCTCTGTAAAACAGACCAATCAGCTCTCTGTAAAATGGACCAATCAGCAGGATGTGGGTGGGGCCAGATAAGGGAATAAAAGCAGGCTGCCCAAGCCAGCAGTGGCAAACCCCCTGGGTCCTCTCCTGCACCGTGGAAGCTTTGTTGTTTTGCTCTTTGCAATAAATATTGCTGCTGCTGACTGTTTGGGTCCATGCTGCCTTTATGAGCTGTAACACTCACCGCGAAGGTCTGCAGCTTCACTCCTGACGCCAGGGAGACCATGAACCCACCAGAAGGAAGAAACTCCAAACACATCTGAACATCAGAAGGAACAAACTCCGGACATGCTGCCTTTAAGAACTGTAGCACTGACTGCAAGGGTCCGCGGCTTCATTCTTGAAGTCAGTGAGACCAAGAACCCAACAATTCCGGATACACTATGTAGGGATAGTGAGCAAGTTCTCATGAGATCTAGTTGTTTAAAAGTGTGTGGCTTTTTTTTAACACTTTTTGGTTAAAGTGTTAAACCACCCCACCTTCCTCCTACTCCAGCCATGTGAAGATGCCTGTTTCCCCTTCACCTTCCACCGTGGTTATAAGATTCCTGAGGCCTCCCCAGAAGCAGAAGCTGCTATGCCTCCTATACAGCCTGCAGAACTGTGAGCAAATTAAACCTCTTTTCTTTGTAAATTACACAGTCTCACATATTATTTTATAGCAATTTTTAAATTCTTTTATTTTATAGCAATTTGAGAACAGACTAACACAAAGATCAACATTAATCTCTCTCATCCCAAACTATTCAGTAGAATGTAATCACTTAAATGCTGTCTCCTTCTATTGGAATGAAATAAAGAGATGAAGACCCCTTAAAAATAAAACTTTCTTTAGCCTGAAAAAACTCATCTGCTCTTCCAATGGTAGATTGAATATGATGACTCCCAGCTTTGGGTAATCAGATCTCTAGCTTGTTTAAATGGCATTTAGATCCACTGGTCATTAGGAGGAGAAAATAAAGAGTACTGGTTGGGCAATCAACACTGTTGTAAGAGTTATCTTTAGGCAAGATACAAATCTATATTTAGCCAAAAGAGTACCAAACCTTTATTTTCCAAGAAGGAAGAACACCAAAAGAATGAGAAAAGATGCTGTTGTAAACGTGATGCCAAATTGTGCAATTCCTACTCGCTCATGCAACTTCAGAAAGCTGAAGTTGAGCAAATTCTTCCAAATTTTTGCTTCCGGAAGTCCCAGCAGGGCACCCTAGTGGTAATACTAAGAATTACATCTAATATATTGAGTAATCTCTGTCAATAAATGAACATAGAAAGTCATAAAAAAGATATACAATAGGTTTCATGTCAAATTAGGTAGGTCAGGAGTTCACGGCCAGCCTGGCTAACATGGTGAAACCCCATCTCTACTAAAAATACAAAAAATTAGCTGGGAGTGGTGGCGGGCACCTGTAATCCCAGCTACTTGGGAGGCTGAGGAAGGAGAATTGCTTGAACCTGGAAGGTGGAGGTTGCAGTGAGCCGAAATTGCACCATTGCACTCTAGCCTGGGCAATAACAGCGAAAATCTGTCTCAAAAAAAAAAAAAAAAAGTCACACTACAGTAAAAATGAATTTTAATCAGGGGCTTGAGGGAAAAATCCTATAAGTAGTGTCAATATCCTTTTTGAAACTGTATTTGTATGAAGTTCCTAAGTTCTAACCAGTTACATCAGAGATGAGAATGAGTGGGCAGGCAATATTGCTTCTGTGCTAATCCAATAAATTTAATGATTTAATTTGTGATTTATTATGACATTTTTAAATAAATACATCTAAATAAATTTAAATGCTGTTGGACTCACGAATTTAATTTGAAACGTATAAATAAGTTTGACTGATATTAGACTTGTAACTTTAATTCAAAAATTGTGAAATTATTTGTTCATGAACATTATTTCAAATTTTAAAATAATTCAATATTAAACCCTCAAGTTTAAATTTATCAGATATGTAAGTAATAGTCAAATGCTTGAATAGACTTGTTGGATTTGCAAGCCTTCCTTGATTTGTTGTATCCTTCCCTCAGACATTGGAAAACTCCAGTTGAGCTTTCTCTTCACACATGCCCTCTTCGCCTTTGACCTTCTCTGTCAACGTTTTGACTTAGCACAAAAGCTCTCACCAGAAGCCTAGCAGATGACAGCACCATGCTTCTTGTACAACCTGTAGAACCATGAGCTAAATAAACCTCTTTTCCTTGTAAATTACCCAGCCTCAGGTATTCCTCTTTTAGCAACACAAAATGGAAAAAAAAATCTTCAATTGAGTATCTTCTAAATAGATGGTAAGAATATGTAAGAGATAGAAAAAAGAGAGACAATACTGTGTATTGGTTTTGTTAATGTGTCTACTAATTTCCTCTGTTTGGAATGACTGGCATTTCTTAATGTTTCTACTTCTATTAACATTGAGTGGAGGCTGGGCACAGTGGCTCACGCCTGTAATCCCAGCACTTTCGGAGGCCAAGGCAGGTGGATCATGAGGTCAGGAGATTGAGACCAGCCTGGACAACATGGTGAAACTCCATCGCTACTAAAAATACAAAAAAAAAAAAAAAAAATTAGCTGGGTGTGGTGACATGCACCTGTAGTCCCAGCTACTTGGGAGGCTGAGGCAGGAGAATTGCTTGAACCCGGGAGGCAGAGGTTGCAGTGAGCCGAGATTGCACCACTGCACTCCAGCCTGGGCCACAGAGCAAGACTCTGTCTCAAAAAAAAAAAAAAAAAAAAAAAAATTGAGTGGAATACCTAAAATGTTTCTGATTTTTGTCAGATGATGTACAAATTTAATCAAAATTTACAATTAGGTGGACACAAATTCCATTCACAAAATTATTTTAATTTTATTCCTGATCACCTTATATTCCTTAAAAAGAAAAAAAAAAGAAGGAAGCAGGGAGGAAGGAGGGAGGGGAAGGATAAAAGAAGGAAAGAAGGAAGGGAGAGAGGGAGGAAAGGTTGGGAGGGAGGGAGGGAAAAAGGCAAAATTCCTACGTTTCAGAGTGCTATGATCTGAATGTGTCCCCCCAGAGTTTTGTATTGGAACTTAATTAACACTGTGATAGTGTTAAGAGGTGAGGTCTTTAGGAGGTGAATAAGTCAAGAGGGCAGAGCTCTCATAAATGATCAGTGACTTATAAAAGAGCTGTGAGGGAGCTATTCATCCCTTCCACCCTTTTTTTTTTCTTAAACCCCTTCTCCATGTGAGAATGGAGCAACAAGTTGCCATCATGGAAGCAGAGAGCAGCCCTCACTAGGCACCAAACCTGCCAGCACCTTGATCTCATGCTCCCCAGCTTCCAGAACGCTAAGAAATAAATTTCTATTGTATATAAATTACCGTCTGGGGTATTTTGTTTGAGCAGCGCAAATAATCTAAGACACAGACATATTCAAAATGTAATCCTTTTACTCTTTTCTCTTTTGGAAATATTCAGTCATTCACCAAATATTTTTCAGGTGCCCAAGTGCCACATCCTGTGTTAGATGCTAAAGATGCACTCCTGAGTAATACAGGCATGGCCCATACTGTGTAGAATTTAAACAGAACTTAATAAGGTACAATAGAATAGACTAAAAAACTACAAAAGACAAGTAGATTTTAATTTTCTAATTAACTTGAAATATCTCTAAAGTATATTTTAATTCCTCACTTTATCAATATTTACTATACTAATAGATGTATTGAATTTAAAGGGTAGATGTGGGAAAAAAAGGTTCTGTTACACCAAATGCCCCGTAGGTGGATTTTTAAGATAAATATTTTCACATTTCAGTCTTTCAAACTAGTTATTGTTATTAAGCAAAGGACAAATAGACTAATTATGCTGTTTGGGGCAATGGTTTTAAAAATGGTCACAATTGGCTGGGCACGGTGGCTCATGCCTGTAATCCCAGCACTTTTGGAGGCTGAGGCCGGTGGATCACCTGAGGTCAGGAGTTCAAGACCAGCCTGGCCAACATGGTGAAACCTTGTCTCTACTAAAAAATACAAAATTAGCTGGGTGTGGTGGCATGTACCTATAGTCCCAGCTACTTGGGAAGCTGAGAGGCAGGAGAATCGCTTGAACCCAGGAGGCGGAGGTTGCAGTGAGCCAAGATCACACCATTGCCCTCCAGCCTGGGTGACAGAGCTAGACTCTGTCTCAAAAAAAAAAAAAAGTCACAATTAGTATAGTATATTAATTGTTTTATAAGCTTAGACAATACCATACAACAAAAATCTTTACTTCTAATCCATGGAAATTAAGTCTGAAATTATTTTTAGCCTATTAATACAATTTTGAAATGCCTTCTAAAGGAATTATATAAGACAGGAATCATTGACATTCAAGTTAATTAAGAAAATCTCTTTATAATTTAAAAAAATCTCCTATAGTCTATAAGATTTTATAGGAAATAATTAAATGCAAATAAGAAAGCCATCTCAATATGAATTTTGCTGGCTCTTGAGAAAATATTTTAATTTTAAAAACCACTTGATATACTTGTTCTTTTCTAAGTGTTTCATCCATTTCCATGAACTGAAAAGTATAATTTAGATTTAGGTCTTCCCTGCAAGAATTGGTCAGAAGCATTCCTACACAATACACAAAATTCAGAAGGTAAGCACAAAAGGCTAAGTCTACTCTCTTACTATAAGAACAAACAAGCTAACATTGCACTTTCTCAGTCTTTGAGTCCTATCTGATTTCTTCATTCTTGTCTGATTACTTCTCTGGCCTCAATCTGTTAACACTGCCCCTTTTCCTACTCTTTAAACACCACTTAGCACACTGAAGTTGTACTGACCCATTTACATCTTTTGACATTATGGTTTAGTGTTTCTCATACTGTGCTATACATTTCCTTTTACTTTGTTCAAGCAATAGAAATGATTTTGTCATAAATTTTGACCCCAGCCCTTGTTCAAAAATGGGCACATTAAAAATTTGTGCTTACCTTTTAGATGTCTCTCAAATAATCTTATTGTTTCATTCAAATCCAAAGATCTAGTTTAGTTTCTGTGGAGCTGAAATGCTTACTGGTTGTCTCCTCACTGGCTCTACAACCTGCAGGCTGCCTCCCACTTATCAAATCATTCCTTAATCTTGTTTTCGAAGACAATGGCAGCAGTGACTATCAGCTGGTGATAACATTTGGTGCCTTCGAGATTTCAGCATTTCATGTCCCTTGTCTGGGACACATGCATACCACCAGGCTCACCCTGTTTCTGGGTTTTCTACAGCTTGGTAAAACTATCACGGCTTCTCAATTTCTTACTTAATGCTTAGAGGACATCTACGGGAGTTTGGATTGGGTTGTCTGTCTTGCTGGAATCAGACATTAAATAGTGCCAGTGCTTAGAACCACAGACTCAGCACCTGCATCTGGCTCTGATTCACATCTGCTGTCTACTATCTAGTTCAAAATCATACAAGTTTTTTTTGTTCATGGTCACGTGATCAGAAATCCACATAAAAGCAGGCAGCATGAATTATTTTATTGATTTATTACAATGATGAGGCAAGAAGGTCTGTGTGGCAACTCTTGGGGTGATCAAGTGCATGTAGAGGTTCTAGCTATACTTGTTTACCTCTGGTCGTGGTTCTTCAAAACACTCCAAAGTGGACTTTTAGTGGAATTTAATTTGAACATCTCAAAATTGATTAATTCAACTTCAATTATAGTGTCTAATATAATACCTTATAGCAGGCAATTATCCAACATAGCACAGAATTAGTTGGGACAAACTGGCACCCAGTTTGTGCTTGGGTTTTTTGTTGTTATTGTTTGTTTGTTAATCTCAGGGAATATATGCAGCATTTTAGATGCTCAGGTTCTACTTTAATTTTAGAAACACAATATTGTGTTCTTACTGCCACTCCTCCTTGTTTGGTACAGATCCTATAACACAAAAAGTGTTTAAAAATGTGAATTTAATACAGGTGAATTAACATTTTCTAAGCTAGTGGCCTGTCTTTCTGGTGAAGCAAAGCTATAATTTTCCTATTCTTTAAAGCCGCAGTGGGGTGCAGTGGCTCACACCTGTATCCCAGCACCTTGGGAAGCTGAGGCGGGCAGATCACTTGAGCTCAGGAATTCAAGACCAGCCTGGCCAACATGGAGAAACTCTGTCTCTACAAAAAACACAAAAAATTAGCCAGGCATAGTGGTGCGTGCCTGTAGTCCTAACTACTCCAGAGGCTGAGGCAAGAGAATCGCTTGAACCTGGGAAGCAAAGGTTGCAGTAAACTGAGATTGTGCCACTGCCCTCCAGCCTGGCCACAGAGCAAGACTCTGTCTACCACAATTTTGATCGCAAACGCGTACAATCAACCCTATCATGAAAGACAAAGGGCATCTGACAATTAAAGAGATTATTATATTTGGGCTGTATTGGGAGATTATTCATTGATGAGGAACATCTCAAGGAAAAGTGGAGGTAGGGTTTTAAAGAGGTGGATAAACAGGGAAGTCATTGAGGAAGGATGGAGATGGGTTTTTTTGTTTGCTTGCTTGCTCTGTTTTTTGTTTGTTTGTTTGTTTGAGACAGTCTCACTCTATTGCCCAGGCTGGAGTGCAGGGTTGTGATCTCGGCTCACTGCAACCTCTGCCTCCCAGGTTCAAGTGATTCTCGTGCCTCAGCCTCCCGAGTAGCTGGGATTACAGGCACGTACCACCTTGCCTGCCTAATTTGTGTATTTTCAGTGGAGACAGGGTTTCACCATGTTGGCCAGGCTGGTCTCGAACTCCTGACCTCAAGTGATCCACCGGCCACCACCCCTTGCCAAAATGGGTCTTATCTAAGAGCACACAACAGACAGCAGGGTAGTTGTTTGTGGTTAGCTATTTCTTGGAGCACAAAAGAGTCGGAGGAGGGATCCTGACTATCTGGCTTTCCAGGTACACAGGGTTCAGGTAAAATTGAACATTGTCAATTGTCCTTTTGTTCAAGATAAATGAATATCACTTATTGCTGAACAACTTGGAGCTGATTATAAACTTCCCAAATGTTGACGAAGGGTCTAAGAAGTAGTCTCTCAAGAATTATTGTTGGTATTGTTCCTAGAAATCAGTTAAACCATCTATTAAGAGGTGGTAAAAAATGTTGATTGTTTTAGGATCCTGGAGACCCTAAAGGCTTGGGCATTGCAAGAGACAGATGCCTAAAACGAAAAAGAGAAATATTAGTATAAAAAGTTGTATTATAGTAAAGAGCTAGGAGTTGAACTCTGAGGGTACTAGTTCAGTGGATTCTAAGAGGTTGTCGAAAATCTTTTGGGTATATAGCATTGCTTGTTGCATTTCATGCTCTTAAGATAGCTTGTCAGTGCTATTGATGTTGTCCACAGTCTTGGTTGCATCTCATCTAAGGGTATGCTTGACCCAGGAATTCCTGGAATTCACTGGAATTCCTCAGTGGTCCAGACAGTGGCTTGTCCAGGGAGAAATCCAGCTCACTCATGGGTTGCTGCAGTGGTGGGTTCTTCCAAGTTTATATCAGATCACTGTTTAACTTGAGGGACTTCTTCAGATTCTGTGGAAAGGGTCAGCTGCAAGGCAGCCTAAAGTCCCAGAGATTGGGCAGTCAGGTTTAGTTCTCCGTGACTCCGAGTCAGGCAAAAGGAAGAAAAATTAGAAACATTAGTTTGGAGGACTGTGGCCAGATATTGAAGGAAACCAGAAGAATTAAAAATTTGGTAAGGATTAACTGAGCAAGGTAACCAAATTCAGTCCAATTTGTGGGTAGGTACCAGAACTGTTTTTTTCCACAGGGTGAGGGTTGGAAGTCACTTAAATCTCTGACAGACAAGACAGAGTTTGCATGTCTATCAGTTATCTATCAGTTACAAAGAGACATGAAAAAGACTTCAAAGATCATGAACTGGGCTGGAATCTAATAACCAGGAAGGATGTGCTGTAAATGACACATAGTTTTCCATTGAAACACAAAATTTCTCTCTATAGTCACCCGTCTTTTGATCAAAAATATTCCCAAAAAGAAGATTTTTTTTTTTTTGGGGGGGGGACAGAGTCTCGCTGTCACCCAGGCTGGAGTGCTGTGGCACAATCTTGGCTCACTACAACCTCCGCCTCCCAGATTCAAGCAATTCTCATGCTTCAGCCTCCCCAGTAGCTGGGAGTACAGGCACACGCCACCATGCCCCACTAATTTTTATATTTTTAGTAGAGACCGAGTTTCACCATGTTGGCCAGACTGGTCTCAAACTCCTGGCCTCAAGTGATCTGCCCAATTCGGCCTCCCAAAGTGCTGGGATTACAGGCACGAGCCACCACATCTGACCCCCCCACGTCTTTTTTTTTTTTTTTTTTTTTTTTTGAGACAGGGCCTCACTGTATTGCCCAGGCTGGCCTCAAATTCTTGGACTTAAGTGATCTTCCCAGCTCAGCCTCCTGAGTAGTTAGGACTACAGACATGCACCACCACTGTGCCTGCTAAGATTATAGATTATTTTTTTATTTTTATTTTTATTTTTTTTTTTGAGACAGGCTTTTATACCCAGGCTAGAGTACCAAGGCACGATCTTGGCTCACTGCAGCCTCTGCCTCTTGGGATCAAGTGAGCCTCCCATCTCAGCTTCCTGAGTAGCTGAGACTACAGGCATGCACCACCTTGCCCAGCTAATTTTTACATTTTTTATAGAGACAGGTTTCACCATGTTGCCAGGCCAGTCTCGAACTCCTGGGCTCAAGCAATCCACCTGCCTCGGCCTCTGAAAATAATAAGATTATTCTTGATTACAAAATAAAACTGGTCTAATTAGATTTGACTTGATTATTTATTTAGGTGTAGTCATAATAATAACTTACCATTAAGACCTTTCTAAATTTGCTTTACTGAATGTTTTCAATAAGGATTTAAGAATTAGATTAGACTTTTAAAAGCTTATTGAAGCTAGAAAGCTAAGCCAAGAAGCTAGATTTCACCTGCAGAGGCTATAAATTTGGGAGAATTCTTCTCTTCTTGGGGTTCCCAAATTATCTTCAGGCTTCTTGGCTTGCTAGGAAATACCTTTTCTTGCTCATCTGTAAGGCTAGAATCACTATAAGCCATGAACCAGACCAGTTTCCCAAGAGGGCTGTGTAAGCACTGGGTCCACAAAGTCAACCTTAGTTCCTTAAAAGTGCCTAGTGATATTAATAAAAATAGCATCATTCCCAAATATGATGTTCCAGGCCAAGATCTTGGTTGCATAACCAATGCTTCTAGTTATGTCCTGGTAACAAGGAGGACAGGCTCATTTTCAACCTATCCAGATAACTGTATTGCCATTAGAATAAGAATACTCAGTAATAGTTTCTGAATTTTGGAGTGGTTGAAATGGAAAAAAAGATCATTTACAAATGTTTTATATTGTTTTAAAAAGCAGAGTCTATTAAATTGTTATGAGTTATAGATAGCTTAAGAGAAAAGAGCAACTGGTTTCTTATATTTCCAAAAACTAGAACATTAAAGCATCAACAATACTCCAAACAAAAATCATAATCATCTCTCATCAGTTCATTCCTTTCAGTGTAATTCATTCATTCCAGTGTAATTAATTCCAGTGTAACAATTAATGCCCAATCTTAGATTAGTAGCCTCATGAGCCCACCTGCTTCTTGAGTGGCTTCTGGAAATACCTGAACATACCTGACTCAGTCTACTGGTATAGTCTGAAAGTTGTTTAAGTGATGCCATCAAAAGTCTGTACCTCAAAACATTTGGCATCATCCTTTTCCACAGCACATGAGACAGTCCTTCTTTGCTGAAGATGAAGTATTCGGGCCTGTAGTTAATTATAAGAGCTTTCAGAGCAGCATTAGAGAAAAACAAAAAAACTGTCTATTGATGTCCAAAGATTAAAAATGATCGTGGTTAAATTATTACTGATAATTTTCAAAAGTGGAAGGTCTGATGGGTGTTTTTAACAAGAATAGTGCCACTGAGAAGAATATTTGGGTATTTCTGTGTTATATAAAACAAGATAATAAAGTCAATCCAAAAAAGCATTTAAGACAAAATGTAAGCATAATGATGAAGCCTACTTTCCAAAAAGAGTGGTTATTACATTTAATTTATACATATGGATACGCATGATCTTTATGAAGAAAAAACTCCAGATATAATAATCCTGACATATACTATACCATGACTATATGCCAAGCACATATTTAGAATATATCAAGAATATCAAGTAAAAGGATTCTGTAAGTCTGGAGTATGTCCTAATCAGAAGATGCTAGATTCAAATTAAAGAAGTACAGTTGTAGCCAATATTTTTTAAATAACTGAAATTATGACTAATAACACTATACTGTTGCTTTTTTAATATGAGGCAAAGCAGCACCAGGACTCTGATAAATAGAAACATATCATGGACAGTAAAGGCACTGACAATTCTCCAGCAACTTCCCATACAGTTTACAATTTCTGAAATATTTGTATTAATAACATTTTACCATTTAATCTAGGGAAGACTAATCATAACTTCCTGCTTAGCAATTGCCCCACCCCAAGTTCCATTTAGCAACTATGGGCCAAGAATGAATAAGGGCTCTGGGGACTCAAAGGTGAACAAGACAAAATTCCTTTCTCCAGAGATCTTTGTCTTACAGTGTAGTGGGGAAAATACAGTAATAGGAGTTACAAGCACAGACTAGCCACTCTGTGCCCAAACTAGGAGTAGTGAGTAGAGTGAGAAAAGGAAAAGTAATGAAGGTGGGTTATGTACGGCTTTTGGAGAAATGATCGCTAAATGATTTTATGTGGTTTGAAGAATGAACCTGAAGAGTAAAAGAAAGGATATCTATGTAGACTTTTCTTAAAAGAGTTTAATGGAGTGAGTAGATAGGAAGGCAATGAAGGTATAGACAAGATATGAACAAGATCCTTAAAGGGACAGAAATCAAGAGCACAAATTAAGAAATACAGGCCAGGCACAGTGGCTTGTGCACTTTGGGAGGCCGAAGCAGGCGTATCACTTGAGGTCAGGAGTTCGTGACCAGCCTGGCCAACGTGCTGGAACCCCATCTCTACAAAAAACACAAAAATTAGCCGAGTGTGATGGTGGGTGCCTGTAATCTCAGCTACTCAGGAGGCTGAAGCAGGAGAATCTCTTGAACCCAGGGGGCGGAGGTTGCAGTGAGCAGAGATTGTGCCATTGCACTCCAGCTTGGGTGACAGAACAAGACTCCATCTCAAAAAAAATAAATAAATAAAAATAAAAAGTAAAATAAACAAATAAATAATAAAAAGCAGCCCTGAAATAAAAACGTGAATTTAAATGTAAAGTGATAGGTAAATTCCTCCCTAATCAGTAGAATTTTCCCAATAATGATGTCCTCTGCCAAGTGTGATTCATATAGTAATTAGAGCTTTTGAAGATTGGCTATAAATGTTTGAAATAGTTGCCAAAGAAAACAGGAATGAAAAGAACAGTGTCCAAAGACTGTAAAAGCACTTTCCATTGGCACTGATCCCCACCATGTATTGTAGAGATAATATTTCTGGAGGCACCAATCAGGTTCCACATTGGAACCTTCTCTAGCAGGGCCAAAAAGCCATTGTGTTGAGTGGAGAAGGCAGATTATGGAGGAGTAAAGATGTGAGACCTGGAGTGGGAATCAAAGGAATGGAGGGCTCTGTGCAATTAATAGTAGGAATAATGGGACAGCCTAAAATAGCTGGAAGGATAGGACCGCCTTAGCTCCTAATCTGAACCTAAACTATTAAACAGCTCATTCATTATATTAAATCCTCACATCAACCCTCTGAAATGAAGTGACATATTTTAGAAGCCACAGTATCCCAGATCTTGTACAGAAAATATTCTTCCAGAAATTTTAATTACACAAGCTCTTTTGAACCCATTCAAATCAAAAGGTATTTTGGTAATTAACTGATTTAATTTTATTTATTTTTTCTTTTTTGAGACAGAGTCTCACTCTGTCACCCAGGCTGGTGTGCAGTGGCATGATCTCAGCTCACTACAACCTCCACCTCCTGGGTTCAAGCGATTCTCCCGTCTCAGCCTCCTGAGTAGCTGGGATTACAGGCACCCACCACCATACCCAGCTAATTTTTGTATTTTTAGTAGAGATGGGGTTTTGC
This sequence comes from Homo sapiens, assembly GCF_000001405.40. Taxonomy (NCBI): domain Eukaryota; kingdom Metazoa; phylum Chordata; class Mammalia; order Primates; family Hominidae; genus Homo; species Homo sapiens. The sequence goes on from NC_000004.12 coordinate 94,182,727, forward strand.
CATGTTGGCCAGTCTGGTCTCGATCTCCTGACCTCAGGTGATCTGCCCACCTCAGCCTCCCAAAGTGCTGGAATTACAGGCATGAGCCACCATGCCCGGCCTTATTTTAATTTTGTATTGTAGATGAGTCTGCTTCTACAGTAAACTCTTTTATAGCTAAGGATTAGGGTAATTTACTCAAACATGCTTTAAAAAGTTTATTCATTCTCCAGCAAAGTCTTAGTAGAAAAAAAGTTTATTCAGTCCAACAACTGATGAATAAATAAATAAAATGTGGTATAACCAATTAAATATTATTTGGGGATAAAAAATAGTAAAGTACTGATGCATGCTGTAGCATGGAAAAACTTTGGGAAAAAAGCAGCATGTGAAGTAAAAGAAGCCAGACACGAAAGGCAACATATTATATGATTCCATTTGTATGAAATGTCCAGAACAGGCAAATCTATAAAGACACAAAGTAGATGATGGTGCCTAGGGCTAGGGGAGAGAGGGAGGAGAATGAAGAGTGACCAGGTTTCTTTTAGGGGAGAAGAAAATGTTCTACAATTAGATTGTAGTGATAGTTGCACAACCTTGTGAATATACTAAAAAATACTGAATTATATACCTTAAATGTGTAAATTATATGGTATGTGAATTATATCTCAAAGCTGTTTTTTAAAAATTTACTCATTTCATGTTTTAGAGACCTAAAATGTACTAACAATTCAAAACATGATAGTTATTAACAATTTAGTAACCCGCTAGAAAATATTTCACAACCTATATCTGTTATTCCAAATAATTGGAAGATGGTAAATCAGTCATGTACCTAATTGATTGATAATTTATTTTTTAAAAAACTATGATATTTTGGTATAATGTAGAATGGCCTTTTTTCTTGGAATTGTATTATTGTAGGATTGTCTTATAATTTATTTATTTTATGGTGCTTATACTTCCATAATTTAAATGATTTAAACCCAATTGTACTGAATTTTGCTCTATAGTCATATTTTAAGGTGACATTGATATTTTGGTCCTCTATTTGGTCCATACTTATAAAATCATGCAGTTATTGGTATTTTAATTATAAAACATTGCTGAATCATTTCATCAAAGATTAACAAATTTCTTGGATTAAGAAAATGTGGCACATATACACCATGGAATGCTATGCAGCCATAAAAAATGATGAGATCATGTCCTTTGTAGGGACATGGATGAAGGTGGAAACCATCATTCTCAGCAAACTATCGCAAGGACAGAAAACCAAACACTGCATGTTCTCACTCATAGGTGGGAATTGAACAATGAGAACACATGGACACAGGAAGGGGAACATCACACACCGGGGATAGTTGTGGGGTGGGGGGAGGGGGGAGGGATAGCATTAGGAGATATACCTAATGCTAAATGATGAGTTAATGGGTGCAGCACACCAACATGGCACACGTATACATATGTAACAAATCTGCACGCTGTGCACATGTACCCTAAAACTTAAAGTATAATAATAATAATAATAATAATAAATTTCTTCACCGTGGATTGCTAAACATTAAATTCAATGTGTGGCACCTTTACCTGTTTGGATAGGTTATCTCCTTAGTTCCCAAATCAGCCTTACATTCTTCTTAGCAGCCTTTGTTTTTTGTCATTCATTCATTCAACAGCTTGTATTGAGCACCTCTTATGTGCCAGGTACTGGGGATATGCAGCAAACAGACACTCTCTCTGGGATGTAGGAGTCCAGGAAGGATGTATAATTGAATAAATAATTGCAATAATAGGCATTGTGGCAGCACTTAGTAAAGAGTCCTTAACAGATATAGAAATCAAGCTAAGGCATTTCAAGGAAGGTGATGACAAGGTCAAGACTTGAAAAATGAATAAAAATTAGGAAGGCAATGAGTAGGATAGTTCAAAGGGATAATAAGCATATTAAAAAGTGCAGAAATCGGTTACATAATCAAGCTTCAAAGGTAACGTTCAATAGTTCAGAGTGGTTTAAGAATTGAGTGCAAAGGAGGAGATATGGCTACAGAGAACTAGACAGGTTTTGAAATGCCTAATAAGCTGGTTTAAGGAATTTCGATCGTCTAAGGGGAATGGAAGTCTTGAAGAGTCTTAAGCTTTAAAACAAGATTAAGATCTGTGATTTTAGAAAGATTAAATATCTTTAAGTACTCTTCAAATCAAGCAACCTGACAAATCCTTATAATCATGATTCCTATGAACCTCAGCTATTATTTCCAAATATTTGGCATTTTTTCCCACTTGAAAAAGAGTTATCACAAAGGGATAATCTGTCCCTTCCAGTAGCAACCAATCAATTTGCAAGTGGAGCTCCCTTGGCTGAGAGCTTCCAGGTGCACTAGATCAAGAAGAGTAAGAACAACCATTTTTAAAGCTCCTTTTCATTACACAATGTTACCTCTGAAGAGATAATGGTACGTTTGCACCATGAAATATTATGTAATCATTAAAAATAAAGAATTAGAGCTATTGACATAGAAAGGTTTCCAGAAAGTATTTCTAACAAGAAATGCAAGATGCAGGAAAGTGTCTCCACAATCTTGCAACCATAACATCCCACTATATATGTATATGTATATTAGCATATGTATTGTACATGTTTATATTTGAATATGATGAACATTTATCACAGTATCCAAGCTGAGTAAAGTTTCTCACTTCCATTTGTTTTATATGCATGTATAAAACATGTATTTATATATATTTGTGTATATATATATTTTATGTGTATATATATATATATATATATATATATATATATATATATATATGTTTTAGATAGGGTCTGGCTCTGTCACCCAAGCTGGAGTGCAGTGTGGTGCAGTCTCCACTCACTGCAACCTCTGCTTCCCAGGCTCAAGTGGTTCTCCCACCTCAGCCTCCTGAGTAGCTGGGACTTAAAGGCGTGTGCCACCACACCCAGCTATTTTTTCTTTTTCTTTTTTTTTTTTTTGAGATGGGGTCTTGCTCTGTCACCCAGGCTGTAGTGCAGTGGCGCAACCTCAGCTCACTGCAACCTCTGCCTCCCAGGTTCAAGCTATTCTCGTGCCTCAGCCTCCTGAGTAGCTGGGATTACAGGCGTGCACCACAACGCACAGCCAATTTTTTGTATTTTTAGTAGAGGCTGGGTTTCCGCATGTTGCCCAGGCTGGTCTCGAACTCCTGAGCTCAGGCAATCCGCCTGCCTCGGCCTCCCAAAGTGCTGGGATTACAGGTGTGAGCCACCACGCTGACCCTGTTACATTGTTATATAAGAGCACATGTGATTGCACAAAGCAAAACAAAACGAACCTAGTAAAAAGAACCCCATCAACCAACTCCCACTAGGAACCTCAGCTTAGTCTTGATTTTTAATGAATACACATACACACTGAAGTTTTCTCAGTGTTGCAATTTGGCCTCCCTGGGAAGCTGACTCTGAGTTGGAGAGTGCAGGGAGTTCATTGAGAAATGCTTTGGGGATCAACCACTGTGGAATATTCTTGCAGAATTGTGCTGAACTGAAACAAAAGGACATTTATATTCACACAGTAATCAGTCATCGATGCGGGCTTCCTCCTCCCTACACACTTTGACTTTGTAGACAGCAGGTCTACAATCTTTTGAGGGAGAATGCAGCTGGGATGGGAACTGTAAGTTACCAGCAGTCAGAAGGACTTAGTGCTTCAGTCGTGAAATGGGGAATGAATAGAACATGTATCACAGCATCTACTACAAGTCATTAGCATTTTTTTTTTTTTTGAGATGGAGTCTCGCTCTGTCACCCAGGCTGGAGTGCAGTGGCGCGTCATTAGCATTTTATAAGGAATCATGATTTAATATACTTATTTATCCTATTTAGTGCTTTCATCTTAAATTCCAGCTCGTTTCATATTAATCACATTTATTACTATTATTAAGATTCAGGTCATTTTATAGACCTAGTAGTTAAATATATATTGTGGTAGCCAGCCTCCATGATGGCCCCCAATGATCTCTGTCTCCCAGTTCTCTCACCCATGTGTAGTTCCTACCCACACTGCACTAGGAGTAGTCTCTGTGACCACTGGAATACAGTAGAAGTGATGGCATGTCAGTAGTGACATTCAGTTATAAAAGACACTGCAGCTTTTATTACCCTCTTTTCAGATCCCTTGTTCTGGGTGAAGATGCTAGCTACGATAGGCAGGCTCGCTGCTGAGGACCTGTGGCTTGCAAATAACATTAGTAAGTTTGGAAGTCAATACTCCAGTCCTACTTGAGTCTTGACATGACTGCAGCCTCAGCTAAAAACTTGAGAAACCCTTATGCAGAACCACACAGCTAAGTCACTCCCAGATTCCTGATTCTCAGAAATGAGGTGAAATAATAAACATTTGTTGCTTTAACCTGCCTGATTTGGTGGGTAACTTGTTGTGTGGCAATAGATAACTAATACATATATATTTTTAATTATTGAAATATTTCTACCAAATTTCTGGAACTCATGAAGGTATAATTTAAACCAGCTAAAATAAATAAAGGAGGATAAACAATGGAAGATAATTAGGATATTAGAACATTTAGGACTATCATACATTTTGCTTTGCTAGAATCTAGGTATCTGTGTAGGCAAAGGAATAGTAAGATTGCTATAGAAACAACATACATTATATACACCCTTTCTCATGTCCTCTATTAACCCAAGATGATTAAGTTGGTTTAAATATTTGAGGGTTTCTCCTTTTTTTCTTTTTTCTTTAATTTTTTAAAAAAATTAATACTTATGTAGAAACTCATCTGGGGCTGACAGTCTGTCTTCTAGCTTACAATTTATAGCAACACAGAACAACTACTTTTATGATGCTCAACAGTCTTTGGGAATCAGTCTTAACAGGTGTGCTGCAAATGTCTATTTCCAAGATGACGACGATGACTACATCAATTTCAAACAGGAATGTGTTAGAATAGGACTGTGTGTCAATATTTGTTGAAAACTTAAAATAATCATGAATCAATGACCAAAAAGACAAGATTTAAAGGAAACAGGCCTAACAGATACTATCTAATACTATTACATAATTTTTCCTAAGCACACTAAAAATTGTATTTTTAGTTTATATCAGTTAAAAAATTAACTTTTAAAATTATTTGATTATTCTTACATCATTGGAGGACAGACAGTTTTACAGAAATCACAAGGAACATGAAAACAAAAAATGTTTAAGCAACAAATAGAAGTATAATAACTTTATAAAACTTGGAATAACTCTAAAGAGTTTGCAACAGAGCCCACTAGAACACAACTTTTTTCAAGTTCTAAGAATCATTCAACCTAATGTTTTTATTTACATATGAGAAAACCAAAGTAATAATAATGATAATATTTTACTGAAGGCTCATATATGTCAAGCAAAGCACCCACCTAAGCATATACCCCCGCACTTGATCTTTTCAATTTTGCCTTATCCTTTTCTTTCCAAAAGCAATGATCACTTTCTAATATACCACATAATCTATATCATTTATTAGTCTACTGTTAGGTTAAGTAATTTACCTACTCCCATGGAGCTTGAGCTGGGTTTAGATTCTAGATTTCCTTATACCTGTTTGAGCCTATTTGAGACTGTCAACAAATTTGTGCCTACTACGCACCACAACACAATCTATCCACAGGCCAAATTGCTGCTGCTTCTTTTATTTATTTATTTATTTTTTTTGAGATGGAGTCTTGGTCTGTCACACAATCCTCCTGGGTTCAAGCAATTCTGCCTCAGCTTCCGAAGTAGCTGGGATTACAGGCGCCCGCCACCATACCCAGCTAATCTTTGTATTTTTAGTAGAGATGGGGTTTCACCATGTAGGCCAGGCTGGTCTTGAACTCCTGACCTCAAGTGATCCACCTGCCTTGGCCTCCCAAAGTGCTGGGATTATAGGCATGAACCACTGTGCCCCGCCTCCAATTGCCCCATCTTACTGGAAATACAAAAAATTTTGAGGAGGAAAGTGCTTTAGAAATGATTCTAAATTTTTTTTATTTCCTTAAAGAGACTGTATTTAGAATATGAACCCATATTAATTATGAACTATTTCATGATTTAAATACATATGTTATTGTTTGGCTACTCTAGATATACAGAAATGTGTGAAATAAATGTCCCTTGTAGGATTAGTTCTTTTATCTTAAAATATTATGTTCACATTTAACTTGTGATTAGGGACTGGAATTCAGGCAGAGTAAAGACCTGTTTGGTTTATGACTCATACTATATAGATTTTGGGTGGTTTGGTGCCTGTGGCACTTCAGGCCTGTAATGGCAAATCATTGCTGGAATGATGATTTTTTTCCCCTCACTTTTGAAATCCTTCATCAAATGGATAAATGCACTTAAATAACATAACTTATGTAGGCTAAATATTGCAAAAATGGATATGGAGTTATGCTGTTAATATGCATTTCCCAGAATTTTTACAAAAGACTTACATTTAGCCAATTACATTTTGATCTCTATTCTTCCTTACAATTTAATCCCCAAACTCAGCCCTAAATATCAAAGGTGTTTGTATACCAAATTGTTCAAAGTACGTTTATACATTTCCAAATTATTTCTCATTTAATCCAGTTAAATTGGGTGAATTTAAGTCTGAACTCAAGTTATTCATTCCTTCATTCCCAGAATATTTATAGAGCATCTATTTCAAAAAGCATTTCAATAGGCTGTCACAGAGCTTAGAGTCTATGGGGGGTGACAGAGAATTATACAAGCAATTATGACACAGTGATAAGGACACACAATAGGAAAATACTGTATTCTCTGAACACTGAGAATGGCTGAGAAAGGGCATGAAAGACAATCAGCTGGGTGAAGGTGGGTGGAGATAACCTACCTTCAAGGAAGAGCGTCCAAGACAAGAGAACGGCATATGTTTAAAGGCTAGGAAGGGTGAGAATGTTGCACGGAAGGAGCAAAAGTTCAGTATGGATGGAGTTGGGTGGGGAGGGTCATAACTGAATATGAGACTAGAGAGAACCCAGTAAAATTTCCCCAATACAAAAGCTTCTTATCTATTTGTCAATGCTTCAAATTCCATTACTTTGCTCACTGGTTTGCTGATGATTCAAACTCGAGCCTTTCATTATGTAATTAAAAATTAAATTTAAACTGCAAAGACACAAGGCAGAAATAGCCACTGAAGCATTAATAACAGAGTATGCCTTTAGCTCACGCATACAGGTGAGTCTAGAAGCTTAAAATTGGGTGCAAATTTATGAGGGCCAGAATATTAACCTTTTATTACTTACACCTTGGACAGATCGATTTCACACTTATCTTCACCTCCTTTTCAGAAGACACAGAAACATTCATAACTGAATGTCTATGTGCAGATACTGGTTCCAGCTGGAAAGTCTTATCCCAACTTCTTTGTTTGCCCTATTTCAACTCATCCTTTCAGGACCCAACTGAATAGCCATCTCCTTAATGAGGCATTCTCAATTTACACAGTTAGTCTTACACCTTTTGTGCTACCAAAGTATGTCATTCATACCTCTGTAATAGCATTTACTCTGTGGTAATATTCTGTTAACAAGTCCATCTCCTCACTTAATGACAAACTCCTTCTCTACAGGTACTAGGTCTTATTTTCTTGGTATCCCTAGCACCCAGCATTGTAACTAGCCTATCAGACATAAAACTGATGGGCATGGTGATGAGTGCCTCTATTCCCACCTACTCAGGAGGCTGAGGCAGGAGGATCATTGGAGGCCACAGTCTGCTATGATGGAGCCTGTCAATAGTCACTGCACACCAGCCTGGACAACATAGTAAGGCCATATCTCAATCAATCTGTTGAAACATAAATCCAATCAGTGGCTAGCAGGGACTGGGGAAGGAGGGGAGAAGACTGATAATAAGATAAGAGGATGATATATTACCCTCTTGATATAGATATATGTCTCAGGGGATATATCTCAGGGGTGATATGTCTCAGGGATGGTGGTGGTTATATGACCATATATATTTTTCAAAACTCATCAAACCATTCACCTAAAAAATGTAAATTTTACTGTATGTATATTATACCCCAAAAAACTGCATAGGAATAAGGGAATAAACATGAATTAATGAAAGATACAATGAAGCATTTACCTGAGACTTAATTTCCTTGCTAGGACTACTTACTTTTTTTAAAGTGATATCTGAAACCAGGGCAATGCTTAGCAGCAACAGAACTTTAATGGTGGGTATTTTAGATACACCAGTGAGCTTTCTGAACAGGGGCACTTCTACTAATTATTTACATTATTCTAATTTGCCTAAGTATAAAAGTTACTGGCCAATATCTATCATTCTGAGACAACTTTGGTATTACTTCTGATACAGTACAAGTCATTATAATTCACAAAAATAAAGTATTCCTTTCGGTATAGTTAACTCAAAACTGCCTTTCCAGTAAGTCTGAGAGATATATTAAGAGAAGAAAACAAGTGCGCTACAGAAATTTCAAATGAAACCAAACTCTGAACATGTAGAACTTATAAAATATTTTGGACCCGGTGCATGGTAGCTAACATCTGTAATCCCGGCACTTTGGGAGGCAGAGGTGGGTGGATCACTCAATCTCAGGAGTTTGAGACCAGCTTAGCCAACATGGTGAAACCCCGTGTCTACTAAAATTACAAAAATTAACCACGCATGGTGACACACACCTATACTCCCAGCTACTGGGGAGGCTGAGGCACAAGAATCTCTTGAACCCAGGAGACAGAGGTTCCAGTGAGCCAAGATAGCACCACTGCACTCCAGCCTTGGTGAGGAAGTGAGATTCTATCTCAAAAAAAAAAAAGGAAAAAAATTGCATTAAATTTGTGACCTTTTTACATGTGCCTTAAGATGATCTATTTATCAAGTTATCCTTAGACACCTTTAAAATTGTGATAATCTGACAACAAATTAACCGATGTTGAGTTAGAGTTGTGATGGGTTACTAACCTGTTTCTCCCTCTCTAAAGACTTAGGTTTAAATTTGTCTTAGGACATAAATTTAAATGTTTACTATTCTAATTTAATCACCAGTGAAAGGTGGTGTCTATGCAGGCGTGCACATACAGCACCGTCACCTCTCATGAATTTCAATCTCCGCTCAGCGATGTAAGGATATTCTCCTACATAAACATAGTACCACTGTTACACCTAAGCATATGAACAATAATTCCATAATATCACCTAACATATAAACTATATTTAAATTCCTCCAATTGTCCCAAAAATGTTTTTTACATGATAAAAATATTCCTAAAATAAAAAGTGAAACTTGAGGCCTGTGTCAAGCATCATGGTACATTACTTGAAGCAATGTCTAGTATTGCATATAATTCACAGTTGTTTCATTTCTTCTTCTGTAATTTTCAAACCCAGCATTTTCTACAACACCCCGGGGCAGTTGGAAACAGCTTATGTCTGTTTTCCAGTCTTAGTTCCACTTCTTACCAGCTAAAACATGGGCTAAGTCACTGCCATGTAAACTTTCTAAGAGTCAATTTCTTCGTTTATAAATGAAGAAGTAACATTGTCATGATTATAGTCAGGATTTAATGAAATTATAGATGTCTTTTATAAACTTAATATACTCCATTATTTTATCCTGGATTCTTATCTTAGGACATGGACAAATCACTAGGTTTGTTGTAACTAGTCATAGCACAAGCCTGTCTACTGGTAAAATGAAGGGTGAATATGGGGAAATTTCAGAGATTGTTGTAGCTAAATCAACATATATTTGTTAAGCACTTACTATATACAAAGATAGAATAGTAGGCACCTGGGAAACAATACAATTCCTGCTTTCCTGAACTTATTATAACAAGTATTTATGTAAGTATTATCCCTGTTTTACAGTGAGGAACCAGGGCTCAGAGAAAAAAAAACATGCCAAGTAGCTATTTCATTGGTCTCTATTAGGACCATATGTGCAATGTATTTGTAAGTGCCCAGCATAATTCTTGGTCTTACAAAACTTCATTAAGGCCAGGCACAGTGGCTCATGCCTGTAATTCCAGCACTTTGGGAGGCTGAGACGGGTGGATCACCTGAGGTCAGGAGTTTGAGACCAGCCTGGCCAATATGGTGAAACCCCATCTCTACTAAAAATACAAAAAAAAAAAAATTAGCCGGGAGTGGTGGTGGTCGCCTGTAACCCCAGCTACTTCAGAGGCTGAGGCAGAAAAATCACTTGAACCTGAGAGGCAGAGGCTGCAGTGAACTGAGATCACACCACTGCATTCCAGCCTGGGCGACAGAGTGAGACAGCGTGAGACTGGGTTTTAAAAAAAACTACATTAAAACATCATCTAGGGAAAAATCAGTGACCTTCCAAGCAGGTCCTCACCACAATGTGGTTATCATGACAGCTTTGTATGTCTAGAAATCCTGTTTGATGGTTATCATTGTCCAAAGTTTATTTCATCATCTCCCCCAAAGTAGCTCCTCCTCCTCCACCTTTATTTCTTATGTCAGGAGAACCATCATCCATCTACGTCATTGTCCATTCCAGAATTCTCCTGTCCTCATAATCAATGTCCCCTACCTCATCTCAAACTATCAGCAAATCCTGTCAATTCTATTTTAAGAATTTGTTTCCAAATTCATCTTCTTCTCTCCATCTCCATTAGCACTACCCTAGTCTAGATAACTGTCATGTTTCCCTTGGAAAATGACAATGGCATTCTCTCTTAACTTTAGGTGGCCTTTGGCCTTTTGTTGTTGTTGTTTTTCAATAAAATTCTTTGAAAAGTTGAAAAATAATGTGATTGGCTCCCACATATCTCTCAGATTCACCATTTAACATTTTGCTAAATGTGTTTTCTGCCCCTTTTTCTCTATATATACATCTATAAATTTTTTTCCCTAAACTCTTTGGGTTTTTTTGTGGGGGAGGGTGGTTTTGTTGTTGCTGTTGTTCATTTGTTTGTTGAGTCAGAAGCTCACTCTGTCACCCAGGCTGGAGTGCAGTGGCCAATCTCAGCTCACTGCAACCTCCCCCTCCTGGGTTCAAGCAATTCTTAAGCCACAGCTTCCCGTGTAGTTGGGATTACAGGCGCATGCCACCATGCCCAGCTAGGTTTTTTTTCTATTTTTAGTAGAGAAGGAGTTTTACCATGTTGACCAGGCTGGTCTCCAACTCCTGACCTCAAGTAATCCACTCACCTTGGCCTCCCAAAGTGCTGGGATTACAGGTGTAAGCCACCGCGTCCAGTCCCCTAAACTTTTTGAAAGTAACTTTGGCAACATCTCTACCCCTAAATGTTTCAGCATGAATACCTAGATAAGGACGTTCTCCTACATAAACATAGTACCGTCGTTACACCTGTGCATATGAACAATAATTCCATAATACCACCTAACATACAAACTATATTTAAATTTCTCCAATTGTCCCAAGAATATTTTTACACTATAAAAATATCTTCCTTCTCCCATGTAGACTCCAGTAAATGTCTACACATGGTGTTTGGTTATTAGATTTCTTTAATGTCTTTTCATTTAGAATAGCCATTGCTTCCAACATTGATTTGTTTATGTTTTTCAAACTTTGCCTTGTTTGACAAGTTCAGGTTAGCTGTCGTAAAATGTTCCACATTCTGATTTTGTCTCATTGCTTTTTTTTTCTTTTTGAGACAGGTTCTGGCTCCATCGTGCAGGCTGGAGTACAGTGGCACAATCTTGGCTCACTGCAACCTCTGCCTCCTGTGCTCAAGCGATCTTCCCAGCTCAGCCTCCCAAGTAGCTGGGACTACAGGCACACACCACCACGCCCACCTAATTTTTGTAATCTTTTTGTAGAGACAGGGTCTTGCTATGTTGCCCAGGTCGGCCCTGAGTTCCTGGGCTCAAGCGATCTGACAGTCTCAGCCTCACAAAGTGCTTGGATTACAGGCGTGGGCCACTACACCTGGCCTGATTGCTTCTTTATTATGTTATTTAACTTATACTTATATCTCCTGTATTTCCTGTAGATTGGAAGTAAGGTAGAGATCTAACTAGATTATTCAAAATATTTTTGGCAAAAATATTGACAAAAGTCTGTACTTCTGTAGTAGTTTGGTAGAGCTGCCCTAACAAAGTTCCACAGACTGGGTGGCTTAAACAGCAAAAACTTACTATCTCACAATTCTGGAGGCCAGAAGCCTAAGATTAAGGGGTCGTCTGGGTTGGCATCTTCTGAGGGCTTCTCTTTGGCTTGTAGATGGAGATCTTCTCCTGGTGGCTTCACATGATCTTTCCTCTGGGTAAGTCTGTGTCCTAATCGCCTCTTTTTTTTCAAGATGGAGTCTTGCTGCATTGCCCAGGCTGGAGTGCAGTGGCGTGATCTTGGCTTACTGCAACCTCCACCTCCCGGGTTCAAGTGATTCTCCTGCCTCAGCCTCCCAAGTAGCTGGGACTACAGGTGCGTGTCACCATGCCCGGCTAAGTTTTGAATTTTTATTAGAGACAGGGTTTCACCATGTTGGCCAGGCTAGTCTTAAACTCCTGACCTTAAGTGATCTGCCCACCTTGGCCTCTCAAAGTGTTAGGATTACAGGCGTGAGCCACCACGCCCAGCCCCTAATCTCCTCTTCTTACAAGGACACCAATCATATTGAATTAGGGTCTACCCATATGACCTCATTTTTTCTTCATTACCTCTTTAAAGGCACTGCCTCCAAATATAGTCACATTCTGAGGAATTGGATTAGGACTTCGACATATAGATTTTGGAGACACACACTTCATCCCCTAACAACTTGTTGCTGCATTGCATCAGGGGGCGGATAATGTCAAGTTTGCCAGATCTCTGCATTGTAAGGATTCTCTTTGTAATTAGTAAATCATCTGTGGAATGAAAACTTGGAAGACCTTCATGTGACTGTCTTGTTCCCCACCATCCTTTCACCCATGAATTTTGCCATCCATTAATGATTCTTGCTCAAATTATTATTTTAAAGCTGCAAAGCAGTGGTTTGCCAATCATTTCTCTCTACATTTATTAACTGTCATTTTTCTGTAAAAAGAGGCCTCCAGTCTTTCTGCATTCCAAATTAATATTTGTACAGCATTAGTCGACTTAACTATAGCTGCCTAAAAAACGATTGATATTTTCCCTGCCCTGAGGATTAAGGACAAACTCCTTTACATAACCTCTCTTTTGTTGTTGTTGTTGTTGTTGTTGTTTTACAGATAAACAGTTTTTTTAATTCCTCCTCCTCCTCTTCTTCCTCCTTGTTTCTTCATCTTCCTCTTCCACTTCTTTCCAGGCAACTTTAGCAGGACTCTGCACTATCAAACTTTCCTGTAGACTTATAGTCAGCAACATCCTTCTCACATACTTCTCCTTCAGTTTTGCCGCCTTAGTGATGTAAGGCTGCTTTTCACTGTCATTTAAGTTATTCTACATCTCACCCAGCTTTTTTGCCACATCTCCAATAGAGATGCCAAGGTTTGTGGATTTGATCTTGGGGCGGAATTCTGAACAGAATAGGAAGAACCCAGATGGTGGCCTTTGGGGGCATTAGGATCCTTCTCCTTCTTGCCTCTTTTAGCTGGTCCATAATCCTTCATTTTCCGATCATAGCGTTCTTTATCCACCTTGGCCGTTTCATCAAATTTAGACTTTTCTTTCCCAGACATTGTCTTCCACCTCTCAGAGCACTTCGTGGAAAATTCTGCAAAATTGACAGGGACTTCTGGGTTTTTCTTCTTATGTTCTTCTCTGCACGTCTGCCCAAAGAAGGCATAAGCAGAGATCTTGCCCTTTGGTTTCTTGGGGTCAAGAAACGAAGAATGTATTGTTCGCTAGTCTACACAAGCTCTTAAGGACTTCAGCCTCTTCTCTCCTTGTCTCTGTTTTACTTTCTTTACTGGTTTACTTCTACTCATCTTTCATAACTCAGCTGTCACTTTTCCCTGGCTTCTTCTACAAAAATTGTAAGAGCACTCTAGCACTATACTTTCACTATCATAGCATATTTTGCACTATTTTGTAATTTAAGGTCTTCTCACTGACTGAGCTATCTGAGGAGAGGAATCTCATCAATCTTGTTTATTCTTACATGTCTCAGCATCTCTTATAGTCCTTGGAACAGAGTAGGCCCGGAATAAAGATTAATTAAATTAATTAATGGGAGTTATGCACCATATACAAATCTATGTACACTGTAATTTATAATCGATTTATGAAATTTACAAGGGTAACTTTTAGTTTTTTTAAAAAACTAAAAAAAACTTTAGTTTTTAAATTGACAGAAATTGTATATATTCATGGTATACAACATGATGTTTTGACATATTTACATATTGTGGAATGGCTAATCAAGCTTATTAACATATGCATCACTTCACATATTTATCATTGTTTTGTGGCAAAAACACTTAAAAATCTACTCTCAACAATTTTCAAGTATACAATACAAGGAGAATTTTAATTCAAAGTGTTTTTTTTTTTTTCACTTTATTTGCTTTCTGGGAGCTTAATTCCTAAGTACGATAAAATTCCATTCTAAAAATAAGAAATATTTACGTAGTCTTAACTATATGCCAGTCCCGGCCCTAAGCATGAATTATTTCAAATTTAATTCACAGAAATCCTTTAGCATGGGTACTATTTTCCCCATATTACAGATGAGGGAATTGAGAGAATATCACACAGCTAGTAAACAGAAGACACAGGATTTGCACTCAGGTGTCTCTAATTTCATAATGACTTTGTAATTTTGAAATTACTTTTTTTTTTTTTTTTTTTGGTGGAGGTGCCAGAGAATGAACTTGGGACCGCATACTGAAATTACTTTCTTAAGAGTTCATTTTCCTCATTATAGCTGACTATAAATTTGTCATTTTATGACCATCTGTGGAAGCCCATGTTTTTGATTCAGTAATACTTCTACCTTCAAGAGAACAGACACGTACAACATAACGCATTTACACTATTAGCAAATATCTAAGTAGGAATAGTCTGGACAACATACATTGTGCAAAAAATGTAAAATGTTAACATGTAACTTATTCTCAGAACTGTGATTTGATTACATCTAAGTAGATATGGCAGTAAGAGAATTTTGAATTATGTTTAATGTTTGTGGAATTTTAAATGGCTGAAAAAAGAAATAATTTATTTTCTCTTGGAATCTTTTTGTAAAGACCATTTCAAGAAGAAAAAATGTATACGTACAGGATTAGGGTGATTAGAGTGATCCTGTTTGAGTTGAATATATTGTGAAATGTGACTTTTGCAAAATGACACATATAAGAGGATAATTTTCAAGGTAAGAATTACTACAACAAAGATAAGGTACCACAAGTACATATGTGGTAAAATTTGGACATATATATGTGAATTTAATGATTCAAAGTATCAAACACGATCCTGACATTGTGGGTACATACAACAAAATGGTGACTATAAAGGAAGGGCATGATGGCTCACGCTTGTAATCCTAGCATTTTGGAAGGCTGAGGTGTGCTGATTGCCTGAGCTCACGTGTTCATGACCAGCCTGGGCAACATGGCAAAACCCCGTCGCTACTAATAATGCAAAAATTAGCTGGGCATGGTGGCGTGCGCCTGCAGTCCCAGCTACTCAGAAGGCTGAGGCAGGAGAATTGCTTGAACCCGGGAGGCAGAATTCCAGTGAGCCCAGCTGAGATCATGCCACTGCACTCCAGCTTGGGTAACAGAGCAAGACTGTTTTAAAAAAAAAAAAAAAAATAGTGACTATATAACGTAATGAGGAAACTGAATTGCAAGGCCACTAGAAGAAAAAATGTAAAATCTTGTGTATATGTGAGCATGAATTCAACTTGCCAGTTGAGGGTATCCTGAAAATTTAAGATATGCATAAGCAGAAAAAGGAAGGGAAAAAATAGGATTTTAAAAATCAAGTGAAAAAGGATACAGGCCAGGTGCGGTGGCTCACGCCTGTAATCCCAGCACTTTGAGAGGCCGAGGCCGGCAGATCACAAGATCGGGAGCTCTAGAGAAGCCTGGCCAATATGGTGAAACCCTGTCTCTACTAAAAATACAAAAAGAATTAGCTGGGCGTGGTGGCACATGCCTGTAATCCCAGCTACTCAGGAGGCTGAGGCAGGAGAATTGCTTGAACCTGGGAGGCGGAGGTTGCAGTGAGCCAAGATCGTGTCACTGCACTCTAGCCTGGGTGACAGAGCAAGACTCCGTCTCAAAAAAAAAAGAGTTACAATATGGAATTTGTTCTTCAAGTTCTAAAAAATCAAGCATCATGTAATTTAATTAGAATTTAAATCCCACTTTAAAAAAAAAATAAATTATGTTAGCAAAACTGGCAGATAGTTACCAAACCAAAAGTATGAAAATTTTCAATATTTTTTAGTTTCCTAAATTGGTAATGATAGTTGCTAGAAGTTTTAAGAAGGCACATATATGGATGTAATCACCATGAATTCTACCAGAGTTATGAGGATTGTGGACATCTTTGTCAGAATTTCTTAATGTGAAGCTCACAGAGCACGAAGCGTTCCATGAGCCCCCTGAAATTATGTGCCACCTGTCATGTGCATATGTAGTTTTTTTTGGAAGGGGTTTGTGACTTTTTAAAATTTGGATTCCTAAGAGAGATTTATAACCATGCCCTCTACCTTCCCAAATTAAGAATCATTACTCTACTTAAAGAAGTATTTGCTTACGAATTGGTAATATTTGGCTTACTTTCTTGTTACCAAGGAAGAAAGTTGTTTTTTAGTTTTATGACTTGGTATCTTGTCTTTTCCATTTTATATTCATGTGTGGGAGGCAAGATTAGTTTACACAAGTTTCCATTACCAACCAGGTGTGGTTTACATTTCTAAGATACCAAGTTAAGAAAGGATCCAAGTTTACAAATCTCATTTTTAATCTCTGTTGCTGTTCGTTTTTTTGTTTGGTTTCTTAATCAATTCAGTTCAATTTTGGAAGGGCTGCTCCTTCCTCAAATTGCTTCATGGTTTTATTTTGGTAAGTATGAAGCAAAAAGAAATAACAATAAAATTCCCACAGTCTTTTCTCCTATTTAAGAAATTTGAGGATTCTATCAAACATTTTCACTGAGCCCATTAAAAACTAACAGGTAATTAAAATGATTCTTGCAGCCATACATAAGTACTTTAATTTAAAAAGTGAATTCTGTGGGGCATGGTGGCTCACACCTGTAATCCCAACACTTTGGGAGGCTGGGGTAAGAGGATTGCTTGAGTCCAGGAGTTCAAAGCCAACCTGGGCAACAGAGCGAGACACCATCTCTAGAAAAAATACAAAAATTAGCTGGATGTGGTGGTGTGCAACATTAGTCCCAGCTACTCAGGGGACTGAGATGGGAGGATCTCCTGAGTCTGGGAAGGTCGAGGCTACAGTGAGCCATGATCACTGTACTCCAGCCTGGGTGAGAGTGAGACCCTGTCTAAAATAATAACAATAATAAAAGAATAGAAAAAGAATAAAAGAAAGGTGAATTCTATCCCCATAGGGACCCTTGAAGCAATATCTTATTCTAACCACATTTGAGTTGCCCTGCTGACAAAATTCTATTTTATGGTCTATATTCTAGGAAGTTTCTCTTAATGGCCATGTTTAATCCCATAAAGCCCTTTAACAAAAATTAGAAATAATGATGCTTTTCTATGATTCAGTAGCTATTTCTAAAGAAGAGATGCCTTTAATCTCATTTACACTCCTGAGAAAGAAGAATTAGACACTATTGTGGGAAATAATTATTCTGTAAAAGAAGATAGAGAAAATGTAAGGACACAAAGTATATTAAAAGGTGATTTTTAGACTGAACTACTCAAAACTTGACAAAAAGAGCATAAGATTTTCAGGCAGTTTTTGAGTATAGGGATTTTAAGATAGAAAAAAGAAAACATTTTAATTTTAACTGGAAGAATTGGTACACTCAAGACAAAAATGTAGAAAATATTTGGATATGTTTCAATTATCTAATACTGCATGACAAACTACTCCCAAAATTTAGTGGCTTAGAACAATAGCCATTTTTTTATATCTCATGATTTTGTAAATGAGCCAGGCTTGCTAAGTAATTCCAATTTATAGTTTTTTTCTCATTTGCTAGTTGGAATACTTTTATAAAGAGACACTTTCCCTTACCTCTTCTTCAATTATCTAGTAGAAGCCTTCAAAGAGTAAAGACAGGATAAAGCTTAATTCTTTCCATCTGTTTATCAGTTTTCACGATAATAAATTGTTTTCCTTTCATCCTCCAAAGTCAACCAGTTTAAAAAAAAATCAGTAAGAACTCCTGGATTTCAACATATTTGATGGCTTTCAAATCACTGCAATTTTTAATCACATTGAAGCTCAAACTGCCCCATCTTTGGCCAGTAGGAACCTCAAGTTGACCTCTGAATCTTTTTGACATGGTATTAGTGGTCTTTGATAATTTCCTTGCTTTTTGGTATAGGAAGATATTTCAGTCTCACCTTGTGCATTTTCCATTGCATACTGTAATCTGCTCTTTTTCAAAGAAGTCCAGGTTTCTGTTAGCAGTAAATGATATTCAAAGATTATGATCATGGTACTAGGGCTGTGTACTGGGCTAGTCACTTCCTAGGCCTTTTCGGTGGACAAAGATGGAAAACAAACACACATTGTGTCTGTGTGTGTATCACATCTCATAAGTTCATATTGATATTTCCAATTCAAATAAAAGACCATTCCACTTGCGCTGTAGGGTTTGTACTATAACCTCTCTCTATTATATCTCTGTTTCCTTTCTTCTACTCTGAGAATTGTGGTTCTCGAAAAAAAAAGAAATAATTAGAATATAATTATTAATTTGTTTTACCCAACAATATACACACATTGGTCTCAGGATAGCAACACTAAATACACTTCAACTGTTTTACTGAAAACCAGTTAAACATTTTTTTCATATGTTCCTATCATTCTTTGCCTTTTAGGAGGTGAACATTGACAGATCATATAACCATTATAAACTGTACTGTCTTTCTTTTAAACATCATATTATCTTTGTTCTGCAATAGTTAATGCTCAATACATATCCTTACAACATTGTCTCTATAGACATTTTGGTTTTGTGAAGCTTATTCTCTGATAGATACCTCAGTAGTACTCATGGAAACAATACCCACAGAATTCTTACCTGATGTTAGTAGTGTGTTTGTGCCTTTATATTTGGAAGGCACTTTTGCTTGATATAAAATTCTTGGATCACATTTTATTATCTTAAATCCTAGATGTCCAAGAAACTTTTTTATTTTCCTTTAAAATCTAAATTTTAATAGAGTATGTCTTAGGGTTGGCCATCTGTGTTGGTATGCTTAACTAAATGATGTGTTCTTTCAATATATAGTTTTAAATCCTTATAGTTTTCAGGAAATGTTTTTTTGAAAGATAGTTTTTAGTTATTCTACTCCTTTGCTTTGGTTTTCTTCTGTAACAACTCCTATTATAATTATATTGGATCTTCTTTATCTTCAATAATTATTTTTTAAAAATCTATTTACCTTTCTATTTTTATTTTTAAAGTATTTTCCCTTTCCACACTATATTCCTCTAAAGGCATTATCCATTATGTTTGCCTATCTATCTGTTAGGTCTACTTTAATCTCCATTTCTAAAATATATATATTTTTTTCTCTTCCTTTCTTGAGATCTGTCACTTCTTTTCTGAGATTTATGAACTCTGATTTATGTTGTACTTTTGTGACATATATCACTTGAATGGTAGTTTGCCTTACATTTTATTTGTGGTTATCTGTATACTCATACAATTTATCTAGTTATTAATATCATTAATTCACTCAACAAATATTCATTGATCCTCTACTATGTGCAGGCATTATAGTCTGAAGTTGAGCCACAGTAGCCAATCACTAGAAACATGAAAGAGAGATAAAAGCTTATTGCTTTATGCAACTAAAATTTTGTAGTTTGTTATACAACAATAGCTGACTAACACAACATATTTACAATCATTAACTCATGTGTTTAGTCTCAACAGAATGCTTTTACACCATGAATTCACCATATTGAAATTCTCATTTTGACATTGTCAGCTGGATTTATGTCTTTAGGAATATTTTAAGGAAGATATATTTTCAGGAAACTAGAAGTTTGAATTTTTTTCTTCCACAAATGAATATTTGTGATCTAGAAAATTATTGAGTCACAATCGTTTTCCCCAAATCATTATAAATATTGCATCATTACTTTCTGACGTTTAACAAAAAAGCTTTTGCTTGATTTCTTTCCCTTTGTAGGCTGTAGATTTTTTCTGAAAAATGCTTGCAAGACATTTTTTAAATTCTTGAAATTAAAACAAATTCTGCAGGATATTTTTACTGTATAGTCTCTTTCAATTGATTCTGCCTGAATTCACTAAGCTCTTTCACATGCAGACTAAATGAAAGCCCATGAACGTTTTCTATTATGTTTTTCATTATTTCTTTTTTTTTTGGTATGTGTGTGTGAGTATGTATGATTGTTTACACCTATTATTCAAAGCTTCATTCTCACTTCTCTGAATCTTATATTTATCATTTCTTCATATTTCATTGTTTTTTTTTTTTTTTTTTTTGAGATGGAGTCTTGCTCTGTCACCCTTTAAAGCAGTGGCATGATATGGCTCACTGCAACCTTTGCCTCCTGGGTTCAGGCAATTCTCCTGCCTCAGCCTCCTGAGTAGCCAGGGCTACAGGCGTGTGCCACCACGCCTGGCTAATTCATTGATTTCATCTATTGTCTGCAACAGATCTTTCCTTCATGGCTTTCAGAATATACTAACTCTACCAAAACCTTGAGAGTGGAAATCTAGCCTCAGGGACCAAGAGAAAATAAATTTCTGTTGTTTCAGTCATCCAGGCTGTTAATATACCAGCCCTAGCAAACTAATACATACCCTTAAACTTCTACTTCACTTTCAAAGAGAACCCCAATCATGAATCATTATAATTCTCCCAGGTCAATGAAGGTTGCAGAAAAATCCTACCCTTAGAACTGGTCAAAAGGAGTCCCTATCCTGGTCTAGTGCTTTAAAGGGCAAAATCTAGTTCTTTCCAGCTATGCCCTGCCCTAAAGGAATCTTTGGGGCCAAGAAGACGTGTTCATTCAGAACTTGTGCCTTCACTTTTAGACAATAATTTGAGTACCTGGTCCCTAAAATTCTTTGCTCACACAGCCCCAAGAAGTCTAACAGTGACTTTTCCCGAGGTCCTTCCTACTGAGGGCAAACAGTGCTTTCAGTATCTATAACCCTAGGCCAAAAATGTAGCCAAAAGGCCCCAAGGTCCAAGAGGTGACAAAGGAGTGGGAGAGCAGTAAGTTTGCCAAATAAAATACAAGACAACTTGTTAAATTTGAGTTTCAGATAAACAACAAATAATGTCTTAGTATCAGTTCCAAGTATTTCATCAGACAAATTTATACTAAGAATGTATTCATTGTTTATTTAAAATTCAAATTTAACTGTACATCCCTTTTTTAAAAAAAACAAATATGGTAACCCTAGTTGGGGGCCAGAGTTGGGTGTCCATATGCTGGGCATCTATGTGCATAAGCACATGGCCCATTATGATATCGTTATTGATACCATTAGTATCAAATTGTGTATGAAAAGGTGACACTAGCAAGGCAGGATATATGAGCCAATCAATTCTCTTTCATTAACCCACATTCTGACACAATAGAAATTCTAAATTCAACCTGGCTTCCCTGGTATTTTCAAAATAGGAAGAACATATTTAACTTTTACACTTTGTTGGCTATATTTATAATGTTTAAATATTTAGACATTTTTAATTTATGTGGTTCATTTTCAATCTTGTCCCAGCTATAACGTCAAGAGGTGGTACTGTTGCAGAAAAGCACTCTAAGCGTCAATATTATTGTTAATCACATTTAAAGAATGATGAAAGTAAGACTTAGAAAGGTCATTCAGCTAGAGGAGTCCATTTTCAATGTCAGATCTCTCTAAATAGAAATCAAATTGTCTTCATCACCAAAAATAATTTACTACTTACAAGTAAATATATATTTTTTTCTTTTCTTTTTCTTTCAATCATGGCTCACTGCAGCCTTGATGCCCCCAACCCGCCTCCCCCCACCCCCACCACCAGGCCAACATGGCAAAACCCCATCTCTACAAAAAATGCAAAAATTAGTCAGGCATGGAGACAAGTACCTGTAGTTCCAGCTACTTGGGAGGCTGAGATGGGAGGATCGCTTGAGCCTGGGAAGTCAAGGCTACAGTGAGCCACAATTGAACCACTGAACTCCAGCCTGGGTGACAGAGTGAGACCCTGTCTCAAAAAAAAAAAAAAGAGAGATGAAGTCTCCCTTTGTTGCCCAGGCTGGTCTTGAACTCTTGGCCACAAGTGATCCTCCCACCTCAGTCTCCCAAAGTGCTAGAATTACAGGCATGAGCCGCTGTGCCTGGCCATAAGTAAATATATTCTTTGATCACATAATTTAATATGCATGCATAAAACTAATGCATTTCATGGGATATTAAAGATAGGTATAAAGGAAGTCCTAATTGTTCAGGCTTTGATCTTGAGTTTTATTGGCCCAGACACCTGATTTTATAAATGTGCCCACATTTGATAAAACTGTGGGTATGTGTTGTAAATATACAATTCACAACACTGACTTATAAAACAAACTGGCAATTTAAGTTTACAATGGCTAATATATCTGGCAGAATGATCATTTGTAGCAATTCCTCTTTATGGGAAATGCCAACCAGAAGCTCAAATTATAACTCAGAAAATTGCTTGTCTAATGTTGGAACAAAGGGAGTATATCTTAGTTTTTTGTTTTTTTGAGACAGGGTCTTGCTCTGTCACCCAGGCCAGAGTGCAGTGGTGCAAACATGGCTCACTGCAGCCTCGACCTCCCAGGCTCAAGTGATCCTCCTGCCTCAGCCCCCAAAGTAGCTGGGACTACAGACGTGTGCCATCATGCCTGGATAACTTTGTATTTTTTTTAGAGATGGGGTCTCACTATGTTGCCCCAGCTCTGCCTTGGCCTCCCAAAGTGCTGGGATAACAGACGTGAGCCACTGCTCCTAGCCCAGGAGTATATATTCTTTGTTTTTTTGAGATGGAGTTGCCCAGGCTGGAGTGCAATGGCGTGATCTCGGCTCACTGCAAGCTCCGCCTCCCTGGTTCATGCCATTCTCCTGCCTCAGCCTCCCGAGTAGGTAGGACTACAGGCGCCCGCCACCACGCCCGGCTAATTTTTTGTATTTTTAGTTGAGACGGGGTTTCACCGTGTTGGCCAGGATGGTCTCGATCTCCTGACCTCATGATCCGCCCGCCTCCACCTCCCAAAGTGCTGGGATTACAGGCGTGAGCCACTGCGCCCGGCCAGGAGTATATATTCTTAAGCTAACATTTCCATCAAGATAGGTGAATTATATGCAAAAGAAAGGAAATCAGTGTATCGAAATGATATCTGCATTCTCATGTTTGTTGCAGCACTATTCACAACAGCCAAGATTTGGAAGCAACTTAAGTGTCCATTAACAGGTGAATGAATAAGAAAAATGTGGTGCATATACACAGTGGAGTATTATTTCGCCATTAAAAAAAATGAGATCCTGTCATTTGCAACATGGATGGAACTGGAGGTCATTATATTAAAGGAAATAAGGCAGGCACAGAAAAAAAACTTGGTATGTTCTCATTTATTATATTTGTGGGAGCTAAAAAATTAAAACAATTGAACGTATGAGAAACGGTAGAACGATGGCTACCAGAGGCTGGGAAGGGTAGTGTGGGGCGGGGGAGGACCCCGGTGGTCGGTGAGCATGGTTAATGGGTACGAAAATACAGTTTGAATGAATAAGATCTAGTATTTGATAGCACAATAGCATGACTACAGTCAACAACAATTTATTGTACTTTTTTTTTTGAGACAAGAGTCTTGCTTTGTTGCCCAGGGTGGAGTGCAGTGGAGTGATCTCGGCTAACTGCAACCTCCGCATCCCAGGTTCAAGCTATTCTCCTGCCTCAGCCTCCCGATTAGCTGAGATTACAGGCGCCCGCCACTACGCCCGGCTAATTTTTTGTATATTTAGCAGAGACGGAGTTTCACCATGTTGGCTAGGCTGGTCTCAAACTCCTGACCTTGTGATTCACCTGCCTCAGCCCCCCAAAGTGCTGGGATTACAGGCGTGAGCCACCACTCCCAGCTTATTGTACATTTTTAAATGACTAAAATAACTGGATTGTTTGAAACACAAAGGATAAATGCTTGTTATGGATACCCCACTTACCCTGATATGATTATTACACATTGCATGCCTGTATCAAAATATCTCATGTACCCTATAAATATGTACACCTACTATGTACCCGCAAACATTAAAAATTAAAATATTTTTAAAAAATTAATTAATTAATCAAATTCCATTCTAAGAACAATCAAGCCGAAAGTGAGGAATTACTTTAAATGCTTTGAAGCTCAGCATCCCGGGGTTCTTATCCGTCACTAATTACCTATACATTTGCAGGTCTCAGTTTCTTTGCTTTGTAAACATAGGCTTCTTGTAAGGATTGGGATTATACACTGAAAAAGCTTAGCACAGTATTATTACTATTATGCTATCTACATTATATTATAGGTGAAACACTACAGATTATAATACATACAATATATACTAATTGTATTATATATTGTTATTTTTTGTCATTATGCTATTTACTATTGTTCTATTTAATAACTCTCTAGATAATTTAACAGGACAAAGGTACAGAACAATCTGGCCCTTACAAGCCGGCGGAGACGGGTACGAATTACCATGACAACAGCGCGCGCCTCGACATTGTCGGCTCGCGCGTTGTTTGGGAAGAAAAAGCCTAGGCTGCGTGTTGCGTCATCATTACGCGCTCTTAAGGTTTCTCCGTGGTGTTTTGGAAGGTCCCGGCACGGCTACCGTCGCCCCACGCTAGGAAATTTTTTTTTTATTTTCAACCTTTGTTACATAGCACTGAGGCTACAAGATCGTAAGTACTGAGGGAAGAAAGAACAAGCGAGCGATTGAACGTTAAAAAGATGCCTTAGCATGCACTCCACCTCTGAACCTTCCTGTGTGTTCTTAATCCTATCAGCTTCCTCTCAGCTGGGATCGCGCCGCGTCAACTTCCGGGCGGATGCCCGCCAGCACGGCCTCCGCCGCTCCCCTTCTTTGGCCCCTTTGTGTCCCCGCAGTGTCGAGGCGCGGGCCCTGGCAGGTCCTTTCTCGAGGCAGGGGGCACGGTAGCACAGGGAGCTTCTCTTTGTGGGCGGGCGCGAGGCCCGCTAGGGGGTTATACTGGGGAACGTGCCTGCGCGTGCTTGGGTAAGAGGAGGTTGCATGAGGGTCAGCTCGTGGTTTCAGTAAGGAGGGGCGGGCGGGGGAGGCGGACGAAGGGGAGTGAAAAGCAATGGAAAATTTTAAAAGATACCCCCGTCCACCTTCTAATTGTTGCGGCCTAACAATGAAGCGCAGCCATAACAGTCCTGAGCCACTGGCATGTTTGCGGGCCCTTTATTGCCTTGGGAATAAACTGCTGTGGCATTGTATCGTATATTGTTTTCATGGCCTTTTTTCCTCTCTTTATTTTTCCCCTGCAGATAGTTCATTTAAAGCCCCCATCCCTGCAAGGTGGTGCTTTCTACCAATATGAATCTTTTCAACCTGGACCGTTTTCGCTTTGAGAAAAGGAATAAGATTGAGGAAGCGCCCGAAGCAACCCCTCAACCTTCCCAGCCTGGCCCTTCTTCACCAATTTCTCTTAGTGCTGAAGAGGAGAATGCTGAAGGGGAAGTTAGCAGGGCAAACACTCCTGATTCAGATATAACTGAAAAAACAGGTGAGTTACAATGTTAAAATTGATGTAACATCAAGGACAGTTTTTAAAAGATGAAAGGCAGAAGGGATTCTCATTTTTATTCTTGATGTCATATATATTGATGCATTGTCCTGCGGTGTGCCCTTTTAAATACAGCTTTGGGACTGCCATAAGCACCATGTACCCTCAACTGAGCATCCATCCATTGTCGCCTCACTTTTATATGAGTTCTTCGAATATGGCCCCATGGTGGAAGTTGAAATTAGAATTTAGGGCATCCATAGGTCAGAACGGTTGCTATTGGAAGAGCGATGTCAGTGATTCAGTCCTATGATAAACTTTGAGGCTATTTGGGCAGACATTTTCATTCATTCCAGTATTCCCTCAAAATATTGATCATCTACTGTGAGCTAGACATTGAGCAAGGTGCCTAAAGACAACCTCTGTACACAAGGGAAGATCAGATCACATCAAGTTCTTGCATCCACCTGACTTCCTGGATGTCCTCAGAATGCAAATGAGTAATTGGTATTCTTCATGGTGAATGAACATTTTTAACCTCATCAGCAGATTGTCAGAGACAAAAGTATTTGAGGATAAGCCAAAAATTAAGATTTCCACTCGAATCTATGTTCATTGAACAGTTAACTATTAGAGGAATATATTTGAGCTCTTGTTGTATTATAGGAATAGTGATAAGTGCTTCACCTTCTGTCATTTAATTTGCACAATAATCCTACAAGGTAGATATTACTGACATAGAGGTTAATGTGAAATGAGATTCAGAGAGGTTATTAGGAACTTGGTAGAGCCTGAACTCAAGTCCTGGCAGTATGATTCCTGAGCATAAACTAATTAGTTAGTTTCTTAGGAAAGGTGAAAGGAATGTTGGAAGTTATATTTTAATATTTATTTCAGTAATATCTTTTTTTATGCAAAACTCTGTTTCGTAAACAGCTTTTAACTTAATGTAGCCTGAAAGATTGGTAACACACATGTTTATCCTTGGTATCTTTTTGTTTGCCACCCTTCTACTTAAATGTAATAATGATGGCAGATCCTCTGCAAGTTATCATTAGAATAACATTTTTAAATACTTTGGTGTAATTGGAAATTGGCAGAATGATTTGGTAGATTGGATTAGGAGTCAGATTTACAAAGGCTTTGTCTAAGTAGTTTTGAATTTAAATGCTATAGGGAACAACTGAAGGATTTTAAGCACCAGGATTTTAATCCCTGTGTTCACTCTTTGAATAGATATTTGACATCCAGGTATTTTAATGCTTTTCCAATGAATATATTTGTCTGTTTCCTCTGTAGTTAGATAGTTCAGGAAAGCCAAGGTGTAGACATGGGATTTCGAGTCCATAGAAGCTTCTGCTTCTTCATTTTTGTTAAATGTGGGACATTAGACAAGTCATTTGAAATCTGTGATCCACACTTTTTTCATCTCTGAAAGTGAAAGCAGTTTGTAAACTGGATTTCAGTGGAATGTTTTAGTTATTTATCAGTATTGGTCATGTGAAATCTTTAATTTCCTTTAGTGATCAGAAGATATTTTTCTGTTTTTATTTCTTTCTAATGATAACACTCATTTTCTCTTTATTGGGACTTTTTTCCATACATAAATTCTGCTTAAAAACTGAGATTGCTTTAGGAATTACATGATCAGCCTTGATGGCTTCGGGAAATAAGAAAACTAAGTTTGTTCTAGGAATGTTGAGAATTAATCCTTGTAGGAATGGAGCACTTTGCTTTAATAAAAGATTGTTTTAAATGATACTGTGAATTTTGGAGAATCTTGAAAACTGAGAAGTTTAGATTTTACATTGTAAGTATTAGATATCCATTGAAGAACTTACAGAGTGAATGGAAAATGGTGAAAGAAAGTTTTAAAAGTCAGTTTAGCAGTAGTGACTAGTACACACTGATTGAGGGTAGGGATTGAAGGGAAAGAAAACATTTAGGCAACTCCTGTAATTGAGCTTAATGATAGCGGTAGAAATGGAGAAGAAAGAGATATGAGAGGTTTCAAAGTAATGAAGGGCAGGGTTTAGATCCCTGATGGGAATGAGATAAGATGAATGGTAAGATTTTTATGCGCGGTGGCTGAAGCCTGTAATCCCAGCACTTTGGGATGCAAAGGTGGGCAAATCACCTGAGATCACAAGACCAGCCTGGCCAACATAGTGAAACCCCGTCTCTACTAAAAATACAAAAATTAGCCAGGCATGGTGGAGCGTGCCTGTAATCCCTGCTGCTCAGGAGGCTGAGGCACAAGAATTGCTTGAACCTGGGAGGCAGAGGTTGCAGTGAGCCTAGATCACACCACTGCACTCCAGCCTGGGGGACAGAGACTGTATCTCAAAAAAAAAAAAAAAAAAAAAGGTAAATGTCTTTAAGAATTCAAATAAGAATCGAAGGTCTGGCTGGGCACAGTGGATCACCCCTGTAATCCCAGCACTTTGGGAGGCTGAGGCGGGCTGATCAGCTGAGGTTGGAAGTTCAAGACCAGCCTGACCAACATGGAGAAACCCCGTTTCTACTAAAAATATAAAATTAGCTGGGCATGGTGGTACATGCCTGTAATCCCAGCTACTCGGGAGGCTGAAGCAGGAGAATCACTTGAACCCTGGAGGTGGAGGTTGCAGTGAGCCGAGATTGTGCCATTGCACTCCAGCCTGGGCAACAAGAGCAAAACTCCATGTCAAAATAAATAAATAAATAAGAATAAAAATCAAAGGTCCTGCCCCCAAGTGCTAATTTAGCCTGGGGTCTAGGGATTGCTGAGGAAGTGGGGATTCAGAATTGAGTGTTGGATCTCTGGAGAGGACAAGATACTGAAGTTAGATTTTAAGGTCAGGACTGGAGATGAAAATTGGTGAATTATAAATAGGATGTGACTATTGACCTTACTTCTTTATCATGTGGTAACTTTTCATACTCCCATTGTGGGATAATGCTGCGTTAGTTTATTTACAGTAAAGTGTCAGGTCAAACTAAGTCAGCTTACAGGACAGAAATTGTATGTAGTCAAAATTACCTGTAATCACTCTTTTTGACTAATCCTGTTATTTTATCTAGTGAGTTGACTTCATTTCCTATGACCCTCCTTCAGTTACTGTGCCACCACCACATTGTTTCTTGAATCTTTCAAGCAAGGTCCCATCTTTGCTTCTTCCAATTTGCTTTTTTGCCTGGAAGACTCTTCCTGCTGATATTTGCATATGACTCAGATGCTTTGTTTCATTAAATCTCAGTAAAATGTCACCTTTTTAAGAAGACCTTCCTTGATCACCCTGTGAAATAGCCACCCACCCCAGCCCACCCTACCCCAGCTTTACTGTTATTTTTCTTCATAGTATTTATCACTAGCTAACCTTTCATTATGTAGTTGTGTATCACTAGCTAACATTACATTATATAGTTGTGACTCCCTTGTTAGAACATATGATTCATGAGAGCAGGACCTTATCTGTTGTGTTCACCTATTTATCTCCATTGTTCAGGGCAACGACTGGCTTGTCGTAGGCCCTCAATAAGTGCATTGAAGTAAATATTATTGCATGATGAGTGGGCATTATTAGTACTTTATACATTTTTTAAAATTTATTTATTATTTATTTGTTTTTAGACAATCTCACTGTGTGGCCCAGGCTAGAGTGCAGTGGCAGAATCTTGGCTCACTGCAACCTCTACCTCCTGGGTTCAAGTGATTCTCATACCTCAGCCTCCCGAGGAGCTGCGACTACAGGCTCATGCCACCATGCCCGGCTAATTTTTGTATTTTCTGTAGAGACGGCATTTCGCTATGTTGACCAGGCTAGTGTCAAACTCCTGACGTCAAGTGATCCACGTGCCTTGGCCTCTGAAAGTGCTAGGATTATAGGCATGAGCCACCACGCCCAGCCCTATACATATTTATTTATTATTATTTTTTTGAGATGGAGTCTTGCTCTGTTACCTAGGCTGGAGTGCAGTGGCACAATCTCGGCTCACTGCAACCTCTGCCTCCTGGGTTCAAGCAATTCTCCTGCCTCAGCCTCCCAAGTAGCTGAGACTACAGGTGCACACCACCACAGCCGGCTAATTTTTGTATTTTTAGTAGAGACAGGGTTTCACCATGTTAGCCAGGCTAGTCTCAAACTCCTGACTTCAGGCTATCTGCCTGCCTTGGCCTCCCAAAGTGCTGGGATTACAGACATGAGCCACCACACCTTTATTTTAAAATAGGACCTTAAAATAGTCCCTTTAGCCATCAGGTGTTCTTTGGCCATGGTTGCTTGAAGCTTCTTTTGGTACAGGACATCCTCCCTAATGCCCCTCTAAATCCCAGCCAGCCTTTGGATTTGAGGGCATACACTTAACCTCTGCCCCCTGATTTATTTTACTCTTCTCGGTGCCCAAAGTTGTCAATGATTGTTATTTACACATTATTTCTCCTTTTTTTCTTTGACTTTTGGGAGTACAGTGAGTTTGGAGGGATTGAAATAATGGCAGGTGAAAGGGAAGAGAGATCCTACTATATTTTATGAATAAAGAATAAAAATGAGTGAAGCCTGATCCTCCAAGAGCACCAGGAGAAAATGGTATGTAAATATATAGTTAAAATAGTATGGTGTGATAAAACCATATAATAGGGCAAAATACTAAGCAAAGTAGAATCACTATCTGTAATTCACAAATGATTGAATTATCCATTCTTCAGGGGAGGATCACAAAAAGTCACAGAGATATGACCTTTGGAGTGGACTCTAAACAATGAAATCATTGTTTACTGGGTGAACAAATGATGAGAGAGTTGAAAATATATGTTGCCTCCAAGAGTCTAATATGTGTGTGGAGGGTTGGGGGCAGATTATAGAACAGGAGGTTTTAGACAATATAGATGAAACTGAAAAGATAGAAGTGTAAACCATTGGGTTGTGAGGGGCCTTTATATCCTGTGTCAGGGACGGTAGATCTTATTTGGTACACATCATAGAGCATTTCATTATGGAAATGCTATTAGTGAAGCTGTTGTATTCATTGAAGCCTCAATGTAGGGAAATGACTGTAGAGATGACAGAGGAGGCAACTGAGGGGAGTTGTAAATGATACGCATTTGATGATATTAGGTGATCAGTTGAATGTGGAGGATTTACAGATAACTCAAATGTTCCTTGCTTGGACAGCTGGAGGATTGACACCATGGACTGAATTAAGAGGTGAGTTTAGGAGAAAGATACTAAAAATTATGTTGTGTTTGCATTACCCATCCTATTTTAGTACCAAGGTAGTAGATGGTTGAATATTAGAGCTCAGAGAGTGGTCTAAACCCTAGAACTTGGGACTCATCAATGTCCTAAGCAGGGTGTACAATAAAA
Source organism: Homo sapiens (assembly GCF_000001405.40). NCBI lineage: Eukaryota > Metazoa > Chordata > Mammalia > Primates > Hominidae > Homo > Homo sapiens. The sequence continues at coordinate 94,213,930 of NC_000004.12, forward strand.
AACATCATTTGACAATGGGCAGGAAAACCAATGAAAAATTTGAAGGATGACTAGAATAGTCATAGAAAATGATAGTGTCCTGGATACCTAAATACCTAGTTTGGTATTTAGTTGTCTAGTAACAAATCCTGTAGAGAAGTCAAGTTGAGTGGGGACTGATCAGTGACCAGTTTCCTTGGAATTAAAAGTAACTACTAACCTTTAACAGTTTCAGTAGAATGGTGATGAGATAGAGATTATTCATTCAGGAAAGGAAAGAGAGAAATAGGTAACCTGATTGGGAAGTAATGTCAAGAAAATATGTTTCAGGATTATTGAAAATTGAGCGTTCTTTTGTTTTTTTTTTTTTTTTTGAGACAGTTTCACTCTGTCACCCAGGCTGGAGTGCAGTGGCGCAATCTCAACTCACTGCAATCTCTGCTCTCGGGTTCATGCCATTCTTCTGCTTCAGCCTCCTGAGTAGCTGGGACTACAGGTGCCCGCCACCACGCCGGGCTAATTTTTTTTTTTTGTATTTTTAGTAGAGACCCGGTTTCACCGTATTAGCCAGGATGGTCTCAATCTCCTGACTTGAGATCTGCCCGCCTCGGCCTCCTAAAGTGCTGGGATTACAGGCATGAGCCACCGCACCTGGCCAAGCGTTTGTTAACCAAGGACAAGAAGCTAGTGGAGAGGGAAGGACTGAGGGAGGGAGGTATCTGAAGAGAGGCATCAAGTGATGAGAACTGAAGAACAGTTGGACTGTTTAACTGTGCAAAAGAATAAAGACATATTTTCCCTGGGGGGGATAATTGAAGGAGATAAAAATAGATGGGTTCATAGATTATTTTGGCATTGGCGGAATGGAGGAAAGTTTTAGTATATGTTTGATGAATTTTTTTTTTTTTGCTGAAATAGATTTAGTCCTCTAGAGTGGTTGCCTTTTCAAGGTGGTTGTCATATTGAAAGTAGCACTTGTTGATAAGTGAGAGACATTTTTAAAACTATACCAGTCGTCAGAAAGATTTCCTGAGAGTATTGCTCTGCCACATACAGATTGTATGATCTTGAGTAAAAAGTCAACTGTTTGGGTCTTACAGTCTTCTCCTGGCTTTGCTTAGTTTTCTGTATTCCTTGCCCACATTAAAATGGTTATTATCCTTTGAATGATGATACTGAATGTATCATTTTAGCTTCATAATTCCGTGACCATTGCGCAATACTCAGTCTTTTTGTAGGTGTCTGTGGCCAAAATGTGAGCCATCGTTAAACCTGTAGATAGTCATTGTGGTTTCTTAATGTCTGTTAATGTTAATTGAAAAGCAATACTTAGTTAAAGGGTTAGTGCTGAATTGTTGTAACAGAAAGTACAATAAGTACTCAAAAGTAAGTAGGAATCTTAAGTGCATTTTAAATGTGCATGTATTTGGCTGGGCACAGTGGCTCATGCCTGTAGAGTCGCAGCACTTTGGGAGGCCGAGGCAGGAGGATTGCTTGAGACCAGGAGTTCAAGACCAGCTTGGGCAATGTAGTGAGACCCTGTCTCTACAAAAAATGAAAAAATTAGTCAGGTGTGGTGGTGTGCACCTGTAGTCCTAGCCACTTGGGAGGTTGAGACAGAAGAATTGATTGAGCCCAGGAGTTTGAGGTTATGGTAAGCTGTGATCACTACACTACATTCCAGCCTGGGCAACAGAGTGAGATTCTGTCCCAAAAAGGGGGGTGGGGGGGAGGAGGGGGATAGAAATATTATTTTAGTCATTGTCACTTCACCCTACACACAAATTTCACTAGTTTGTATCAGACTACATCTTGGTTTTGATGTCTGCTTTTTCATACCTGTCTAAAATATTGCAGACCTTTATTATCTTTAATAAGCTAATAGGCAAAAGTATGTTATTGTTGCTTTTTCTTTATTTTTTAGTTTAAGTATGTTTTCATAAATTTACTAGCCATTTGGATTTTTTGTGTTTCTTTATGCTTTTCTGTTTTTCTAATACATGTCTCTCCGATAAATTATTTGTAAGTATATCTTAAATTCCACGTGTCTTAGTCTGTTAGAACTGCTGTAACTACCATGAACCGGGTAGCTTATAAGCAATAGAAATCTACTCTTGGCAATTCTGGAGGCTGGGAAGTCCAAAATCAAGGTGCTGCAAGATTAGGTATCTCAGGGCCCTATTCCTAGACCACAATCTTTTAACCCCATGTGGCTGAATGAGTGAGGGGTCTCTTGGGCCTCTTTTATAAGGGCACTAATCCCATTCATGAGTGCTCTGCCCCCATCACCTAATACCCCTTCCTCCCTCCAGCAAATGTCACCTCCTAATACCATTACCATAATGGTTAAGATTTCAACATACCGTTTTGGGGAGTGGGGCACAAACAGACCATAGCACCCCCTTTGTTGTTTGCCATAGAAAAATTTTAGATTTTTATGTGGTCACCTTGTTCATCCTTTCCTCTAAGTCTTCTGCATTCCGCATTACCACACTATAAATATACTCATTCATATTTTCCTCTAGTATGTCTGTTAATTTTAAAAATTATGATAAAATACACATAAGAAAATTTACCATCTCAACCATTTTTAAGTGTACAGTTCAGTACATTCAGTTCAATACATATACATTGTCATGCAACTATTCTCCAGCACTCTTTTCATCTTGTGAAACTGAAACTCTTTATGCATTGAACAACTACTCCTCATTTCTGATTCCCCCAGCCCCCGGCAACTACCGTTTACGTTGTCTTTTTATGAATTTGACTATTCTAAGTATCTCATTAAAGTGGAATCATCACTTAGCATAACATCCCCAGGATCCATCCATGTTGTAGCATATATCAGAATTTCCTTCCTTTTTAAGACTGAATAATATTTCACTGTGTGTATATACACATTTTGTTTATCCATTCATCCATCAATGGGCACTTGGATTGCCTCCACATCTTGGCTGTTTGAATTGTATTGCAGTAAACATGAATGTGTAAATATTCTCTTTGAAACCCTGCTTTCAGTTCTTTTGGTTGTATACCCAGAAGTGGTATTGCTGGATCATATAGTAATTCTATTTTTAATTTTTTGCGGAACCTCCATACCGTTTTCCATAGGTGCTCCACCATTTTACATTTCTGCCAACAGTGTGGTGGGTTCCAGTTTCTCCACATCCTCTCCAACCTTGTTATTTCCTGTGTTTTTGATAATAGCCAACATAATGGACATGAGTTTGTATCTCACTTTGGGTTTCGTGTTGATTTTTAACTTTAAATCTCCTCTGAATTTTATTTCATTATAGGGACTAAAGAAAGGGTGATATCGTTTTCTCCTTTGTTCATTATTCACCAGTTACTAGTCAGTTTTTCATTTATTGAAAAATCCTTTTTCTTACATTAAAATGTCATCATTATAGTCTAAAATTCCCATGTTTGTTTGCATCTTTGGGTCTGTTAATCTGTTCCTCTAATCTTAATTTACCAGATTATTTTAATTTTTATAGTGTCATATATATGATGTATCCTAGATTTTGATGTGTTTTTGTTGTTGTTGTTTTCTCTTTGACCTGAAAGTTGTTTAGAAGCCATTTTTATGAGGTTTTGTCTCTTTTTAAAAAATTTCCAACTGGCAGAAATTTTGCTTGCATATTTTTGTTAACATTTACTTCTAATTTCACTGTTTTGTGACCAGAGAATGTGGTCTGTAGTATTTCTTCTTTGGGGGAAATTAACTCAGATTTTCTTTGTGGCCTAATATTTAATTTCTGTAAAAATTCAAGGGTGCTTGGAAAGAAAACATAATCTAAGTACAGATTTAATTATATGTCGAATAATAGATGAGTTTTATTATATCTTTGTTTTTCAAACTGGATCATAAACATTTATTGTGTCATAAAATCAATTTCTTGGGTCCTGACTAAATATGTATAACTACAATTTTTAATGGAGTAGAACAAATAGAAAATTATCAAAGTGTATTGCTTATAGTAAGAGCTGCTCACATTTTCTTTCAGTTACACTTGCAAATCTAACAATCTGTGTGCTTAGTATCATAATCTGAAATATGTCTCTCACAGTGGGTTTCAGTCAAAAATGTTTGAAAAACACTGTTCTACATCTTGTTTATTTTTGTGCTCTTGCTTTATTAAGAGCATAGAGAAAAGTTAATGCTTCATATTTGTCTCTTGACTCTTTGCCTTATATATCCTACAATTTTTATGCATTTCATTATTAGTATGGAGTTGGGATATGTCAGTTATATTTTTATTGTAGGTATAAAGTCTATTATTTAGAAGTCCCTCCTTTAGGTTTAACGCTTTTGCCTTGTTCAGTGTTAATTGCATGACTTTCTTTTCCTTTATGTTTTAATTAATTAATTGTTTTATTTTATTTTTTTTTTGAGATAGAGTGTCACTCTGTCCCCCAGACTGGAGTGCAGTGGCATGATCTCTCTCACTGCAACCCCCACCTCCTGGGCTCCTGAGTAGCTGGGACCTCCTCCTGACTCAGCCTCCTGAGTAGCTGGTACCACAGGCATGCATCACGACGCCCAGCTAATATTTGTATTTTTGGTGGAGACAGGGTTTCACCATGTTGCCCAGGCTGGTCTCAAACTCCTGACCTCAAGTGATCCACCTGCCTTGGCCTCCCAAAGTGTTGGGATTACCGCACCCAGACTCCTTTATGTTTCACCCTTTCTTTTGACTTAAATTTGAAATGGGGTTTTTTCCCTCATTTTGTCTTAGAATGATGTATTAGAAACTACTCTTTAATCTTATATTTAGTGTATTGTTTGTCTTTTCTAGGGTATTTATTAGAGAGTTTGATTCATCTTTTATTAAGATGCTAAAGGTATTTTCCTGTCTACCATGATATGCAAATTAAGACTACAGATTTTATAGTCTATTGTTTTGGTAATAACTCTTTTGAGACAGAGTCTCACTCTGTCACCCAGGCTGGAGTGTGGTGGTGGGATCATGGCTCACTGCAACCTCTGTCTCCTGGGTTCAAGCAATTCTCATGCCTCAGCCTCCCAAGTAGCTGGGATTACAGATGTGCACCACCACGCCTGGCTAATTTTTGTGTTTTTAGTAGGGACAGGGTTTCACCATGTTGGCCAGGCTAGTCTCGAACTCCTGACCTCAAGTGATCTGCCCACGTTGGCCTCCCAAAGTGCTGGGATTACAGGTGTGAGCCACTGTGCCTGGCCATATTTTGGTAATCTTCTAAGAGGGCAAATATATGATGTGTTTTAGTTGGTATTTGAAGGAACTGCCTTGAAAATCAGTTGCCATCTAAAGGATTGAACAGTGTAGAGCAATACATGATTTGAATATCAGAAACGGCAGGGATTTATAATTCTGCAAGACAGGTATAAAGGTTTAGGTGTTTTTATTCTATTTTGGGAGATCACCTTTGTTTATGGATTATCAAATTAATTTAAAGTATTTCTATGTGAATTCATAATCTCCCACTAGTGATTTTTTTTGTTCGAATGAGCCTTAATCTCCTACTAGTGATTTTTTGTTTGAAGGAGCCTTGATCTTGGACCACCGAAAAGGTAAAACCAGTGGCAAGCTTGAATGCTTGTTTTATGGTAGACTTAGATACGAGAACGGGTAAAGGGTACTGGATAAACTTGGGATATAAGATTGTCTTCTTTTATGCATACCACTCATACCACTGGTGGGAAATTTCATTTGGAATTACTCCCTAGGGCCATGGAGTCTTCCTGCATATGCTAATAATGTAAGTTCCCATTACCTTTGGTAATAAGAAAATATCTTTAAAACAAGTTAGCTTTTCCTATTGTTTTTATATGGAAGGACAGGCTGTTTTCCCTCCTGTTCATTTAGCATTTTGTGTATTCTCTCATTGCACAAATTATGCTTATAACATAGTTACTCATGAACATGGCTACTTCACTCCTATTTCAAAAGGGCAAGTTGAACTGTAACTTGCCATTATTTTGCTTTAATATCCCCCACCTGGTACAATGCCTTAAACACAGACAATATTCAGCATATGTCAGAATTGAATAGTAGCAGATGTCTTTTCTTTATAACTGTTTCTGCTTTTCACTATTCTTTCCTCTGTTTTTGTAGTTTTCCTTTTTGCTTCCTGTCTCTTTTATGGTACTACTTAAAAGTGCCTATTTGCTTTGAATTAAAAAGCGTCATTGCAGCAGGAATATCTTTTTAGCCATTGGCTGTTAGCTATTTTGCTGTTGCTTACTTCTGAAAATAGTCCAGATAAACAAATCTAAGTGTTCAGCACTATTCTAATTCTGATTATTGACTATACCAGTATGTTGATATATTATAAACGGCTTTTACTGATTTTATTTATTATTATTATTTTTTTGAGATGGAATTTTGCTTTGTTGCCCAGGCTGGAGTGCAATGGCGTGATCTTGGCTCGCTGCAACCTCTGCCTCCCAGATTGAAGCAATTCTCCCACCTCAGCCTCCCTAGTAGCTGGGACTACAGGCGTGTGCCACCACACCTGGCTAATTTTTGTATTTTTAGTAGACACAGGGTTTCACCACATTAGCCAGATTGCTCTCGAACTCCTGACCTCAAGTGATCTGCCCGTCTCGGCCTCCCAAAGTGCTGGGATTACAGGCATGAGCCACCGTGTCCAGCCCTCATCAGTTTTCAAAGTGTGGTCTGTGAACTTTTTGAATGTTCCCTGAGGACTTCTGAGGGTGTCTACAAGATCAAAACTATTGTCATAATAATATTAAGACACTACTTGCCTTTTTCACGATATTGATATTTGCACTCATGGTGCAAAAGCAATCATAGGTAAAATTGCTGGTGCCTTAGCACCACGGATCAAGGCCAAGGCTCTAGACGGTTCTAGTAGTCAATGTATTCTTAAAATTGTGTAAATGCCAGTATCACTTAAAGACTCTTGAAGCAGTAAAAATTAGTAATTTTATTAAATCTCAACTTAGGAGATGTCTTTTTAATACTTTGTGAAACAAAATGTGAAGTACGCATCACTGCATACCGTACAACAGTGATCTCAAGGGAAGGCGTTTGAGCAATTGCTTTGTGCTAACCAGTCACGTTTCTTTCCCAGAACACCACTGATTCACAAAGTATGGTTATACAAACTTAGGAATTTGGCAGATGTTTTCTCAAAATGAACAAAGTAATACAAAGAAAACAACACAGTATGTATTTCCAGTGATAAAACCCCAGTTTTCAAAGGAAAGTTTGAATTTTGGAAAACTAGTGTCCATGACTGTGAGTTTGACAGCTTCCAGATACTTAGACATTTCTGAGAAGATCAATGGTGATATTAACAAAAGTAATTTTTTAATATAATATCATGAAATGTGTCGACCTTTGGAAGATGTGTATTACTCAGTGAACTAGTATTTTCCAAATGACCAAAGCACAGTATTAGGAAATAATACATGGTTAACGGTTTTAACGTAATAGAATGCAAAATGTTTTTTCGTATGGTTCCAGTTTCCACATTGCAAATAACTCTAAGAAATTACCACCTGTCAAGTTTGGGTTTAGTATCAAAGAAAAATATTCACAATAATCTAAAAAGGCTATGAAAGTACCCCTCCTTTCTCCAACTACATAACTTTGTGAGGCATAATTTTTTCACAAAATGAAATGAAAACAATGTATTGCAACAGATTAAAGGTAGAAACAGATATGAGAATCCAGCCATCTTGTATTAAACCAGAGATTTTGACAAATATAAAACAGTGTCATCTGACTAAATAAATTACTTGTGGCTTGGATATATAGTTTTCATGAAGATGTTGTAGGGGAGCCAGAGATCACTTCCAACTCCCGTTTAGCTCTTATATGGGCTCTTTTGGCTGAATCTAGAAACCAGATCAACACCAGGAAGATTACAAAAGAAAAGCGTACCATTTTATTAGGTCTATATGTACATGGAGATCTACCCGAGAGAAATCAGAAGAACTGACCAAAGCAAGATGCTTTTTTACTTTTTAGACAAAGAGCAATAAATTTGAGAAGAAATGATAGGACAAAGGGGATCTGGCAATGGGCAGCAAACTTTTAGGGGAGTCACTAGGAGACATATGGGGGGTGTAAAACTGGTGGAAGATAAGTGTTACTTTGGTAAGTATATTTAATCAGGTCTGTGCAACCCTCAATTCTCAGTCACTGGTGATAAGGGCTATATATTTGCCCTGGTACGGAGAGGGTACCCCTCCCAGAGGAGCCTTCATGACTTGCTGCATGCAAGAAGAGATGAGTCAGCTACCCATTTCTGAAACTACAATTTCTCCAGTGTTGTCAACTCATATCAATGGTTTGGCATATTTTGAAATGACATGTTTTTCATTACTTCAATATATTATGTTAATATGTGAAATGTTTGGTTTTAAGTAAATAAATATTTAAACATTCACTTTTATTTTCAAGTATGGTAAGTATCAGAGATACAACTGACATAAGGAAAAACTCTTTGGGACTTAAAGAGTACGAAGGGGTTCTGAATTGGAGAAATGTTGTATCATAGCTTTTCCTCACCCAGCCCCCCACCCCCAACATTATACTATTTCCTCTGTTAATCACTTGCCAAGCAGGCTGTGAGGATGCCACTTGGTTCAGTACAGTCTGCATGTTTAATGTATATATTTTGAGAGTATATATTACATATCTGATAAGTGCTAAGTAATTGAGTACATAATGGGAAGTAAGCCAAATTTTATTTTATTTTTTCTGTATTCTTCTGTTCTGTTAACTAAGCATATTAAAGGTTAATTTTAAAAATTGAGGCTGGGCTTGGTGGCTCACACCTGTAATCCCAACATTTCAGGAGGCCGAGGCAGGTGGATCACCTGATGTCAGGAGTTCAACACCAGCCTGGCAAACATGGTGAAACCCAGTCTCTACAAAAAAATACAAAAATTAGCCGGGTGTCGGGGCAGGCACCTGTAATCCCAGCTACTTGGGAGGCTGAAGCAGGAGAATCACTTGAACCCGGGAGGCGGAGGTTGCAGGGAGCTGAGATTGTGCCACTGCACTCCAGCCTGGGCGACAGAGCAAGACTCTGTCTCAAAAAAAATAAATAAAATAAAAATTGTTATGTCTTCACCATGTATTTTGTACTACAGTCTGTTTAAGGGAGAAAAACAAAGAAAAGGTCAATAAAGAGTCATGTTCAGGAAGTTCTAGTTCTCCTAATCCTCACTAATTAAATTTTTAGACCCCCCTACAGGTGAAAAGATTATTCTTCATTTTTTATCTGCAGTCCAGTGCTCTGCCTCTGAGCTGTAACCCCTCCTGTCTTCATTTTTAATAAAGAGGGCCGGGCGTGGTAGCTCACATCTGTAATCCCAGCACTTTGGGAGGCCGAGGCAGGTGGATCACGAGGTCAGGAGTTTGAGACCAGCCTGGCAGATATGGTGAAACTCCATCTCTACTAAAAATACAAAAATTAGCCAGGTGTGGTGGTGGGCGCCTGTAGTCTCAGCTACTCAGGAGGCTGAGGCAGAAGAATCACTGGAGCCCAGGAGGCGGAGGTTGCAATGAGCTGAGATCACGCCACTGTACTCTAGCCTGGGCGACAGAGCGAGACTCTGTCTCAAAAATAAATAAATAAATAACAATAAAGAGAGTTTTTAAGGAAAACTGGACAATTCATTTTCTCATAGCCTTTCCTTTTTCTTTTTTTTTTTGGAGACAGAGTTAAGCTTTTGTTGCCCAGGCTGGAGTGCAGTGGCACGATCCTGGCTCACTGCAGTCTCTGCCTCCCAGGTTCAGGTGAGTCTCCTGCCTCACCTCCCCAGTAGCTGGAACTACTGGCGTGCACCACCACTCCCGGCTAATTTTTTTTTTTTTTTTTTTTTTTTTTAAAGTAGAGACGAGGTTTCACCACCTTGGCTGGGCTGATGTCGAACTCCTGACCTTGTGATCCGCCCACCTCGGCCTCCCAAAGTTCTGGGATTATAGGTGTGAGCCACCGCACCTGGCCTCTCATAGTCTTCCTGAAGTGTCAGAAAGTAGGACTTTATTGTTAAAGTGTTCAATTGACAGGCATTAGCTTTAGTTCTCATTTTTAATACAGTAAAGATCTAAATTTTTAGTTTTATGTATTTTTAGATTTGTGATACATCAGCAAAACTGTAAAATCAGAGTCTAAAGTACCTCTATACTTACTATATAGGAGTTTGGACTGTTTTATTACTTTGTGTATGATGATAATATGTAGGTTTCTTCATGTTTATGGCAATTAACATGGATGTGATTTATTCCACTACAGAGTTGTTTGCTCAACTTGCATGCAATGTTTATAAAATTGTTCTTTTGGAAAAAAGTATGATTTGCTTTTTGCTGTTGTTCCTAGGACTGCATTGTAGGAAATAGAGAAATGTTTGTGTTTTGGTGCTCTCTAGAGCAAATAGTAGTTGTATAGTACTTGGTTGTTGTTACAGGTTGAGTATCCCTTATCTGAAGTTCTTGGGACCAGAAATGTTTCTCATTTTAGATTTTGGAATATTTGCATATACATAATGAGATTGGGAATGGAACCCAAGTCTAAAACCCAGCTGATCTGTATTTCACATACACCAAGTTTGTGCGTAAAACAAAGTTTTTACAGCATTTTTGATCACATGAGATCAGATGTGGAATTTTCCACTCTTGGAGTCATGTCAGTGCTCAAAAGATTTCAGATTTTAGAACATTTTTTATTTTGGGTTTTTGGATCAGGATGTTCAATCTGTATTTACAGATACAGCTCGTGAGCCCTAATAATGATTGTTATAATTTAGTGTTACGATTTAATGGAGGTGGCTAATAGTTTTAGGGTATAACAGTTTAGACTTTTGGACTTGGATTTCAGATCTACTTTCTCCTATATGACTTTGGGCAAGTTGCTTTTTCTCTCAGGGTTTATTTCTCTCTTTCATGGGGGATATGTGTCCCTCATGATTATTGTGAGGTTTAAATGTTTATTATATTTGAAGACTTGATAATGACCTACGAGAGAATTAATGACAGCTATCATTTTTAACCTTTGAACTAAAGATTCAACTGGTCATTGCTTTTTAAAATTAATTTCCTAGACCAGGCACTGTGTTTACTTTAATACGACTCCCTTCAATCTGATCCATTCCTCCTAAAATATGTAAGGGTAAATGGTGGTTTTATTGGCAAAAGGGAAAATAATGTTGGAATTTACCCCTTGGAGAGAAGAGATCTTGGTGTAATACTTTATTGACCTGTTTTTGAACAGACAGATGATACCAATCATACTAGTTTTCTAGAACTGCCATAACAAAATGCTACAGGTTCGGTGACTTAAGAAATTTATTTTTCACAATTGTGTAGCTTTGAAGTCCAAGATCAAGTTGGCATGTGTTTTCTTCTTGGGCCTCTTTCCTTGGCTTGTAAGGTGATCTCCTTCCTGCCTTGTCTTCAAATGGCCTTTCCTTCTTTTGCATCCCGGTGTGTCTCCCTTTTCTTATAAGGACATCAGTCATATTGGACTCAGAGCCCATCCTGTAGGCCTCATTTTAACATAATAATTTTGAGGGTACAATCTCCAAATATAGTCACAAAGAGTAGGGCCCACACACATGACCTCAGTTAAACCTTAATTACCTTTTTAGAGGCCTCATCTCCAAATACAATTACATTTTGAGGTATTGGTGATTGGGACTTAATGATGGGGAGGAGTACACAGTTCAGCCCATACACCACATATTCATAAGAGCTAATATTTATGGGATGCTGGCTATGTGCCAATTACTGAACTAAATGCTTTACATATATAATCTGATTTTATATGCATATTAACTTTGTGATTATTAGTATCTGTATTTACAGAGGAGGAAATTAAGGCTTAGAGAAATTAATAAGATGAAGAGGTGGGATTGGAATCTTTTGGGCTGTGGTGTTCATGCTGTCTCAAGTAAAACCTAAGTGCTACAAAGTAAAAGTACAAGAGGAAAGTATTAGAATATAAAACACAAACCTATGTTATTTTGCAGTTTCCACTAAAGTCTTGTTAGTAAACAACCTGTGAAACAGAAAATGTAACACCAGCCCTGGTTGATGATTAATTTTTTTCTTTAAAAAGTGGTGAGAATTTTGATTTTTAGATTGGAAACAATGAATGAAATTTGAGATTTTAGCACATGATTATAACTAACAACAGATTCGTTTTCCAGTTGCTCAAAATATTTTTCTCCTTTTTATTCTCTTGCAGAAGATTCTAGTGTTCCAGAAACTCCAGATAATGAAAGAAAAGCAAGTATATCATATTTCAAAAATCAAAGAGGAATACAGTATATTGATTTGTCTTCTGATAGTGAAGATGTCGTTTCCCCAAATTGCTCCAATACAGTTCAAGAGAAAACATTCAACAAAGATACAGTGATTATAGTGTAAGCTGATTAATAGATATATTGTATTTGCATGTGTGTGAGATTTTCCAAGAAAAAAACCTACCTAATTTGAGATATTTTGGTGACTTCCCTTTTTTTTTTTTTCTTTTTTTTTTTTGCCCCACCTGCCTTTCTTGGCCACATCTTGGTTATTTTCTCTAACTTATAGTCATGGAGAGGTACAATGTGTGTGTTTTCTGGATAACAGTGATTTTTTTTTTTTTTTTTTTTTGATAACAGTGATTTTGAGAGCAGATACTTAATTTCCTTATTATGGAAGTTTAAAAGAATTGTTTAGTACCTTTGATCGTGTATAACTGCTTTATGATTTATTCTAAAGTCCATGAATCAAGTCATTTTAACATGTTTATTGGAAACAGTCTGAGCTAGGCACTGTTTTATGATTAGAAATACAACAGTGAACAAACCATCCCCAGCTTTCTTTCTGCCCTCACACAGCTTATATTCTAGTCAGGTAGAAAAGTAATAAAAGATGTAGTGTGTCAAAAGATAAGTGTTATGGGCAAAGGGAAGAGGAATAGGGAGTTAGGGTCAGGGAATCGTTTCTTTTTTTTTTTCTTGTTTTTTCTAGAGGTGGGGTCTTGCTATGTTGTCCAGGCTGCTCTCAGACTCCTGGCCTCAAGCAGTCCTGCCATCTCAGCCTCCCAAAGTGCTGGGATTACAGGCGTTAGACACCACACCTGGCTCGAGGGTCAGGGAATGGTTTCTAAAGAGCGTGGTCAGAAAAGCCTCAATTGAGAAGACAGTGCTTAATTGAGAAGACAGTGCTGGAGCAAAGACATAAAGGGGGTGAGAAAGTGAACCATGTAGATGTGGGGGAAAGAGTATTCCAGGCATTGGGAATATCATGTTCAGTGACTATATTATGCCTGGTGTTTTTGAGGAAAGTGGGAGGGACATGATGCGGAGTGAAGGATCTGAAGCCATAGTGTAAAGGATGAGATGAAGGAGGGGCTTCATCACATTAGTTCCATAGGCTGTTTGGTTTTTATTCTGACTGAGATGGGAATTCCTAGGAGAATATTGAACAGAGAGGTAAAATTATCTGAGTTAGATGTTTAAAAGGTCTTAATGACTGTGAGGGAGCAGTAGTAAAAGCATAAATATTGTTGTAATAACCCATCAAAAAATGATGGAGACTTAGATGAGGCTAGTGCCTGTGGGAGGGATAATAAGTGGTTAGATTCTGGAATATACTTTGAAGATGGAGCAAGAGAGGATTTGTTGCTGGATTTCATGTGGGTTGGGAGATAAAGGAGTCAAGGATCACCCTAAGATTTTTGGCCTGAGCAAACTGGAAGGATGGAGTTACTAGGTACTGAGATAAAGGTGACTGTTTCTGCTGTGGGTGGGCAAACACCTTTTGAAGGAAAGTCAGCAATTCATTCTTGAACATGCTATGATTGAGAACACTCCTAGACGTCTAAATGGAGATGTCAAGTAGGTATAATTAGATTTGGGACATTTGAGTTCTGGGGAGAGATTACATGTCTGAATTTACTAGGTGACAGAGTATTGGTTTGCTATTTAAAGCCATATGATCAGATGAAATCAGTGTAAGGGACACTAGTATAGTATAGCTGAAGAAGGGAAGTCCTCTTGGTTGAAATACTGAGGCTAGGGGAACTCTGGATTTTTAGAATCAGGGAGATGAGAAGAAACCTGTAGAAGGTTCTGAGGAGGAGCAGCTATTGAGGTAAAAGGCTACATGGTCTTCTAGAAGTTAAGTGAAGATAAAGTGTTGTAAGAAAGAGCAAGAGATCGGACTGTCTACTTCTGATAAGATGAGGACTTCATCTTAAAATGAACTTTTCACATGAAGCTGTGATAAACATGCCTAATTCTGAAATGTACTCCAAGATAAAATGTAGTGAAGATCCTGCATGGTTAATCCTGAGGAAAATTGTCATATTTTGGAAAAATTGTAGAAAAGTTGCAAAAAAAAATGCATTATCAACTCTCACAGTCTTTTCAGAATTACCCTTGTTAGCATTTTCCCACAATTGCATTATCACTCTTCGTAAACAGCAATTACAATAACTACTGAACACTTTGCCTGCAGTATTTTCTCATTTATCTCCTAAAAACAAGGTCATTCATTCATTTGCATATTAACAGTAATATTTCAAACCCAGAAATACCAATTAACACTAGTACAGTACTATTATCTAATATACTTTTCATATTTCAATTTTGCCAGTTATACCAGTAATGTCCTTTAGAGCATTGCTACTCAAAATACTGATTTATAAATAAGGAATATGTCTTAGAATGCAAATCAGGGTACTGATTCCTTCACCAAGAATATCTTGCAGTGAAAAAAAAAAAACAGCTGAACTAAGCAATGTGCTCAGTAACGTAGTTGTTTACGTTCTGTTGCTAGTTCCTTATGTTGTCATGGACAGACTACAGTTGGAGAACTAGCAGTCAGTCCCTGGACCATATTTTCAGTAGTACTTTATGGTAATTTTTTTTTTACAGTGGATTTAGTTTGTCATATCTCTTTAAACTCATTTAATCTGAAACTATTTCTCAGTCTTTTTCTGTTTCTCAGGATACTGACCTTTGAAGATAATAGGCCAGGTTTTTTTAGAATTTTTCTAAATTTGGGTTTAACTAATGTTTCTTCATGGTTAAATTTAGGTTAAGTGGAAAGACTACTACATACTACTACCTAAATGATCTTGTGTCGTCCTCAGTGTGTCATATCACCTTGAGGCATGTGTCAGGAGACACATGATATCCATTTGTCCCATTATTGTTGAACTTTGATGACTCAATTAACGTGGCCCCTGCTAGGTTTTGTCTGTCAAGTTACCATTTTTCCCTTTGTAATAAATAAGTTATCTGTGGAGAGATACTTTGAGACTGGGTAATAGTCCTATTCGCTAGCCAGCTTTCACTCAGTAGTTGTAGTATCTATTGATTTTTGTCGGATTAATTTATGATAATGATGGTGGGAAAATGTGGTATACTAACCAGTGTTCTAGAACTTAACACTTGTATTTGGTAGTCTGTAATGTTCCTTTTTCTCCCCATTTGTGCTTTTATTTATGTGGTACAATAAATATCAAAATGAAATTATAGATGTGTACTTATTCAGTGGTTTATAATTTAGTACTATTATTATTCATTTTGGTGCACAAATTTCTCAGTTTTGGCAGCTGAGGGCCTCTTCAAACAGGCTGTTGTGTTTGTTTGAGGGATTCCTATCATTTTCCTTTCTGGAACAAGGTATCCCAGACTTCTACTTCTCCTACCTCAAGCCTGAAATAAAAATTAGCAATTTCTCCAAGTAGTTCTGGTTCTTTTTAGTAGGAAATGATACTTGGAAATATAGAAACTTCTTCTGTGTTCTTTCTTTGCTGCTGGTGAGGTAGGAATTAATGTCATTGCCCTTTCAGCAGAAGGACCTAGGAAATACTCGGGTGTAGGGGGTTGGAGTTAGGGAGAGAGAGAAGGAAAAATGTGAAAATGTGTGGTGTTTTTTTTTTTTTAATCATTTGTTTACAGTGATACTGATAATTCTAATCTATCACTACAGGTCTTTTCTTTGCCTCTCATTCTGTTTTCTTCTGACAGTGAGAACCCTGACTTCTACCAGTATCAGTATATTTTACTAATCTGTTCAGTCATCAAGTATGCATAAAATAGTTTTAGAATAGCTACACCCATACTACTTGACCATTGAGGGTATACAGTCAATGCACTTGGATTATTAATTAATTAATTTAAATGTTTTGTTATTCATTTGAAATACCATTAATTATTTTGTATTCCTTTTAGGGTTTTTCCCTTGTTCTTTTCTTTTAAATTTTACTTTCAAATATTTAAAATATGAACAAGATTCCAAAAATCAAAACTCTACAAAGGATATACTCAGATCCCTTACTCTCTTTCTGTCCCTTCTCCATTCAAACCTTAGAACTAACCAGTTTGTTTAGTTCATTGTCATACTTTCGTGTATTTTTTTTTTTGTTTCTTACACAAAAGATAGCATACTACATGTGTGTATATTCATTTGTTCTTTTATTTACTTAGCATATATGTATATATCTCCTGGAAATCATATCAGTTCTAGAAATTTTTATTATTTTTTGCAACTCCATAGTACTACATTGTGTGAACATTCCTTATTTTATTCATTCATTCCCCATGTATGGGCATTTTGGTTATCACAGTTTCTTAAGCTTGACATTTATTGACATTTGGAGCCAGATAATTCTTTGTTGTGAGGTGCTGCCCTGTACATTTAGGATGGTTAGTTAAGTATCTCTGACCTCACCCCAGCAGATGCCAGTAGCATTTCCCTAGTCAAGACAATCAGAAATATCTCCAGACATTGCCAAATATCCCCTTGCAGCAAAACTACCCCCTACCCCAACTTTGAGAACCCACTGATGTGTATGCTAGAAACTCTGGCAGTAGATAAAATCTCCTAGGAAGCATTCATAGACAAGAAAGAACTGAAGGCAGAATCCTAGGTAGCTTCAGCAGTTGAAGAAGGTGAACAAAGGAAGAAGAGCCTGTTACAGAGATTCAGAAGGACAGGCTGAAAGGTAAAAGGAAAATCAGAAGTAATGTTGCAGAACCCCTGAGGTGAGGGTGGGGCCAAATTTTCAAGGATATGTTTGTCAACAATGTACAGGACAACACAGGAAAACTTAGATAAGCAGTGAAAAGTTTTTATTCCATTCAGCAGTTTAAAAGACATTATTGTCCTTAGTGAGAACAGTTTCACTGAGTTGTTGTGCGAAAGATGTAAAAACAATAAGTTTGAGAACTCCATAAGAAAGGATGTAGAAAATCAGTCTAATAAAATCTGTGAAATGGAGGAGAATGGGGTTTTTTGTTTGTTTTTTTTCTTGCTGCTGTGTCCACAGTGCCCGGAAACCCTGGCACATGGAATTAATTGAATTAATGCAGTCTTGAGCACATTGCCGATTGGGGAGGAAGAGCTTATGAAGAGAGAAAAGATTCAGGAGAAACATAGTAGATAGTTAGAGCAGAGTCTTGTAGATGTAGAAAGGGCTAGAATGCCTTAGCAGTGAGAGGGGACTTTGTCTTTAACAGGAAGGAACTTCTTTATCTGAGACTGGAAAAAAGAGCAAGTGGTCAACTCTGTTGTTCTTACAGGTTTTTTTCTTCTGTTTTTAAAGTTTCAAGCACACAAGAAAATGAAATAGTATATAAAGAACACCTGTATACCTTCCACCTAGATTTAACAGTTGTTTTCCTTATTTGTTTATTGTGTCACCTATTATTATTTTTAGCTGAAGTATTTTAAATTACGGACATCCCAGCATTTCTCCCCTTAATACTGGTTATGTATCTGCCATCTATCAATGAACAATTCTCTAATATCATTTAACTTGTACCTTAGGTTCAGATTTCATGTTTTTTATAGCTGATTTTTTTCAAAACCAAGATCTAAATTACATTTGGCTATTAGGCTTCAACTGTGTTAATCTAGAATGGGCCACTCCCCTTTTCTGCTTCTCTAAAGAGATCAAGTCTTTTCTCAGAAAAAACAGATTTTTCTTTTTCTTTCCTTTTTCTTTTTAGACAGAGTCTTGCTCTGTTACCCAGGCTGGAGTGCAGTGGTGTGATCTCAGCTCACTGCAACCTCTGCTTCCTGGGGTCAGATGATTCTCATGTCTCAGCCTCCCTAGTAGGTGGGATTACAGGCACCCGCCACCATGCCAAGCTAATTGTTTTAATTTTTAGTGGAGATGGGGTTTCACCATGTTAGCCAGGCTGGTCTTGAACTCCTGACTTCAGGTAATCCACCCACGTCGGCCTCCCAGAGTGCTGGGATTACAGGTGTGAGCCACTGCACCCGGCTGGTTTTTCTTTTTCTTCATGACATTATTTATTTTCTATCACTTGTATTTCCTGTAGTCTGGAAGATAAATCCAAGCCATAGTGATATTCATTGTCAGCATCAATATTTATTACATCATGAGGCACATGAATTTGTTAGATCATTGAGTCTGATCACTGGATAAAGGTTGTGACCACCAGAAGAGTAAATATCTTTGAAAGTGGTTATCCAGGGCAGGAATTATAAAAGGATTTTAACCTGAATGCTTTCATTTTCTCAGTCACCTAAGAGGCAAGGTCAAGTAGGGAGCAGGGAATATAGAGAGGCATAATGAAAATTCAAAGTTGAGTACATCAGGAATGAGAAGTCTAGGTATAATAATGCAAAGGAAATGCATGTGATTGTCCTCAAATATTTGAAGGACAGGCATAGTGATAAAGGAAGAGGTGTATTTGCCTCGTTACTTTAGAGCGGTTTCTCAGAGCTGATCTCAGGAAGTCAACCTAGAAGCTTTTGAAATACGTACACTGGCTAGGCATGGTGGCTCACACCTGTTATCCCAGCACTTTGGAAGGCCAAGGCGGGCGGATCGCTTGAGCCTAGGAGTTCAAGACAAGCCTGGCAGAAACTCTGGCAGTAGATAAAATCTCCTGGGAAACATGGCAAAACCCTGTCTGTACAAAAAACACAAAAATAGGTGTGGTGGCAAGCACCTGTGGTCTCAGCTACTCAGGAGGCTGAGGTGGGAGGATTGCTAGAGCCTGTAAGACAAAGGTTGCCGTGAGCCAAGATGGCACCACTGCACACCAGTCTGGGTGACAGAGTGGAACCCCGTCTCAAAAAAAGAAAAAACACACATATTCTGTTCTTTGGAAATTTGCTTTTAGATGTTCTTAGGCATCACATGTTGTGCCATAAAGGACACAACAGAAATAACATGAGTACATATAGAGAAATTGCATATTCTAGATATGTGTCTAAGAGAGCTATTCAGAAATAGAATTAGCAGCATAGCAAAGTCTGAGTTCACTAATGTTAAGATTATACCTAAGTATAGTCCCATCTTGCTTTCATTCTCTGATCTCTATAACTTACATTCATTTGTTACTGTTCTAGTTCTGATCTCTAGAGTGCCTACCATGTTTGAAAACCAAAATTTCAAAATGAGATTTTTTTGTTTAGGGAATAAATGAGTAAAATTTGACTCAAAATGTCTTTTATAAAGGATAAACATATGAAGTTAAATAGAACAGGAATAAAGTTAGTTGTTGGAGAATAAACCCTCATATGAAATAAATATTCCCTGTTTGCTGAGGAAATGTTTTGTTTCTGGCAGAGATTCCTATATTCAATGGGACCATTCTGATTTTAGCAGTTAGATCCTGATCACACCTAGGTAGGCCTGAAAATTACTTTATCTTTGTATCCATTTAATCTTCATAATTTCTTAGGAGTAGCATAACTTCGTCTGACATAGAGAGTATTGGTGAAAGAAGATGAGTAAAGAGGAAGTGGGCATGCAATAAATGCGTGTGAGTCCTAACAAAATAAATGCTAGGAAGTTCCTTTTGTTCGTTTCCATCCCAGCTCAGGGTTGAGATTTTTTCAGTGTATACTGATGTTGGTAATGCAGATTTTTCACATAACTACACTGAAATGGAAAAAAAAGGTCTCTTTCTGACAAGTATAGATTGCATTTACTATTGAAAAGAACTGCAGATGTGTTGTACTATGTATACACATAGACACTATAATGAAATAACATTAGTAATACATTAAAAATGTTTTTTGCTCCTCTAAAAATATTTTTAGTTCTGAGCCATCTGAAGATGAAGAGTCCCAAGGCCTTCCTACCATGGCACGTAGAAATGATGATATTTCAGAACTGGAAGACCTTTCGGAATTGGAAGACCTTAAAGATGCTAAACTTCAGACTTTGAAGGAACTTTTTCCACAAAGAAGTGACAATGATTTACTTAAGGTTATATTCATTGGTTATTGTAGCTGTAATGATGATAAAATCTCTCCTGCATTCAGTGCTATAGTTAGTAGTGGATAGTCATTTTTCTAAAGATATCTTACGTTTGAAGATATTAACTATTAAATCTAAAGGAAGTAAATGCCAGACATTTATTTATTGAAAGTCTTAACTTTTTAATAGATGAGGTTATTTATTTGTAAATAGTGCAGTAATTAAAGCCTTAATAGCGAACATAGGTTGTGAGTTTTTTTGTGTTTGAATGTTTCTAAAATGCATAACCTCCCCATTTCCATTAGAAATACTCAGAAATGTCAGGAACCACCTCACACAACTGTGACAAGGGTTTTTAGTGGCATTTAGTGCCCTGAAGCCAGCGATGCTAAACACCCTGCAGTACTAAGGACAGTCCATAACTAAGGATAGTCCTGCCAGTAGCACTCTTGCTGAGAAATATTGATTTAACTACAGAAACAAAGGAGTATAGTTGAAATGTAAAGTGATGTTTAGGTATCTCTAATTATAAGAGTAAATAAAAATTGACCAATTTAGTTTTAGGTAGAGAATAAATTTCTGAAGATTAATAAACAGTCTGTTCCTAGCTCTGCCACTTATTAGTTGAATTATCTTAGGGGAATCATTTAATTGCAGGTCCTTTGTATTTTCACCTTTGTATCTGTCTTCGCTGCTACCACTACCAGTTCTCCTCCTCACCATATGAGGCTTAGGAGTTACCATATCTGTATGGACTAGGCAGGTAACTTTGAAGTGGTAGAGACTAGTATACTATAGAGTACATATTCTTTTTTAAAGGGGTAGCTGCTGTCTAGCTTCAGCAGGACATGGCCATGTGAGCTGTCAGTGATAGCCCATTTTTACTGGATACTCAGATTTTTCAAATAAAGCCATAAGGCTGGATTTTTATTGAGGGTTGGTCACCACTTTAACAGCTATATTCCTATGCCTAAAATCACCCATTTAAAATATACAATTTTGTGGTTTTTACTATATTTATGAAATAATGCAACTGACTCCCAAAAGAAACCTTATATCCATTAGCAGTCACTCTCCAGTTTTGTCCCTCTCCCAGTCCCAGGCAACCACCAATCCTTTTTTTTTTTTTTTTTTTTTTTTTTTTTAGCTTATTGTGGATATTTCATATAAATGGATTCAGATATGTGATATTTTGTGACTGGCTGCTTTCACCTAGTGGAAAAGATTCGTCGCTGTTGCAGGATGTACTTTGTTCCTTTTAATGCTAACTAATTTAAAGAAAGATAAAAATAAACATGCTATTCAAGCCAAACAACACATGTCTGTGAACCATAGGTGGTCCTGTGCCTGCCAGTTTAAGTGTAGATTACATTATTTTTAATCTATGTTATTTTTGACATGAATCCACTGGATTTTTTTCCACCCAGATCATTTTGATACCAT
Source organism: Homo sapiens (assembly GCF_000001405.40). Classification (NCBI taxonomy): domain Eukaryota; kingdom Metazoa; phylum Chordata; class Mammalia; order Primates; family Hominidae; genus Homo; species Homo sapiens. Next base: position 94,235,557 of record NC_000004.12, read on the forward strand.
CTTACTATTAGCTAAATGAAACTTTAGTGATATCTTGAGTCTACATTTTCTCTGACAGCAGTGTTACTTGTCTGCTAATGTGAATTTTTTTTTTTTTTTTTTTTGTGGAAACAAATGTAGACATGAGGGCTAAAGTATTTTAAAGCAGTAATAAGGAAAGAGCTTCTAATAGAATAAACATGGAGTATTAAAATATTCAACATAAAGGGCCAAATCTCAGTTTAAAAATACTTTCACTTGATTGCCAATTTTTAATGTAGTTCAGAGTTTTTTTCTTGTAAAAATCTTTCTAATTTTGTAATTTTATTGGAAAAATAAGATTGATATGCATAATTTCCCTGAATGTTTCATAAATCAGTATCTGAAATTGTGTAATTTAGTATATCACACACTCCAGAGCACTCTCTTGAAGTAATCTCTATTTCAAGTGATCCCCTTCAGTTCTAGAAATTTAAAGGTAATGTTTATAAATTACTCAACAAAAGGTTTTAAATCCATGTAAAAGAATTCAAGAGGTTGTGAAATAGTTCTAAGCTTGCTAAGAATATGCTTTGGCTATTTTGAAAATGAAGAAGGCCAATAGGATATATCTTAGCATCCAAGATTAGGAAAAATTAGTGTGGAAGAGAGCACTTTGATTTGAGGCTACTTGATTTAATACAAAAAGTAGCTTATTTAAAAGTAAGATCTTTTTAAAACAAGTAACTCATTTGAAATATGGGAAGCTATAATAGGAGAAAAATAGGGGATTTTAGTTTCTTCTGAAATCTAAAATTACTGAGCAGTATAAAAACAGTATATTAGAATGATGTCATGCAAGCAATATATGCATATGTTCTTGAAAAGATTCAGACAATTCAGAAATAGAGTAAAAATTAAGAGCCCCTATCCCATTTATCTCGAGCAGTATTAGATTTTTTTAAAAGAGCAGAATTGTCCTTTTTCCCCTAGAAATTAAAAAAAAAGTAAATAGATGTCTGTCAGTCTCCTCTTTCCCCTTTCTCTCTCCATCTGACACACACACATACACAAACGTGAGCATGCACACACAGGCACGGAGTGGCCTGGACATGTTAAGTAGGAAGTTTTGTGTAAAACTTTGTAATTAAAATAGCAAAAACCTAGAAAATACTGTATATATGTGATTGTGTTTTAATTTTTCCTTTATAGTAAGAATGAGTCAACCTGATACATTTTAAAATATGCTTAAAATTCAGACCTTTTACATAAAACAGATTTTCTGAAAATTTATCATAGGACTTAATGAACTTAAACTATGACACACATACTTTCCTGTCATGTTTATATTTAATATGTTTGTTCTTAAATATTTCAGTAACTGAAATAATTCTTAAAGTGCTGATTTAAAACATTAATCTTTTCTCGTTCTGTTAGTTGATTGAATCAACAAGCACTATGGATGGAGCAATTGCTGCTGCCTTGCTGATGTTTGGTGATGCAGGTATGCTTGACTTAATTTTAAGCCATGTCGATTTATTGTTACGTCATAATAATAGTACCTTCTCATTAATATTGCTCCACAGTTTATCAAACACCTTTATGAATTCTTACAGGAATTTGTGAGGTATTAATAGTTTCACTGTTTTTCCCTAAAAAGGGAAGAAGTTTCTCACTGATAATTTTACTGCTTTTCTACCAATCAAATCTTGTAACAGTGAAGTTTTGTAGGATATATTTTCTCTCTTTTTAAAGTATAATTTCTAGTTGCATTGTGGTTTTATTATAGGTTTACGAATCTTAGTAGGAACATAATGTCTTAGGGAAAGGCGTAGCTGGTAATCAACATTCCTTTAGTAAATATTTTTTCATGTTTCAGGGGCTTGGGATACAAAAATAAATGCATTTGAATGAGCTTGCAATATAGAAGCGTGTCCAGTTTTTAAATAAATGCTGACTCGATTTTTTTTAACTTACACATACTAAAAAAAAAAAAAGTAAAAATCACCTGACCCTACTACTAAAAAAGTATTTAAATAGTGAAAGCAAACCCACACTTCATTAACCACCCTTAAATTATAACCACCTTTTATGTCATTCTCAACTTTTTTCCTGCTTATATACACTGGCATACAACACACATACATTAGGTTACAAAATGTAAATATATTGGTTTACATCTTTTAAAAAATCATATAATAATTTGTCATGGATAGCTTCACATTCCTCTGTGACTACCCACAGGATTAGTTTAACTGTTTCCCTATTAGCACTTACGTTTTCATTATTTCATTATTATAGCACTAAAGTAAATGTCCTTATACATAAATAGAACAAAAATTTCTGTTATTTATATAGGCTAAATTTCAAACTAGGATGTTCAAGCAAAGTGTATGCACATTTTAAATTTTAATATGTATTTCCATGTCCTTTTGTTAAAGGTTATGCCAGTTTATGCTTTTATCAACAGTATGTTTCTGAATGCTCATTTTTCTAAGTGGATTCTTACTACTATTAATTTTTTCGAGGTTTAAAATATGTACAAAAATACAAAACGATGTGTTCCCATGGACCCATCATTCTCCAATAATTATCCACCTCATTTTTCTTCCACTAAGTGGCCTGTATTCAAGTAGATTCTACATAAGATTTTTATTTTATCCATATGAAATATTTTAAACCTTTAATTTCCTCCAGTTTGAGCAAGGAGACAGTATTTTGTGGGTGCTACCTACAGTGTATCAAGATTCTTTTTTGTCTTCTATTTATTAATAGCTGTGTGACCTTGAGCAGTGTTGCTTGACTCTTCTGTCTTTGTTTCCTTAGCAGTAAAGTAGTATAATAGTGCCAAACTCAAAGGTCGTTGTGAAGAACTAATAATGTATACTACTTCTTATGGTGCCTGGTACATAGTGAGTGCATACCAAATGTTAGCAACTATTTGTTTAAGGGTCATCTGATGATTTAAAAAAAAAGTTAGAGGTGAATGTTAGCTGTGTCTTCCTCATTATTTCGTCCCTAGCACTTACTTTAAAAGCTTCTGAGCTAGGATTGTGCCACTGCACTGCAGCCTGAGTGACAGAGCAAGACCCTGTCTCAAAAGAAAGAAAGAAAGAAAGAAAGAAAAAACCTCCTGAAAAATGATACGCTCAGTGAACATTTGTTGAGCTGCAAAATAGCTTGGGAAGTTTTGTAGCTTCCCAATACATTCTTGCTCTCACATTATCTCATTAGTCCATAAACATTTCATTAAAAACAGGTTGTGGAATTACTTTATTCCACGGTGGTATCTAATCTTTTTTCTCTTGAGCAATTCATCTTATTCAACTTATTCATTAATTTCACAAATATTTATTATGCTGCTTTTACTAGGTAGCACAGGCTGTGGCTTAGGTACTGAGGTTACATGAGGAAACAGTGGATACAACCTCTGCCGTCATAAGAGTTTACAATCATTAAATTTATTTAACTTCAGCTGAGCTTTTTCTTATTCCATTGTACTTCAGATTATTTCAATTAAAAAAATGTTAAATGGCAAATTACAAGGAAATAAAAAATTAGGATTTTCTGGTTTTTTAATTAAACTTCCATGCTGCATCATGGAACGGACAGAACAGTCTTATCAGACATCTTCATTTTTAGTGTAGTGCACTTTGAGGTAGTATATAGAATGACAGGTTTGTCTAACCTTGAAGATAAGGTTAATCTTCAGTATACTATGTTATTGAGACAGGAAACTATACTTGCCATTTTAGGACAGTTTTCAACAAAAGACCTTTTTAAATACCTGTAAGTGATCTTTAACAGATCCAGAAATTGTGACAGTTCCCATTGTTTCTTTTAACCACAAATTGCAGTCTTAACAGACAGTATCATCCTGCGTATTAAACACTAGGGATGTTTTTATGCTGTTTGTTTTGAAAGTTTGTTTTTGAATATGAAATTACAGAAACAAAAAAATGTATATCCAAAGTTTTTACTCTACTTCAGAAGATAAGAGTACGAATTTATTGATGTTGTCCGGAGTCTCTCTAGCTGCCCTGTTGTGTTTTTTTTTTTTTTTAATTTTTTATTTTGAGACAGGGCCTCACTCTGTCACCTAGGCTGGAGTGCAGTGGTGCGGTCTCAGCTCACTACGACCTCTGCCTCCCAGGCTCAAGTGATCCTCACGCCTCAGCCTTCCAAGTAGCTGGGACTACAGGCATGCACCACCACGCCTAGCTAATTTTTGTAGTTTGAGTAGAGATGGGGTTTCACCATATTGCCAAGGCTGATCTCGAACTCCTGAGCCCCAGAGATCTGCCCACCTCAGCCTCCCAAAGTGCTGGGATTACAGGCATGAGCTGTGCACCTGGCTTCTGTTCTGTTCTTTTTAGGAAAGAATTCAGCATGTCTAGGTGATGTGGCAAGATTATCTGGTTTGAAGGTTTTTTTCAGACTTAAAATATTACATTTAGAATATTGTGGTTAGTGTTTGTAGTGACACAAATACTCTGCTTTAAAATGTTAATAACATTCCATTTTTATTTTGTAATAGCCATGTTAATGAAATTTTTAAGCTGACATGTATGTATGTATTTGAGCTGCATAGTTAGGGCTCTGATATAATTAATGCTGAAATCTTAAACCTTTGTAGTCTTTAGCAGGTGCTTTCATAGTAGCACAGCAATATGTCTGACAAACTTGTTCTCTGAAAGCAAAAGTATTTAAGAAGTAGGTAAATATATACATAATGTATACAAGCATACATAAGTAGCATATGTAGCTCTAGTTTGTTTTCTTCCAGTCACGACAATATGCAGATTTCCTGTTACTGCTGTACTCTATGTTATATTCTCTTGTTTTTACATTAAAAGCATTTGTTGCTTAAGCTCTCTGTATCTCTATCCTCCTCATTTGTGAAATAAAAATGTTACCTACTTTGTAGGTTTGTGTGTGAAAAGTAAATGAAACAATAGTTTATAAAAGACCTTGTGCAAGGCCTGGTACATAGTAGACTCAGAAATTGCTGGTTTCTGTGATGGTATTCAGATAACTTACACTTGGTGGGGGTCAGCTTTATTTCACTGCTCAACACTCAGCCACTTGGAAGAATCCCTCCCTCCTAATGTTGCTCTGTAGAATTACTCATCAATTTAGAGATGTATATTTTTAGATTAAATAATGTGATGGTTTATGAATATAGTATTACAGTGATTTCTACTTCTGAAAGACTGCAAAGAATGTTTACTTTTTTTTTCAATTCAGTCATATGTAGAACAACAAACACTGGGCCTGATATCAAGAGAACTGTCTAGTATTCATTATAATACATTTTTGCCTTTGTTTTACATTAAATTGATTTTTTGCTATTTCTGTGCAAAGTTTGAGTGTGCTGCTCTGCTTTAAAAGGTGGTGGGCCCAGGAAAAGAAAATTATCTTCTTCTTCAGAGCCATATGAGGAAGATGAATTTAATGATGATCAATCTATAAAAAAGACAAGACTGGATCATGTAAGTTTACATTTGAATTACAGTATCAAAATTGGCTGCTTAAGGTTAGGATATGTGGAGTTTGTGGATATTATTAGACCTGAAAATCCACCTAAATGAATTCCTTTCTATCACAACTAAGGGAATTTACGTCTACATTTAATTTGTGACTGTTTTTGCTTTTTAATTTATCCAGTATGAAGCCTGCTTAAGCACAGACTATTTTGTGTCTGTGGATATCAGACCTGAAAATTTGTCTAAATGAATCATTCTTTCTTTTCTTTCACAGCTAAGCCAGATAATTTGTGCTTGCATATAATTTGTGACTGTTTTTGCTTTCTTTTAAATTTATCCAGTATTAATTGCTTATCTCTGCCCTCTTCATTACATTGGGTTCTCTGAACTGTGTGCGTGTTCATCTCCAAATTTCCCCTTTTTATAAGGACAACAGTCAGATTAGGTCCCACTCTAATGACCTCATTTTAACTTGAGTGTCTCACTGATGACCCTGTCTCCAATAAGGTCACATTCTGAGGTACTGGGCATTAGGACTTCAACATTTGAATTTGGAGGGGACACAACCCATAATAGTGGTGTTTCCAGAAGCAGGTGGATAGGGAAGGCAAATTCATACTTAGAGCAGGTTATCTGTTACTATATCTTTCATGATGAATCGTGAAGGTGTAATCATCCTGCCACCAGACAGTTGACTGAATCTCCCAAGGAATGGTGCTATAATGGGAACTCGTTGGCCTCTGTTCCTTGCAGGTTGAGCACTGACCGTAACAATAGCCAGATTAATCTTGGTGTAGAAAGTCTTACCTTGTTGACTTGCATGCACAGACTCAAGCCCAGTTGCCATGGCCATTTGTAAATGGGCCTATTGAGCAGGCATTCAAGTGGCTGTGGACTTAACTGGTGTTCACAAAATGGATGATCTTGTATACCTGATCTTTAAAAATTTTCTCTGCCACGTGTGCACCCTTGGCTGAACATTCACACAAACACCGTTATCCTTCTATTCTATTCTCAGGATAACTTCTTTTTTTTTGTTTTGTTTTGCTTTTTGAGACAGAGTCTTACTCTGTCCCAGGCTGGAGTACAGTGGTGTGATCTTGGCTCACTGCAACCTCCACTTCCCTGGTTCAAGCAATTCTCGCACCTCAGCCTCCGGAGTATCTGGGATTACGGGAGTGCAGCACCACGCCCAGCTGTTTTTTTGTTTTTTTTTTAATTTTTTGTAGAGATGGAGTTACACCATGTTGGCCAGGCTGGTCTCGAACTCCTGACCTCAAGTGATCCACCCACCTCGGCTTCCCAAAGTGCTGAGATTACAGGCGTGAGCCACCACGCCCGGCTGTATTTTCAGAATAACTTATATTCTGAGATGTTCAGCAATGTACCTCTTCCCCAGACTTCCTGGTCACCAGTTTTTTAAGTCTTCTTTTTAGCCTCTGTTCCTGATACATTGCTGATCTCTACCTCTGGCCATCTCTTGGTACACAAAATGGGCAACAAGATGTACTGCCCAAAGTTGTACACAGGGCTACTCTCTGAGTTGGGTTTATATTATAGCAGTTGTTCACTTGGCTGGTTCTAAAATTATGCAAATCCTTTGTAAAGTCAAGCTGGTTCAGGCTGGGTGCATTAGCTTATGCCTATAATCCCAGCATCTTGGGAGGCTGAGGCAGGAGGATTGCTTGAGCCCAGGAGTTCAAGACCAGCCTGAGCAATATAGTGGGACTCCTGTCTCTGCAAAAAAAAAAAAAAAAATTTTTTTAATTAGCTGGGCATGCTTACATGCAGCTGTAATCTCAGCTACCCGGAGGCTAAGGAGGGAGGATTACTTGAGCCCAGAAGGTTGAGGCTTCAGTGAGCCATAATTATGCCACTGCACTCCAGCCTGGGTGACACAGTGAGACCTGTCTCACAACATACAAATGAAGTTTAAGGATTTCTTCCCTCTTTATCAGGTCATAAAGAATTTTCTCTTTTCTTTCTTTTCGAGACAGAGTCTCATCCTGTCGCCCAGGCATGATCTCGGCTCACTGAAACCTCTGCCTCCCGGGTTCAAGTGATTCTCCTGTCAGCCTCCCACGTAGCTGGGATTACAGGCGTGTGCCACCATGCTCAGTTAATTTTTGTGTTTCACCATATTAGCCGGGCTGATCTCAAACTCCTGACCTCAGGTGATCCGCCTGCTTTGGCCTCTCCAAGTGCTGGGATTACAGGCGGCAGCCACTGTGCCCAACCTATCAGGTCATAAAGAATTTTTTATAATGCCTCAGGTAATAGTTGAAGAAGGGGCAGCAGTGATGCAGAAGCAGGTACCATGAGAGTCTGAGACATCTGCACATGCAATTTATTTGTGTCTCTTGAACCTACTCAAGTCCATTCTCAAGTATACCATTTCTACTTGATGATGGGTTGCTGCTGCCAATGCTCCGTTTTAGGCTAGGTAAATCAGATACCCAGATCACATAACGGCTCAAGTCTCATGGTCATTTGATGTTCTGTGGTCAACCATTCTGCTTTTATCAGGATTTATTGTCAAGTCAATAGCTGTTTCACAAAAATACATCAGTCAGTTCTGTTTTTAAAATGTGAATTTATTCCAGTGTTAATACATTAGAGAACGATTTGAGCATAATCCAAAATTTGCATGTGCTTATGTGCAGTTTTGTCCATGAGAAATAGTAGGTGATCATAGAAAATTGCTTCCAGCTGAACCAAGCCACATAAAACACACACGTTTCCAGTATCCACTGGCTGCCTCTTTTTACCATGTATATTATCCTGTTAGGTGGTGATATGCTATTCTTTGACATTTGTGATCTTTTCTATTTGAAAAAAGCACTCATTCAACATCTCAAACCTACCTAAGCATTCTGGTTCAAAAATGCCACACAGTACATGCAGAGGGAATGTTTTGAGTATTAAGGAGAAGCTTGAAACAAGAAAACATTTGGAAAGATAAAAACATAACGATACATCCCAAGCAACAGATATAAAGGAATCCACATTATGGACCATCAAAGATAATGCCACAAAAATAAAAGTGTATGTATGGCTGGACCAGGTTCGAGTGCTGGAAAGTCCATAAGAACAAGGCATAAAGAAACAGAAGAAAAAGAAAGATTGTCAAATATTTGGATTCAAGACCAAAGGGTGAAAAACTTAAGGAACAACCTTTCTCATACAGATCTTTGTAATTATATACACAGACCTAAAATAGAAGTCACTGTACCCTGCATAAGTGGCTCCTTTTAGTGCTAGTAGTGGTTGCTTTAATGATTTCAAACAGTGCTACAGTTTCCTACAAACAATGCTACAGTTTCCTAAGCCTTTGGCTGTCAGACATAACTATTAGTGTAGATATGAAAGCTGCAAAAGAATTTTTCAGCAGTGATAGGGAAGTAAATTGAAGGCAGCTGTGCATGGTGTTAAATTCTTGGTTTTGATTAAACAAATATCTGTTATGAACGCATGCCTCGAATAACCCAAATATGAAAGACAGAAAACATGTTCTAGGATTTAAGGCTCCTAAAGGTAACATAACTGTGATATTTGGCACCAGTGCCAAATGGAGATTTGAAGCTGAAGCCAATAATGTCACTCACCAAACTTTGAGCCTTTTAAAAGATATTGTTAACGTCAGCCTTTGAGGTTCATGTCAGGTATAGCAAAAATGTATGGATGGCTGCCCACATTTGCATTTATATTTTTACTTAGTTCTTCTCTGTTAAAGAGGATGAATGCCCCAAAACATTAAAAAAAAAAAAAAACTTAACTTTAAAAATTCTTACAGTGTATCAAGCTCTCTCTCTACAAAAGCAGAATTCAACCTATGTCACATTCTTCCTTTTGCCTCCAAAAACCACCTCTCTGATAACAGCCCCTTTTTAAGTGTGTGACAGCAGTGTTTATAGCTTACTATTTAAAGTGAACATTTTAGATATTAATTGCTGTTATCTAAGGCAGGGTTGCAGAAGTGGTTACAGAATGTTGGAAGAGGTTTAACATTGCAATGTCATTGTTGAAGCCTGGAGTAATATACCGAGAGTGTTTGTGTTATGTGTGGCAGAAAATTGCCTTTGACTTGATTCTTTATTTTGAAGAATTTGATACTTCAGAGAAATTTTAAAAGTTTAAAACAAGCTATATTGATCTAAGAAAAACAGTTTGGACTCGGAGCAGTCAAAAATGAGGATATTGAGAAGTTTCTAGGGTCCTGTCCTGATGATCTAACCACAGAAAACATTCAGCAACTTGCTGCTTATGGCTGTATGGATGCAGAAGATGTCGATGACAGTGATAATGAAAGTCAGAAGTCTGTGTATGCCATGACAGTGTAATACAAATGATCAGATGTTTTAAATGCTGTGAAAATAATTGGACTGCCTTGAAGATAATGGCTTTACTGCTGAAGATATTAGGATAGTCTTGTGTGGCATCCGGATGAATTTGGAACCGTACAGGCAGCTTTAGTGTAAAAGGAGGAGGCTGGCAACACCACAGAAATTTTATTTATTCTTTATATTTTAAGTTAGTACAGCAGACATAACACAAGGACAGTGAGCTACAACCTTCTGTATCTGGTGTTAAAAATTTCCATTCATTTTCAGATAACCTGTTTTTTGCCACTTTACAATAACTCGTAAGCTGTAACTCTTCCAATGTCCACAAGCAAACTTCAGCTCATATTTATTGTAGTATTTAGGTATTAACTATTTAATGTGTGTAAAATTGTATCATTTTTATTAGATTGCCTTCTCTTTTTATATGTCACTGATGAAGTTTTTGACATTGTATCTCTAACAGTTTTTCTCCTAAAGGCTGCAATTTTTAACAATTTTGCATAATGCAGTAATTTTTGGAAATATATGTGTCACAGCAAAACTGACTGTGGTCAGTAGAAGAGGACATGATGACCTTTCTTTAAAACTCTCTAAAACGATTTTCCCACTGGGGCTTGCCAAAGACTTCATACAACATCCTTACCTGCAACAGATTCTTGGAGAATCATTGCATCTGCTGGTCACGAAACCCAAGTGGCGGAGTACCTTGTATTGCACTCTGGACCTGGTACAGAGCCGTCTCTTAACCTGGGCCCCATTCATAACTGACATTCTTTTTTTTTTTTTTTTCTTTTGAGATGGAGTCTCGCACTGTTGTCTGGGCTGGAGTGCAATGGCATGATCCTGGCTCACCGCAACCTCCGCCTCCCGGGTTCAAGCAATTCTCCCACCTCAGCCTCCCGAGTAGCTGGGATTACAGGTGCCTGCCACCACGCCTGGCTAATTTTTTGTATTTTTAGTAGAAACGGTGTTTCACTGTGTTGGCCAGGCTGGTCTCAAACTCCTGACCTCGTGATCCACCCGCCTCAGCCTCCCAGAGTGCTGGGATTACAAGCGTGAGCCAGCGTGCCCAGCCATAACTGACAATCTTAAGAGGTATTTTATAAAATGAATCAAGCAGTACACACCCTAATGAAGTATATCTTGCCTCCAGTGTGCAGTGAGCTCCCAATGTCCAGTCTAAAGAGGCAGATAGGTGCGGCCTTTCTTTTTTCTTAAGAGTGGAGTTTGCAACATGCTCCAGACTACACTCCCACGAAAGTGGTGGGCCTCAGAGTGAGGATGGTTATTCCTTCACCCTGATATGTGGCATGTACGTATCTGACCAGTACCATTGAAAATACCCACTACCTGTATCAAGTCCAGTCAACATGATGTCAGTATAGTGGATCAAGTGATACTCTCTAGACTGTGCAAAACCATCTAAGTCCATGAGTACTGTATTATTTGAGAGAGCCAGGAAAGTTACTCTAACTCTGAAGACTGAAGGTATATCATTAAACCTGCCAAGATAAAAACGGATTGTTTCTGTTTGATCTAATTGGGAAAGGGGAAAAAGCAAGTACTTGATTGATAACTGCATAGCCATATTGATTTGCTCCAGCAAAAATACCACATCCTGTAAAGCAGCTGCAGCTGGAGTTTGATTGTTTATGATACTCTTAAATACTTGCAAGACTCATCTACTTTTTGTATAGGTCAAGGAGGCATCTTACATTGGGATGGGATGGTGGTGTCAATATCTGCAGTTCCTTTAGGACTGTAGTAATTGCTTATTGTTTTGATTGAGAGGGACAATTCTAGGGACTTGGATTTGGTGTTTCCTATAATAGTAGCCCATACATCATGGGTCAGGGAACTGATATAGTATGGGATTTCTGCCAGTGCCAAATATGTCTGTTCCAACTATGATTCTGGAGATGGAAAAATAAGCACTGGGTCGAATCATATCCCTTGGGCCCGCTGAGACAGATACAGTCCCAAATTTTATCAGCTAGCTTTTGTAAAGTGTCTGTGTAACCTCCTGGACCACATGAGTATATTCAGTCACCAGGGATAAGCAGAGCTGGCATAAGTGTGGGACCCAAGAGCAAACAACACATGATAGGCACACCATCTACTAAATATTTGATTCCGAAGAGCTGTTTACTGTTTTCCAGATATTTTATGTATTTTTTTATTGAGGTGAAATTCACATAGCATAAAATTAACCATTTTAGAGTGAACTATTTAATGCTATTTAGTACATTCACAGTGTTGTATACCATCATTCCTGTCTAGTTCCAAACGCTGTCATCACCTCGTAATAGCATGCTATACCCATTAAGCAGTTTCTCCCCATTCCCTCCTCCCCCTAACCCCTGGCAACCGCCAATCTGCCTTCAGTCTCTGGATTTACCTATTCTGAACATTTCATTTAGGTGGAATTATATAATATGTAACCTTTTATGTCTAGCCTCTTATTTTTTAATTTCAGAAAAATGTGTTTTATTTGTTTTTTCTTTTTTCAACTTTATGTTAGAATTGGGGTACATGTGCAAGTTTGTTACAAACGTATATTGCGTGATGCTGAAGTTTGAAGTATGAATGAATCTGTCACCCAGATAGTAAGGATAGTACTCCATAGGTAGTTTTCCTTAACTCTTCCCCCACATCCTCCCTCCGCCTTCTTGTGTTCCCCAGTGTCTGTTGTTCTCATTTTTATGAACACGTGTACCCAATGTTTAGCTCCCATTTATAAGTGGGAAATGTGGTATTTGATTTTTCTGATTCCACATTAGCTTGCTTAGGAAATGGTTTCCAGCTACATCTGTGTTGCTGCGAAGAACATGATTTTGTTCTTTTTTATTAGCCTCTTACATAGCATAATGCTTTCAGATATACTACAATGTTCATTCATGTTGTGGTGTGTATCAGTACTTCATTCTTTTTTATGACTTAGTGATATTCCATTTTATGTGTTTACCACAATTTGTCCATGACGCACATTTGATATATTAACAAATGAACAACTGAAGTTTAGTTTTCACTTATGTAGTGAAAAAGCAGTGGTCTAGAGTTAGATACTTGGATCTGTTCCCTCCTCAGCTGGTTGTTGTCCATCTGTGAGCTTTAAAATACTGTTCTTGGAATTTCAGTGTGCCTGGGCTGTAAAGGTGGCAGTATGAATTTTGAAGATTTTGAAATGGTTTCTCCAGATGGGTTTCACCAGTATGTCTTATTATTCCCCTGCTCAAAATCCTGTTGCTTCTTAAAAAAGACTAACCTTAGGCTTTATTCCATGTTAGCTCTGGTTTAATTCTTCATCCTTGTAACCTATTAACATTCTCTGCATTTGAGCCCAAGTAGACCACTTAGTATTATGAAACACATGCAATTTTCTTCTTTAGTCCAGATATCCATAGCATTTTATTGGTCTCTGTTTTATGAAATTTTATTTTACTCCATTGTGCAGAGGAGGTATCAGAATTTAGTTATTTCTATCTAAGGTACTGAAAGAGAAAAATAGCAATTCAGTTGTTGGATAATAAAGGAGGTTGAAGAAGAAGATTGTATTTTTCTCCATCTTGTGTGTATAGCATGTGGTGCAGTTCTAAGCAGAGTAGAAAAATGCTTTTTGATTGACTAAAATTTTTCCTATGCATGAACACAAGGAGTCTTTTCTTTTTGCTTAAATGTGGACTTTAACCAGTTTCTTCAAGTGAAGTTAAGTGACAGAGAAGAAGGAAAAGTGAGACTATGTATAGCCACAATTCTCATATTAATTAATCTGTTCGGTTTATACATTATTTAGTTCCACTTAAATTCCTTTTATCATTGTTTCAGTTTTATGTTGTGACTGAACAATTAATATTTAAGCCATTCTGTGAATCAAGAGTGAAGTAAAAGTAAACTCTTCTCAGAATTTGAAATTTATAGGTGGATATATAATAGTGAACATAGATGAGATATTTGTATCCTTTTAAAATTTACCGTTGTCTTGGAGAAGGCATCAGTATACTTGAATTATATTGAGTTAATTTGAGGATCATTCTAGTTTTTTAGGAGATTTATCTCATTTTAAGCACTGAGAATAAAGTTTGAGTTACCGGATATGCAATCAGGGTCTTTCAGTGATCTTAAGTCAGCAATATTTTTCATCCTTAAAGACATAAATATGTCAATGTTCACAGAAACAAAAAGAAACAGTTTGGATTCTTCTGACTGATGATGATAATTTTCAGATCAAGTCAAAATACAATGATAATTGCCTTAAGACCATTGTTATTGATATCTCTTAAATTGTTTTCTTTTTTTTTTCTCCCCATTAGGGAGAGGAATCAAATGAGTCTGCAGAATCTAGCAGTAATTGGGAAAAGCAGGAAAGTATTGTACTGAAATTGCAAAAGGAATTTCCCAATTTTGATAAACAGGTGAGTAGTCGTGTATGAAAATTTAATCAGTGTGTACTAAGTGTTTTTATTATAAAATAGTGTTAAGAGTTCAACCACATAAAAGCTTAGGGTGAGTTTTGTATTCTTCTAATTAAATGTTCTCCTTTTATCAATGTTATAAAGTATTTTCATACTGTTTATTTATGTTGTTTATTTACCTTGTTTACTATAGTATCTATACTGTATCCCTAAGTCATTAAAAAATAACCGTAATAAAAATTGTGAACTCATTTATAACATGTAAGTCATCTAGAAAGTCATCTGTAACCCTGCCCCCATCAAGTAACTGCTTAGTTTTTTTCATGTTCTCATTCTTGAAATTTCTTACAAGAATTTAAAAAGTATTCCATTTCAGTGTCTTAATATTTTATAAGCTTTCTACTACTTCCCAGATAGTGAGAATGTTTTCAGAGTCATTAAAAAAAAAGACTCATGCCACGCATCCTGTTGCTAAAAGGCCCTCTGTTTAATCCCATGATCATATATAGAAGCACATATTTGTTTAGCATTTAGAGTACATTTACACTTGCACTGATTTATTTGAGTATATATGTTCAGATAGTACATCTACTAAATTCTGATGAGCTGAATGCAAAATCTTGTTGCAATATTGGTTCTTTACCTTTGTTGAAACTACGTTTTGAAGTTAGCAGTTTGTAAAAGCCTAGCTGCATATTGAAATTTCATTTTTAATTGAGAAAACATTTCTTGATCCTCTAGTGTTCACAGTACTTCATAGTGAGCATTAGAAATGCAAAAAAATGTCAAGTTTTCTTTCCTTTGAAGACTATTGTGTATTTGTGGAGGTGAAATTACACAGAAAGCATTTGTAAAGCAGTGTAAAAACAAGTGCAAAATAATCAGATGTGAATTCTCTGTTTTCAGGTGATTAACTTATTTTTAAAAGAGCATAGACGTTTTCTGCAAGTTGCTAATTTGAGATTTTTAACAAAAAGATAAATGACTTATTTCTAGGAACTTAGAGAAGTACTCAAGGAACATGAATGGATGTACACAGAAGCTTTAGAATCTCTAAAAGTGTTTGCAGAAGACCAAGGTAATTATTCTGGGTCATAGAAAATACATACTTCTCATTATAGTCTGTATTTTAGTATATAAGAAAATGGTATATAAGAAAAGCTATTAGCTGTTAATCAGAGGGTGGGATTGCAAAAGATGTTGAAAGTAATGATGTAAAAACATTCTTTAACAACCAGTTTTTAAATGTTTTGACCTGCCTGTTCTTTATCATAGTGTAAAACAAAACAATAAATATCTTTTTCTATTTGTTCAGTCTTTCTTAATAGTTAAGGCTACTTTTAAATTGCCATGTTTTATTGAGTGTAAAATAACCTTTTTAACAACTGTCAGGATGGATCTTGTGATTGGTGATATCATGTCATTACTGTAATGTAGATGTCTTAGCCTATACTTGCACAGATATCAAAAGCACTAGCATCAAAAACTTAAGGGTATCATAGGCATGAACACATTTTGGAACACTCTTAATTCTAGGAACCAAATGATAGAGGAGAGGTGGTAAGGAAGAGTTGAGTCATACATGTTTAGTAACATACCTAAGGAAGAATCAAGTAGACTAGCTCTTCATAATTGCAAACCCAGCATGGTAGCTTTTGGTGTTTTGGTTTGGGTTTTTTTGTTTGTTTGTTTTTAATAAATTGTTTTAAAAGGCTATACTACCAATACTGTTGATGGCACAGAAAATGATATTCTGTGGCAAAAAGAAAGCCACCAAATATGAGTTTGAAAAATGAGTCAGAAGAGCCATGTTATGAATGTGAAAACATTTGAGGAATACTTTAGCCAATTCATTTTGCTTATTTTTTATAAATGCACAAAAATAAAGGTATGATAATCTGTGTAAGTCTAATAGCTTTCTGAGTAAGTAAAAATTTCTGAATAAAGTATTGTATTATAGATTGGTGCATGTTTTCTCACTGGTACATAAAATAATGGTGTTACCTTCATTCACAGGCATCTTAGAATTCTGTAAACTGATAATCAGTGATAAAGTAGTGGGGCTTTTTGATAATACTGTATTTGAATAATTTTTTTTATTTTTTATTTTTTTTGAGACGGAGTCTTGCTCTGTCGCCCAGGCTGGAGTGCAGTGGCACAGTCTCGGCTAACTGCAACCTCCACCTCCCAGGTTCAAGCGATTCTCCTGCCTCAGCCTTCTGAGTAGCTGGGATTACAGGCATGCACCACCATGCCTGGCTAATTTTTATATTTTTAGTAGAGACAGGGTTTCACCATGTTGGTCAGGCTGGTCTCGAACTCCTGACCTTGTGATCTGCCCGCGTCGGCCTCCCAAAGTGCTGGGATTACAGGCGTGAGCCACCATGCCCAGCCTATTTGAATAATTTTTTAAGTAACGATGCAACTTAGAATATTGAAGATAGTATTGGAAAATTATGGATAGTTGAAACATACACACTTTTTATTAGTAAGCTTTATAGTAGTGTAAGCATCATTCTGCTATATTCTTCAGTGTTGGCATAGTTGAGTGGGGCTGCTAGGAATATCTGAGACATCATACAGATACGCAGCTGCCATTTGTGTTCTCAGGACCTTTGTTAGAAAACAGAGATTTATATTTAATTCATTTTAAAAACAAGTTATCACCTGCTTTTGAAACAATTGTTTAACTTCAAATTCTACTTAAGTATTTTTAAAGTGTATCAAATTTAACAATAAATTGTCGTTGAATTCTTCTGTATTCAATAGGAATAGGTAAATGTTTTAAGTTTTTATTTGAAGTCTATCTTTATATTTATGTATTTCTAATTTAGTTACTGTTTTTGTCTTTTATATACAGATATGCAATATGTATCACAAAGTGAGGTTCCAAATGGAAAAGAAGTTTCTTCAAGAAGTCAAAATTACCCTAAAAATGCAACTAAAACAAAACTAAAACAGAAATTTTCAATGAAAGCACAAAATGGCTTTAACAAGAAACGTAAAAAAAATGTTTTTAATCCAAAGAGAGTTGTTGAAGACTCTGAATATGATTCAGGTTCTGATGTCGGTAGTTCACTAGATGAGGACTATAGTAGTGGTGAAGAAGTGATGGAGGATGGCTATAAAGGTAAAATTCTTCACTTCCTTCAAGATGCTTCAATTGGTGAACTTACTTTGATTCCTCAGTGTTCTCAGAAAAAGGCTCAGAAGATAACAGAACTCCGGCCCTTTAATAGTTGGGAGGCTCTGGTAAGGCTTTATTCTTTTTTTCCCCTTGTATGTGTGTGTGTATTTAATTCACAGTACCGGTTATAGTCAAGTTGTCTTCAGCCCAGGTAAGCATAGATGGGTGGCCTTATCCTGTGTAAAGTCAAACATTACTTTCATTGTAAGCCAATAGTATTTCAAATAGTGTCATATGACCTAATTTTGAATGAATTAAGGGGTGATTTTCCTGAAAAAACCCAAGCTGATTGGCTGGGAATACTGTCACTCATTCCTTTGCATAGAAACTTCGTTCATTTCACTGCAGAAGAAGAAATTAGAGCTTACATTTAGGAAGGAGTTGTTTGCTAGCCTGTTCTGATCTGTTACTGCTGAGACACCATGCAGAAAGCAAGAATGTGGCAGAAATTTTACTACAACTACTTGAAGAGCAATAGCAACGGCCAGGGGAGCTCCATGATTCAAAATGCCAGCCTAAGTGTTTTATGCTTCACCACAAAAGAAGCAATTGTTTATTTTCTTTTTTTCTTCTAAAAGTAACAGCTCAGTCTCTAACATGTTTTTGTTGGTTAAGCAACGTGGCCATTTTATGGAGTGTAGCAGGCTGCAGCGTTTTTAATTGGAAAGATAGAAAAATTTCTGGAAGCCTATAATTCAAGCGTTAGGTGAAGGGAAGGCATAAGCACTGGTAAGTACACTTTGCATGATCATTTTCTGGAATTTGACTTTCTATAAACAGGTTGTATACAGAATACCTGCATTTTGAGTTTTATGAATGCCAACAGTCATCAAATCTTATTCATACAGATAAATATAAGAACTCTTAAATTTTGCTTCAACCCTTACGTGGGCTTTTATAGCAGGAATTGTATATAGGCCTGTTGTAAAAGCAATATGGATGATTTTTTACAGCTTTAAAAGATGCAGCGACTCTTGATGCTTTATAAAATTTTTTAGGAAGTTTTATTCCCTAAGTTAGGGAGCAAAGTTGCTTTTGTGGTTAATTTTATACTTGAAACAAATCTAAATGAGCATTAAATGCCCTGATAAGTGTCTTGAAGTGGCAATAGGGGAGAGTCCCTGAACAATGGTTGTAAATACATTTTTTTAATTAAAATATTTGAAAAATACAGAAACAACATTAATAATATTCCATAGCTTTAAAAAATAATAATAAAACCATTTGTTTTGCCTGAAGCCTTTGCTTTTCCAGAGAACATCTGTCAAAGCAGGCCCTTTCAAAACTTGTTTGGCTTTGCCTGAGTGATTTATTTGTTAAAGTATTTGCTGAAGGGCTTTCTTGTTCTTCTTTTCTTCCTTTTCTTCTTTCTTTTAATCTTTAATGGTCTCTTATGTTGTTGCAGAGTTGGGTTGCTCAGGCTTGTTGAGATTCTAATTTATTTAATAAGATATGCAATTATCTGCACTAGTTTGTTTAGTTGCTGTAAATACTTGCCCGAATATCTTATAGTAAAAGTAAATTATACAATTTTACCAGAGGTATATGTGCCAGATGTTTTTAAAAAATATTCAGCAACTTAACATGTGGAAAGCATATTTCCCCTACTAATTAATCAGCAGAGTTTAAATTAGTCTTGACATGAATTTGGAGATTATGCATTACTTACTTAAACCTCCTAACATCTTGCCCCTTTCTAAAAGTTGAACATAAAGACTATATTGTTTGTTCTAACCATCCATCCAAATGTGAAATATTTTATGTAACAGTCTAAATGTATCTGAAAAGTAAACTTTCTACTTGAGTTCAGTGAAGACAGCAAAGTAGGTGAATGAGCTTTTTCAAATTAATAGTGTAAATTAGCAAGTAAATACAGATATGCTTTAAATTTTAATTTGCTTAGAACTTTGAGCTCCTACTTTAAAAACCTTTAGAATTTTAAATGTGATTTATTTATAGAGTACTTTTTTAGCCCAAACCCTACCCTAGAGCAGATTTAATATCTTAATAAAATTATCAAAAGTCAATATTATGCATATTTTTTAGTTAAAAGCTATATAATTTGCTTTTTCCCTGTTAATCAGTGAGGTTTGATAATGTACCTCTAAACAACTTCAAAAGGAAACAAAAGCCAAAAAAATTGTTTTGTGTTGATAGCTGCCATATTTAGAAATTTCCTTGAGAATTAGTTGAGGTTTTAATCATATTGCTCAGTCATATTTTAATGAAAATTACAAGGTATTAAATATATTAAGAACAACCTGCTAACAAATAGTCTGCTCTTTCTTGAAATCATTGTTTAATCTTACTTAGTCTTAAGAATTGGGGAATTTCTATTTACAAACTGTAAAGTTCATAAATATTTCATTAAAAAATGCATACTTGAGCCCGTGAATAAAGTACATATATACAATAGTAATTTTTGTTAAAAGTGAGGTTTCTTTAACGTTGGTGATTATTAAATGATTAAATGTAATCATTAGTATTTCATTGTCTTATTATAAAAGTAATTTGAATGTGAAAATTATATTGTGCCTTTTAAAACAACATTTGAAAAGTTGTAGATCATTGGGTTGTTTTCAAGGTAGTAGACATATAAATGTAATATAAGTGTAGTAGATATATATAAAATGTAAGTATAATATACTTATTAATATTACCTACTTGGTAATCTAATTTCAGTAAGTTTAGAGGTTACTACCTTTCTATACTACTATGACTTATTTGTCAGATAATTATGCTTTTTGAAACTAAAATACTCAAGATTTTAGTCACCCTCATTTTACATGAGGAAAATTTGATTTTTTTTAAAGTATATTACCTAAAAGGATATTTATGCTTCAGCTTTATAATCATTTATTAGTCAAAATTTAAATATTGTTTTTAAATTTTTCTTCATAATTTTTTCCATTTTACTTACAGTTTTTCTGCATAATAGCAGTAATGTAGGTGCCTATTGTGAGAAAACCTCATCATTAAATCAAGTAGGGTTCAGAAATACAGCAAGCCAAAAATGTCATTAGTTTAAAAACTTGTACTGTTATTGTGGTAAAAATTGGAATTTTTATTGCCAAATTTCACACATTTGATGGCATCAGTTCACCATCCACTTACTGGATTTTTGTCTAGCCTTGCACACAGTAGGGAGGGGATATTATTATGTCTGTGAAAAATACTACTCTGTTGCATCTTTATATGTTAATCAGAGTAGTAATGTTTTTATGCTGACCAATGCGACATGCATCAGTAACTCAACCTGGAAACTTTCATATATGCATCTACTTTGTTAACATTTAGATCAGTGTAGATCCAGTTTTCCTTGGCTGATAACCAAGCAACTCAGGTTTAGTCCATGTCACACACTGTGCTCCTCATTATGTTACTCTCATCTACTAGACTGTGGATTTTCTTTTTTGGTTTTTGTTTTGTTTTGTTTTGAGACAGAGTTTCGCTCTTGTCACTTAGGCTGGAGTGCAATGGTATGATCTCAGCTCACTGCAACCTCCACCTCCCGGGTTCAAGCGATTCTCCTGCCTCAGCCTCCCTAGTAGCTGGGATTACAGGTGCCCGCCACCACACCTGGCCAATTTTTATATTTTTAGTAGAGATGGAGTTTCACCATGTTGGCCAGGCTGGGCTGGAACTGCTGACCTCAGGTGATCCACCTGTTGCGGCCTCTCCAAGTGCCGGGGTTACAGGCGTGAGCCACTGCATCTGGTCCTTTGCTTTGTTTAACTGGTGATTTCTGTAAAATACCTGGCCTAAATTGGCCACTTAAAGCATGGTAATACATATTTCTTCCTTCTGAATAAGGTGGCACCAGTGAATTTATTTGTAAGATTACTATATATTCAGGCTTTGTTTTAATTTGTGTAAGTTTGATAAGTTTGTATTAAAAAAATCTGCAAGTACATTTTGAGTACTTTGTAGGCTGCTGCCAGGTATTTATAATAATGAATAAGCTTGGGATTCTGTCCTCAGGGCTGTCTTTTGGTAAGTGGGGATTTAATGATTTGAAAATTAAATCTGCTTTTAAACAGTTTCCTCCTTCCTATGGAAATTCAAAAATATCTGTACAGTAAGAGTGACACACTGTGGCAAGAGAGTGATACTTCAGATGCTGACTGTTTTTGAAAGAAAAAAGTCCTTTGAGTAGTCACTTGAGTTTTTAATGAAGAGATATGATTGGGGCCATATTGATGAGTTTTTTTCATGTAATTATTCAGGAAGTAGCAATTAGCTTTTTAACTTTCTTCCTCCTGAAAAAAAGATTTATCATTTTTTGAGAATGATTTGTTTTACCTAAAATTGAAACAGCATGTGCAGAAATGAAAAAGTAAAGTTTACCCCAAATTCTACCAAAGATACCCACCATTTAAGGTGTTTTGAGCATCATCTATTTATGTATACATTTGTATACTTCATACCATGTAAGCAGGATCATCTTTTCTGTGGTTTTCAGTAACTTCAGATTTACTAATAGATCCCACATTTACAGGGTACTTTGTATTTCTTAAATCTTTTTTGGGGGAAAGTTAAGTAACTTACAGGATTAAGTGATTTTTGTGTTCAGAAAACAGTAACATGGTGGCAGTAGAGTGTTCTTACATCTTTCCTTAAGTGAGAGCCCCTCTTTCCCCATCCCCAAATTGTTTATTTACTTTTTGTTAATGTTTATACTTTTATTATTTACACATATACTTAGATTAACAAATAATTCTATAGGCTTGTTCTCCGCCCCCACAAAAAAAAATCTATATCCACCCTTTTCCCCAGCCTGTTGCCCATGCTGCAGATAACTTCTTTCATGACTTTTTGTCTCATTGTTCTGATCACCTCCATATCTTTATGTAATATAGTTATAATGCACTTTTTGTCATTTGTAGGTCTTATCTATCAACTTAATATTATAGACAATAGGATTTAGTTCTCACTGTCTACCTCACTTCACATGCCCATTTTCTGTTCCCCAGTTCTGTTAATATATGTTAATATGGTAATTTTGAAGATCATTTTTAGTGTCTACATTGTTATGACTATGCAAATGCCTTTCATAGATGAACCATGTAGTGTACTACATGATTTTTATTTTTTTCTCATTTTTTTTCCTAGTTGTTATTTGTCTCGGTTTTTCTCTTTATTTTCCTATATACTTGTCATTAGGTCAACTCTAAAGTCTTTTCCAGTTGCCTAAATTTCCCATCAGATTTTTTTTTTTTCTTTTCCTTCTTTCAGACAGTCTTGCCCTGTCACCCAGGCTGGAGTGCAGTGATGCGATCTCAGCTCACTGCAATCTCTGCCTCCCACGTATAAGCGATTCTCCTGCCTCACCCTCCTGAGTAGTTGGGATTACAGGCGTCTACCACCACACCCGGTTAATTTTTGTATTTTTAGCAGAGACGGAGTTTCATGATGTTGGCCGGGCTGGTCTTGAACTCCTGACCTCAAGTGATCCGCTCACCTCCACCTCCCAGAGTGCTGGGATTACCTGGGCCTGTCAGATTTTAGACACCTCTGGTAATCTGTCAGTTTCATCTCTTTTAGAAAATCAGGAATCTTATCACCTGCTCTGATTTGGAAGTGGCCTTAGCATTTCATTTTCCTGTCATCCTGGAGAATCCTTTTGTCTCTCTCATTTTGAGTCTCTTGTTTCTGAATTCAGTGCATGCCACTTTTTTTATTCCATTGGTTTTGTAAGTGCATACTAGGTGATAGATGAATAACATAGTGAAGCTAGATGACCTGATTTTGAATTCTTGTCTGTCATTTTCTAACAGCTTACATATCTGTAAGCAAATATCTGTAAGTGGGGTGTAATTATAGTGCCTGCCTATGGGAAAGTCTAAAAATTAAATGCCATCAGTTGCCTGGCTCTTTAAAAACATTAGCTGCAGATATTCACAATAATTTGCATTGCAAGTGTTGTGTATATTATTAATGAAATGCCAAGAAACTATTTGTTGTTTTCTGTTTGTCCACTAAGTTCTAGCCATATTGAATCAAACTTTCTAAAATCAAACTATTCTTCTTTTTTTGTTGTTGTTAAATATCCATGCCCACCCTATAGCTTTTTAAATCAGATTTATGGCTGGGCTTATGGGCACATTACCCACAATATATTAAGACTAACTGTTTTAGCCTCCCTTGTGATCGTTTGACAAAGTTCATTCCAATGGGATGTGAGCAGTGGTATGTTACAACTTTTGGAAAGTGTTGTTTCTTCCTGCCGGTAGAAGGGTCAATATGATGGTGGATGTTGAGGTTATTGAAGCAACAGAGTTAGAAGAATCCTTAATTTTGGAAGCAACATACCAAATCTGAATCAGTTCCTCAGATTTTTATTTACATGAGAGATTAATAACTTTATTTAAACCTGTGATATTTGGGTTTACTGTCACAGCAGAATCTAATCACAGTAAATTCATTCAATTAAACTCTTTTTCCTTTAAAAAACTGTCTACTGCTGTTTTACATTCGTGGTTAGTGGATTGTTATTAGATAGATCTAAATTCTAAATCAGCAGCAGTCATTTTGATCATCTCTAAAGTTGGTTTACCTGTGTGGGAGGGGAGAGGTAGGGAGTGTTAAGGGGTCCTAAGGAGTTGTTCTGAAATTTCAACTTCAAAATAACCAAAAAGTGAAGTTCAGTTAAAAATCTCATAACCAACCCTTAACTGTTAAAGCGTCCTGAAGTAAGAATGACCTTGTACTCCCCTTCATTGCCTCCCCCATTTTGTTATTACAAGAAATTTAAGCACACAGTGTTATAATGAACCCCCATGTGTTTCTTCCATACTCTTGTCCACTTCCTTCCATCATATTATTTTGAAGCACATCTCAGACATCATTTTATCCTTATAATTTTAAATGTGTATCTCCTGAAGAAACCATAACATTCTTATATCTAATAAAAATCATCAATAATGTCTTAATATCAAAATATTCAGAGTTCAAATTTCCAGTTGTCTCATAAATGCCATAGTGTTTGTTCATTTGTTTTATAGTTTGTTAGTTTGAATTAAGATCCAAGTAAGGTCCACTTATTAAGATTGCTTGATAGGTCTTTTAATCTGTAGATTCCTCATCCCTCTCTCTCTCCCCCTTCTGTTTTTCCAGTTTTTGGTAAAGAAACTGGGTCATTTGTTCTATAACTCTCCTGTCTAAACTTTTCTGATTATACCTCCCCAGTGTAGTTTAACATGTTCCACTGGACTAGTACTTTCTGTAAAACGATCATTAGAAGGTTAAATGCACCCACCAATATTATTACATAGTTAGTGATGTGTTCTTTCATCAGAAGACAGTAATATCTGATTGTTACTTTTTGTAACATTAGCATCTGTTGATGCTACATGTCTGGATCCATAATTCATTAGCCATTGCAAAATTAATACTTTTTATTTTATTTTTTTTTATTTTGAGACAGTCTCTCGCTCTGTCACTCAGGCTGGAGTGCAGTTTCGTGATCTTGGCTCACTGCAACCTCTGCCTCCTGGGTTCAAGAAATTCTTGTGCCTCAGCCTCCTGAATAGCTGGGATTACAGGCGTGCACCACCACACCCAGTTAATTTTTGTATTTTTAGTAGAGACAGGGTTCCACTGTGTTGGACTTGAACTCCTGGGGCCTCAAGTGATCCACCTGCCTCGGCCCCAAAAGTGCTGAGATTACAGGCGTGAGCCACCATGCTGGCCTGCAAAAATAATATTTTAATACTGTTATTGCTGCTTGTTGAGGAAGTATCTATAAAAGAACTTCTTACATCTACCACTCTAAATGTTGCCGTTCATATACAAAATTCAGAATAAATGTTTATTCTTTCCTTTAATTTTCCAGCTCTCAAAGTGATTGGTCACCCCCACCTTTTAACCCTTTCTTGTGGCTTCCAAATGACCATAATTAATTTATGCTCTCAAAAAATAAGTAAAAGGAAGAAAATTTTTTTAATAAATAAAAAGACATCAAACTTAAATGTGTAAATTGGTACAGCTTAAGTGAATTTGTGATTTATGTCTGCTGTAATTTTTTTTATATTAGGAAGTTTCAGCTATGAAGGAAATTTTACACTTCAAAAAGCTGTTCAGTGGCAGAAAATATGATAATGACAGATTAGATCACAATATGCTAATTTTTTCAGAGTTACCTCTCGTGTAACACAGCTTTTGAAAATATTTGAATAGTACTATATTCTTTTTTAAGTGAAAAAAAAAAAGAAACCTGTAATTGCTTTATAAAGATTCAGTGTGCTTCAGCTTCACTTTGAATATATCCACTTAGTATAATCTAACATTGGTTTTCTTAATAATGGTTGTGTGACTTACATGTTAGGAATCTTCACAGTACACATTTTACTTTTTATCTGTTTCTCAGAAAATATTGACTGTTATTTATCACTAAACTCATAATATGCTTAGGCACTAACCTTCAACAATACAGTAACATCTTTAGATTTCTACCGAATTGTGAATATGTTATTAGATGAATATTTACCTCTCCATGTGTTTCTGGCACATATCTTCAAAGCATAACTATTATGAATAAAATTATACATTTATAACCACTGTGAATAGTTACGTATTTAATTACTCAGAACTGTCCATGAGAAATACTATAGAAATTATTTACCATGTGGTGTATTTTATATAAATTCATTATAATTGGTGAAAGATTAAGTTTGTTTGTTTGTTTTTGAGACGGGGTCTCACTCTATCACCCAGGCTGGAATGCAGTGGCGTCTTGGCTCACTGCAACCTCTGACTCCCGGGCTCAAGCCATCGTCCCACCTCAGCCTCCTGAGTAGCTGGGACCACAGGCACGTGCCACCACACCGGCTAATTTTTTGTATTTTTGGTAGAGATGGAGTTCTGCCATGTTGCCCAGGCGGGTCTTGAAATCCTAGGCTCAAACAGTGCTCTTGCCTTGGCCTCCCAACATGCTGGGATTATTGGTGTGAGCCACCACAACCGGCCAGTTTATTGTTTTTTGGCAGTTAAAACTTAACACTTCACTTTTTGAAATTATTTCTTCCTTGGCTTCTCTGATACCACATCCTACATTTCTTCTTGCTCTGTCTTTTTAAATGCTTCTAAATGTTGGTGTTCTTCAAGGTTTTGCTCTCAGTCTTCTAATCTCCAATTTCATGTGCTTTTCCTTAGGTAATCTCATCAGCATCTTTGACTTTGATGGTCACCTGTGTGGCATCTTTTTCTCCAGCTTACATCTCTTCCCTAAGATACAGATCTTTATTTAACTAACCACTGGCTCTTTCTCGAAAATTTGGTAGCTGCCCCAAATTTAATATATCCAGAAACAGACTTCCTTTGCCATCTTGGTAAATTTTAATCTCAATAGATGGTACCACTAATCTGTTAGCATTGAAGCCAGAAGTCTGGGAGTCAGGCTTAACTCTTCATTCATCTCCCCACACTTAATGGGTTCTACCTCCTGAAGATCGTGAATCTTATCAGTTTCTCCGTGTCCAACACAGACCACTATTGTCTCTCAACTCAAAGCCTTCTTAATAGTTTTTTGCTCTCAAGCCTTCTTCACATTACTCTCATAGAGTTCTTTCTAAACAGGAACTCTCTAAAACCCTTCAATAGCTTTTTAATGCCCATAAGTTCAGTTTAGAACGCATTAAAATGATTCATACCCTTACTGCCTTCCTGTTCAGACTTGTCTGTTGCTTCTCTAGGTTCTGACATGTGAATTTATCTTTCCATTAAAACAGTTCTTTTATTATTTCTGGCTTCTTACTCCATAAGGAATTACTAGGTCTTAGATTTTATTAGTCTTTTTGTGATGAGTGCCCATGAACTTTTGTTGTTTCCCTTGTTTATACCAGAGGTTATGCTTGAAATTGTTACTTGTGTTTCCCAATGTTCGTAGACCACAAGGACAGGGCTGTGTCTATCTCCCAGATAATTCAACAGTTACAGTAATTTCTGTTAAAAAAAAAAAAAAAAAAGAAAGAAAAGAAATGGTAGTTGGTTACAGAAAAAAAAAAGTGTATTTTGAACTTTTAAGGTCTTAAATTATTTTATTTAGGGAGGTACTAGTTATACAGTGAAAAGGGCATGGAATTTTTCTCTTACCCAGCTTTGTGATGTTGGAAATTGAACCTTAGTTTTTTCATCTAGATTTGGTAGGCTAGTCTTGGTAGTTGTTACGAGGATTTAATGAGTTACTGAATAAAAGGTATCTAATAGTTACTAGCACATAAATGGCACCTAATGTATGTTCATTCCTTATTTCCTGATTAATTTGTTGGGTTTCTCTCACATTTCAATGTATTACACACACATACTACAATCAGCATGAGATTGGTTTATGGCCTATAATTTTTGGTTGCATTTAAAAATAAAAGTATTTTAGCTAAAAGTTCTAATAGAACCTCCTTAAGACACTGATTGTTATCTATACTGCTGCTTATGAATAGATCTTTCCCCTGAAAAGCACAAAGTAGGGGGAGTAGGAGATCATATTGTGATTATGAATTTTGTCCCTGTGAAAAATATAGAGTAGTATGCAAATAAACTTAGTATTTAACAGTGCCATTTTTGAAGTGCTAAGAATAGATTGGATATTTTGTATATTTCCAAGTTATTCTAGGATAAATATGGAAAATGTATATTGCTATAAACTGTATTTTATTTAGTTATCTTAGTATATCCAAAAAGCACTTAATTACTATTGCTTGAGCTTTTTGCTGAACTTAGAAATACTGTGATCACAGTGATTACTTAGAGTTGTTAATGTGATTCTTGTCATAACTTGGAAAAATATGCTAAATAGGATGACATGAATAAAAATCGTGTGGTATTTTCCTAATAGATGGTTTTATTTTAGTTTCCTAGATTTAGTTCTGGCTTATGGGATTTTCATTTTTGCCCCAAGTATTTCAAATAGCTTTTGGACTTTCTCATCCTTTCCACTAAAAATATTTTTTGTCATGTTTTATAGAATATATATTTTCAGCTATCTATCTGAAAAATTCTAGTTCTGATATAGCTTTTACATATGAAGTATTCAGTGCCTCCTTTTGAAAAATAAATACAACTATATTTTGAAAGAAATTCTGTGAGTTTTCACAGAGAACCATTTATAGTATTATATTGAAATTGGTTTTTAAAAACCTTATCTAATTATTGAATTGGTCATAGTTAACTTTTGATTCATGTGAT
The DNA here is from genome assembly GCF_000001405.40 of Homo sapiens. NCBI lineage: Eukaryota > Metazoa > Chordata > Mammalia > Primates > Hominidae > Homo > Homo sapiens. The sequence goes on from NC_000004.12 coordinate 94,264,124, forward strand.
ATCTCTCCGTGTGATAGTCTGTTTAGAAGTAAAGTATCAAGTGACAAATAATTAGAGTTTTGAAAACTTGAGGGGCTATACTTTGATGATAGATGTGGAAAAATATCTTTTAAGATTAATCTTAATATGTAATAGTCATAGGAAATGACAAGTAGAGGTGAGAGATCAGATTTGCAGTGACTACATTTGATACTATTACCTTTGGTATTAGGGAAAAGTGAATTTAAGATTTTGAAATGTTTTTAAAAACTTGATAGGAGATAGTAACAATTACTTGTGAATGTTTCTCTTATAAGAGAATAGCTGCCAGGGTCAAAGTAACAAGTTTGGGATTATGCATTTTTTGAGGTAAGATATATTTTACTTTAACATAATGAGTTTGATGTGTGACAGTAGAATATAAAAGTGAAACATGTAGCAACTCAAATATAAACATGAAGAATCAGGTTCTCTTAGTAGTTGACTATAAGCTCATTAAGTAAAAGTTTAAATTAGCAAACTTGTTTTCCTCATAAAGAAATCAGGATTGCCTTTCTCTTTCCTAGATCTGAACTATTCAATTATTTTTCTTTTTATGCTATAGTTCACAAAGATGTCCAAAACTAATGGCTTATCAGAAGATTTGATATGGCACTGTAAAACACTGATCCAAGAAAGAGATGTAGTTATAAGGCTTATGAACAAATGTGAAGACATTTCAAATAAATTGACCAAACAAGTTACCATGCTTACTGGAAATGGAGGTGGATGGAACATAGAACAACCTTCCATTCTAAACCAAAGGTAATCTTTGTTGAATATATTTATTCGTATTTTATCTCAATTATACAAAATATCTGAATTTATTTCTGTATCGTGCCTAGAAAGTGATATGGCAACTAGTGGTAGGAGAGAACCCCCAGGTTTTCTGTAATGGCACATAAGTGGACTATGAACTGTTTTTCATTGATTTCCCCCACCCCCAAGTAGGGTATTTTATTCTATCATATCATTATAAATTAAAGGGGGGGATGGTATGATACTATATGACCAGTGTCTTTTTTGCCTCATAACAGGTAATTGTTTATATAATCAGAGAAACTGAAAAAGTGGTTTTAGTTACTCCTATACACAAATTTGATATCCTAAAAAAAGTCAGCTGCTTAATTGCATCAGCGTAAAACCTCCTTTCCTAGCCCATTTTCTTTTTAATCATAAATAAAATGAAATGATATCCCATACTGTGATGAAATGTTTTAAATGATAAGGCCAGCTTTTTAAATCTCCTTTTGGGGTAGAAATACATCAGCAAGGGAAAGGACAGATACTTTGATTAAATAGATCATATAAGTCTACATATTTCCCCAATTTGCTACTTTCAATAAAATACTTGTCAGAATTCATGCAAAAAAAAAATACTGTCTAGTGGCCAGTACATATTAAAGTGGTTTTTGTAATTGTGATCGCCCACATTTTGCATGTTGTTGGCAGATTGGGGTGGGGGAAATTGTGTTGAACTTCCTTTAAAAGTTTGTATATTTTTAAGTAGTTTGGAGACTCAGAACTGTTCAGAATACTTCCCTTTTTAAAAAAAATAATATAAAACTGTTAATAGTATGATATTTATAGTGGCAAAACCATGGAAACAAATGGAGTTCCTAAAATTAGGGAATAATTGAAATGAATTATGGTATATCCATACTTTGCAATGTTACACAACTTTCAAAATGAGTTACATCTGTTCAAAGTATTTCTGATAGGTTAAGATTAGCAGTAGGATCTCATTAAAATTAATTGCCTTAGTTGCTGATTTTATTTACTTCTGATATTTTTCTAAGTTAATGATCAAAGCATATTTGCTGATCATTGGTTAATAATTTAAAATCAAGGTATGGAAAAAAAAACAAGATGATTACTGGCCTTTAATAGTAAGCTACAATCTTTTCTGTGCCCTTCTAGGGTGCTATGGGATGGTGTAGGGAAACGTGATGCAGTTCCCACAAAGAAGCTCTTTTCTCTGTTGCATAGAAAGAACTATATCAGCAAATTTCATCTCCTAAAAGTGTAGTTGGAGCTGCTGCTTCTTGTTCTCCAGCATTGGATATGGGGAGTTCTTCACTCTACAAGACTTACCCAGTTGAGTCTACTTTATCATAATTTGGATTTTTAAAAATCAAGTGCTTTATTGCATCACTTTAAAAATTTCTCTCTCAAAACCACATTCACAAAGTCCTGTTACTTGTAAATAGTTTGATCAGGTAATAAACTATCCTTTCCATTAGACTGAGGATTTTTTAAATGAAATACTTAATAGATGAGAAAAATAGTTGTTGTTGTTGTTTTTTTAAGTGCTTGTTGGATCTTATCCAAAGTACAACTTCTAAAACCTATATGGATAGTCTCTTTAAAGTTTATTTAAGTGCACTTTTAGGGGTTAGAATTTGTTGTCTTGATTTTTGTTCTTCAGCCAAGGTAAGAGTTGCATAAGCAATTTTTACTTGGTGTACTGGCCAGGCATTGTGGGTACTTAGTATGTAGACATTTAAAGTTGTCTCCTTGCTTTAGTAAAGGATTTATTAGCACAGAGGAAAATATTAGACTATCCTGATGAATAACCTATCATGCTTGCATTTTTCTCTAAACAGAACAAGTTCTTCATGACGAAGTTTACTTTGCTACAAACTGTTGCAAATTTATGTGAATTGTAGGAGAAGAAAGTTTGCCTTTTAGAAATACAAATATTCCGGAATTCCTTGTGAAAAATGACATCTTTATAGGGAAAAGCTAAAGTTTTCATATGTACTTCAAAACCATTACTTTCATAATCTTTATTTTAAAATGTCAAAATTTAAATTGTTTAAAATATAATACAGTGAGGAAAAAGAAAATAAATCCTTAGTATTTCTCCTGTTTTATTCTTACTATAGATGTAGCCATCTCTAAAGCTTTAGTTAATTAATCTATAATTTATCAGCCTTAAAAGATTTCTCACATGTTCAGAATACAATATATTTAATCAAGTGTGTCTTGCCTTTTGAGCTAAATCTGCCAAGGTTCTTCTGATCTTGTTCATCCTGAACTTGACAGCATGGTTCCTACCCTGTTCTTACACAGGAGCTCTGAGACCCTTTGTCAGTGATGTGAACGCAAATTAACACTGCAGATGTGGTTTCACTAACTCAAAAGTAGTAGGATGTAAATGTTTAGTTTGAACATTTCTGTCACTACAGACTAATATTGTGGTAGTATTTGCAGCAGCCATGTCATACTTACGGGACATAAACTTTTGGTCGGACAGCATCCGTAACCTGTTTTCTATGAACTGCTTTAAACAAGTCTCTCTAGCCCTGTATTTCTGTATTTTAAACTCAAATTTATCACATCACATGTACCCCTGTTGTTTCTATTTTACGCCTTTCTCACCTTTGAAAATAATTTTGGAACTAGTTTCTCTGGCAGATTTAAACCCAATTGAATTTTCAGACTGTGGAGAAATCATAGTAACTCTGGAGGGAATTTTTTTTTTCCCCTAACAAAACAATAACTTCAAAATAGCCTGTTGCCTCATTTTCTTTCATTATCTCAGAAAATCTTTAAATCACTTTTTTCCTTAGTGAGAGATAAAAAATCTTCAGTTCAGAGATATTTTAATACTCTGTTGAGAAGAAAGCACTTAACTTATTCAGAAGACCTGAGCAAATCCCCATGTTCTTAACAGTAAATTGGTGGTTCAGATATATATTTGGTCATGAAAATTCTTAGAAAACTGTGAAGCGTCAAAATAGATGGGAAATATGATTATATAGCATCTAAATATTAGAACCAACTAGAAAAGAATATAGGTATCCTATTTTTAAATGTTGTTATAATAAATGGGTTCAGAGTCTATCAAAATTGCATTTTCTTTGGTCCTTTTACATGCTGAGAAAGGATCTGTAATTGGCAGCAGTTCCGTGATAGTAAGCAACAAAGCTACTTGTAATTTAGACAAATCTAACAGAACAGCAAACATATATACACATTAATACTTTATATTTTTATAACAAATATTTCAATGTAATAAAACCATTTCATGTCCTGATCAAAACACCTTACCATAATTTGTCATTTTGAATAAAGCAATTTTATTTAAATTTTAAAAATCTGTGTAGTTTTTTAAATTTCCTCATCACTTTTTAAAATTTGATGTTATAGTGAGTATTTTGACAGTTAAATAGACTCTTTTCCCAATGTGTGTTGGTGATGAAGAATTTCAGTAATTTTTGTTTATTAAGAATATTTCGTGGCTATTTGTGATAGGTTGTATGTTGGGATGGCATGTGGGTCCTTGGCTGCATTTATAAGTGATGTATGCCTACCTTATCAAGTTTCATTAGTCGTAAATTGTGAGCCTTATGTGAATAGGATGACTAAAGAATTGGGAAGGATGCATAAAAATAATGGAAAACTCAGTGTGTTGACCGTAGGATGGGTGGGTCAGGATGAAAGATAATTTTTTCATTTCTACTATTTACTGGTTAAGTGCTGAGCTCTGGATCACACCTGGATTGGATACTGACACTACCATTGCAGATACAGATTTGGTTAGCTACATGACCTTGGGCAAGTTACTTAACTTCTGTGAGCCGCAGTGAACTTCTCATCTGTAAAATGCAGATAATTAATATTTCCTATTTTTAATATGGATTAAATGAAATAATAATGTATATTAAGCCCATAGCATAGTCTGAAATATGGTAAATATTCCAGTTTTAGCATTTACTCTCACCGTTATAGTAGAAATAATTGTTTTGGATCTGGAAATTAAAATGTCTATGATAACATGTTCCATTTGTTACTACTTTTATAGTAGTAGCATAGAAATTATATTGATTGGGAAAGCAAAGACCTTTTTTAAAATTCAGCAAAAGAATTGTAAAGACAGAATTAGAAAATTATAAAGACAGAATTAGAAAAGAATTATAAAAGGCAGAATTAGAAATACTGCTTTTTCTCCTACCTATACTTTTAGTTGTATTAAATGGGAAATGTTTTATAAGTTGCATACCCCACAGTTAAAACATAGATTCTGATTTAAGATGGACATCATTCAACTACCTGTTCTTCACTCAGTTCTAATTATGTCTTGATTTCAGAGTTTGATCCTTCAACAATTTATTATACTATAGCTATGTCCAGACCCTTCCCTGTGTGCAAACAGGATATATGCAAGAGGAGATTAAGGGGACAGGATAAAAGCTGGAGAATGGGAGGCATGGCCTTGTCCTATGTTTTCACATTAATGTAAGGTGTTTTAGTGAATATGAGAATAGGCTTTGGAGTGAGATCGACATCCTGAATTAAAATCTTAGTCTTAACACTTTGTAGCTATGCAACCTCAGGCAAATTAAGTTTTTTTTTTTTTTTTATCTGTTAAAGTGATGATAGTAACTACTTTATGGGATTTTTAAAGGGTTAAATGAGGTGATGTTTGAAAAATGATATCTGTGCCTATGTATAATAGATGTTCAATAAGTGATAACTGTTAATAGTTTTTAACCATTTGAACTATTGTTTTCATTCTGTTGTTGTTGTTGTTGTAATTGAGACAGGGTCTGGCTCTGTCACCCAGGCTGAAGTGCAATGGCATGATCTCAGCTCACTATAACTTCTGCCTCCCAGGCTCAGGTGATCCTTCCACCTCAGTCTCCTGAGTAGCTGGGACTACAAGCATACGTCACCATGCCTGGCTAATTTTTTTTGTATTTTTGGTAGAGATAGCGTTTTGTCAATGTTGCCCAGGCTGGTCGCGAACTCCTGAGCTCAAGCAATCTGCCCAGCACAGCCTTGCAAAGTGCTGGGATTACGGGCATGAGCCACTGTTTTCATTCCTTATAACTCTGCCATATTACTTTCCAAACAATTCATTCTCAGGGATTAGTCTGTTTATATGTTTCCAAATTAAATAAGGTTTTTGACACTTGAATGCTACTTTCTACTCACTGATGTTCACTGTCTTTTAGCATTTGCTAAAACATCAGTGAACATCAGTGAGTAGAAAGTAGCATGTAAGTGTCAAAACAAATAATTTTGCTAAACATGTGCTGTGTACATTTGTACGTAGTATGCACATAATACACACATAAATGCGTGCTTCAGAATTATACATACCACTGATATTAGGAGTGATTGACACACATTCAGAAAGTATTTATTAAACCTACCTGGCCAAAGTAGCAAATTATGTTTGTGTTTTTTTGTCCTAATACTTTTAAGTTCTTTAATGTGCTAAAAATCAAATCAACACAATTCAATTTTCTATTATAGATACTAGCTTAGTATTAATATTATCATAGTTAATATTCTAATCATTTATGGAATTAATTTGGAGGTACTATATTATGACCAAATATGGAAATGCTTGATTCTTACTGCCAGAAGAAATAGAATAGAGAATAAAGTTTGAGAAGATCTGAAAAATCATTTATGTCTTGGGTTCATTTTTTTTAAGTAGGTGTACATAGCATCTAACAGTTAAAAGGTAAGATTAGACCTAGGCATTTTAGTTTTTATGTGCATTGTAATAACTAATAGAAAACTGATAGAAATATAGATGTGTAATATTTGGTAACTCTCTCTTTACCAGTTTGTCACTCAAGCCCTATCAGAAGGTTGGTTTGAATTGGCTGGCATTGGTACATAAACATGGACTTAATGGCATTTTGGCAGATGAAATGGTAAGTGTACTTTATTTCTAAGATTTGTTGTTGAAAGTGTCATTAAAAGGTATTCTTGCTGTCATTTAAAACATGAAACTTTTTTTTGCTACTGTAGTTAACTACTGCCACCTCAGTACCTTATATTTTATCTCATCTTTGTTTTTGATAGAGTTAGTTCTACCCTCCTCACTCCTCCCCAAGATGAAGATAGATTTATTGTCTTTCTGATTATCAGATTAGTAAATACATGTTGCAAACATAAAAATACAAATTAAAAAATCGAAATCAAAGTCACCTGTAATTCTACCACTTAAACAAGAACTAGTTTGGTGTCTTCTTTTCTAGATACTACCTTCTGCAGATGTTGTGTATGTACATGTGTACGTACATACATATATGTGCTTTTTCTACAGCTGCCTTTAAAATTGTAACTTAGATCCCTGTCCTTGTCAGTAAACAAATCCACATATATATCAGCAACATCATTTCAGCTATTTTATTTTTATTAGCGGTCTCTCCGGGTCTCTGTTCTTTCTCAAATCACATTGCCTTAAAGCTGAGTTCACAAAGTTTGTTATAGCCAGTAGTCCAGGTGTTGTCATATGGAAACTTGACCTTTAATCTAACATCTCTATTCCTCCAGCTATACTTTTTTGAAGTGTATATTTAAAATGAGTCATGTTCAGCAAAGAAAATGTTACACTGTGTGTTGGATTCCTAAAATAAAAGTTAACACAGATAATGATATTTGTTCCCTCATTAGCCTCTAAGAAAGTAATCTTTAGCATTGTAAGATATTTTCCCATATATATTTCATACTGTCATTAAAACACAGATACTGTTTATCTAATAGAAAAGTGAATAATATTCACAGGATTTCAAAATACTTACAGAAATTACCGAATATATGTCATTTCAGTTGTGTGACTGCACTTGGAAATCAGACCTGGGTTTGGGGTCCCCAGCTTTGCCTTTCAGGAGCTATCTGATCCTTTCCAGTTGACCTAATCTCTCAAAACTAATAATAAAATGTAGATAGTCTTTATATCATAAGATTGCATTTGCTATCAAATGAGGTATATATTATGTGAAACTATTTTTGTAACCTGTAAAGCGCAACACAATATTTATAAGTTGATGGCTTAGTCAGCTAGCATTGCCATAACAAAATACCACAGACCAAGTGGCTTAAACAACAGAAATTTGTTCTTCACAATTCTGGAGGTGGACAGTCCAAGATGAGTGTATCGGTAGCTTGCGTTTCTCCTGAGTCCTCTCTTTGACTTGAAGACAGCCACTTTCTTACTCTGTCCTTATGTGGCCTTTTCTGTGTATGTACACATGCCTGATATTTCTTCTTACAAGGACAGTCATATTGGGTTCAGGCCCCACACTTATGAACTCATTTAGCCTTAATTTCCTCCTGAAAAGCCTTGTCTCTAAATACAATGGCATTTGAGGTTACGACTCCAACGTATGTATTGTCAGTGGGAAGGAGGTGGACACAATTCAGTCCACAACAGTTGATAGCATTCAGTTCCCCTGAGGATCTGTATCTCCTAAGTAACTTTTTTAAACCAGTATTTTAATGATGTCTAATTTAGTTGCAGTAAAATGTACAAATATACAGCTTAGTGACTTTTTACATATATGTACACCCATGTGACTACTACCCAGAGAAGCTTTTCCATCATCCCAGAAAGTTTCTCATGCTTTTTTCCAGTTACTGCTACCACTATTCTTATACCTATCCTCGTGGATTTTTTTCTGGTTATGTAGTATATGCAGTATACTCTATACTATTTGTTTTTGGTTCATTTGGTGCAACATAATGTTATTGAGATCTATCTGTGTTCTTATATGTATCAGTAATTTTTTTGTTTCTGTTTTTGTTTTTTTAAATTGCCATGTGGTATGGTAGTCCGTGGTATAAATACAGTGCAATTTGTTGATCTTCTTCTGTTGGATATGAATATTTAGGTTATTTCTTTTCTTTTCTTTTTTCTTTCTTTCCTTTTTCTTTTTAAGCAGGTGCTTGCTCTGTCACCCAGGCTGGAGTGCAGCGGCGCACTCTCAGCTCACTGCAGCCTCGACCTCTTGAGCTTAGGCAGTCCACCCACCTCAGCCCTCCCGAGTATCTGGGATCACAGACATGCGCCACCATGCCTGGCTAATTTTGTATTTTTGTAGAGATGGAGTTTTGCCATGTTGCCCGGGCTTGTCTCAAACTCCTGGGCTCAAGTGATCCACCCACCTCAGCGTCCCCAAGTTCTGGGATTACAGGCATGCACCATGGCACCCAACCTATTTAGGTTATTTCCAGTGTTTGGCTATTAAGATAAAACTATGAACATTCTTACCCAAGTCCTTTTGCCAACATAAGCGCTCATATCTCATGATTATATTCTTAAGGGTAGAATTGCTGGGATAGATTAGGCATATGTTTCCTCCATTTAGTCATGGGACATTGCCCTTAAACCATTCAGTGGATATTAAACATTCACTGTGTCTAAGCAATAACCAAAATTATATCCTTTCCATGCAATGCAAAAAGTCTTCCATATTAATGTGTATTGTATATGAACTAGCAATGAAGATCTATCCACTGCTCAGTAAAGTAAGTTATAGCATCATTTGGAGATTATAATCAATTCTGTCATTTGAGAACTAAGAACATAGTAGAAATTCCTTTAGAGTTGCATTCTGGGAAATCAAAAGTGAATACAGCACAGAATTACTGCTTTTTCTTCTGTATTTTTATGTATTTATTTTTTGTTTGTTTTAAAATGTTATATATTGTCTTTTAAACTTTTTAGGGCCTAGGAAAAACTATTCAAGCCATTGCATTTCTGGCATACCTCTATCAGGAGGGTAATAATGGTCCTCATTTGATCGTTGTTCCAGCTTCAACTATAGGTTTGTAATACTGGAGACAACTGTATTTAACTTTATCATGTTTTATATAGGTAGAAGAGAGTGTGTGTAAGGGTGTGTGTCGGAGGGGTGTTGTGGTTTCTTAGTTTGTAGAGATGAATATTAATTTTATGGTCTCTTTATACTTTTCTCCTTTGTTTATATATGTGTGTTTGATTATATTGGCAGTCTTTTAAAAAGAACTCAAATGTAAGTCAGTTTTAAAATTTTAGACCAAGGACGATTTATGTTGGTTTCATAATACTTTTAGTTACTTTTAAAAGTGACTAAGAGAAAATGAGTACTTTTAAATGTAGAATTAAACAGATACGTAATTAATTCCTACACACATAACTGTTCCATTCTTTCTCAATTCGTTGGATGTAGAAGTTAGAATAAGAGAATATTTGTACATGTGAATGTAACAAAGAAAACCCCCTTCTCTTTAAATTGGAGGTTAATAATCAACTGTAAATATAATATTTGGTCATCTGCCCTTCATTTTGATGCCTCACAAAACCTCAAGATCATTTTACATAGGTTTCATAAGGAGTAATATTGTAAAGGGTCTGTGATAAAAACAATCGCCATGGTATTTATATTTTAATTTTTAATTTTTATTTATTTTTTTTAAGACAGTCTCGCTGTGTCACCCAGGCTGGAGTGTGGTGGCTCAATCTTGGCTCACCGCAACCTCCGCCTCCCAGGTTCTCGTGCCTCAGCCTCCCGAGTAGCTGGGACTACAGGCGCCCGCCACCATGCCTGGCTAATTTTTGTATTTTTAGTGGAGATGGGGTTTCACCATGTTGGCCAGGCTGGTATCAAACTCCTGACCTCAGGTGATCCACCCGCCTCAGCTTCCCAAAGTGTTGGGATTACAGGCATGAGCCACCTTGCTGGGCCAGTATTTACTTTTTATAAAAGACTGATTTCTGAGTAGCACTTGTCAAAGTTTAGTGTTAATTTAACCATGTGAACATACCCTATTGTAGCAGATGCAAATAATGTCTCTTCTGTTCCATAGATAACTGGTTAAGGGAAGTTAATTTATGGTGCCCTACTTTGAAGGTCCTCTGTTACTATGGTAAGAATATGTCATTCTGCTTTTAACTTTGGAAATTAAAAATAAAGTACAGCACAATAAATAGTCATGTGTTTATTGTTTTTAAATTCTAGGTTCTCAAGAAGAACGTAAACAAATTAGATTTAACATTCATAGTAGATATGAAGATTACAATGTAATTGTGACCACGTAAGTATTGAGAAATTTGGGGAGGATGGATATTTATGCAGCCCCCAAATTTAAAAAAGAAATTGTAGTAGTACTATGTAGGAAAGTTTATGCTGTTAACTGTGATACGAAAGTAATAGAATGACTAATGTTGAGGATTCAGGCATTTTTTAGTTTGGTGTGTAATACCCATATAGGAGGTTTTTGTTAGTGAATCACCTCATTAATGGTGACTATAAAAAGGTTTTGCCTAGTTATTGAAAAAAGTCGTCTTGTAATAGTAATTTCTCAGTTAAGCTTAAAGTAAAATTTGAGATATCCCACCAAAATTATTTATATTTTTAACTTACAAATAAGTATCTGTAATAAATACAATGAAATTTCATTTTCTCAATGAAAAATTTGAGTTAGGGCAGAAATAAAAATGAAAAATAATACTAATAATACTACTTGGTAATAATTGATGTAAATATCTTGCACAGAACTTAATGCTCTTGTGTTACATTAGTTGATTTATTTAAAGTTCTATTTTAACTGTAGTTATTATTTCTCTCTACTGGCTTCTTGTGTAGGAGTCTGTCCTTTAAAAATTCATGCGGAATTTTATTTTTTCTTAATAAAACAGGCTCCATATGCAGTCTCAAGCTGCTAGCTATTAACTATTATTTCTTGGATCTAATCTGCTAGTTTAATAAAATATTAAGTTTTAAAGAGAAACATGTTTTAGCTTCACGTTCTTTTTTGTGCTTATTAAAATATAACACTTCATGGAGCAGATTACTTACAAGTTATACCCAAATTGACCTCCTCCTGGGTATGTAGAAGTTGTCCGATTGTAACATTAACATTTTCTTTTTTTTTTTTTTTTTTGAGACGGAGTCTCACTCTGTCCCCCAGGCTAGAGTGCAGTGGCGCGATCTCAGCTTACTGCAACCTCTTGCCTCCCGGGTTCACGCCATTCTCCTGCCTCAGCCTCCTGAATAGCTGGGACTACAGGCGCCCACCACCACACCCGGCTAATTTTTTATATTTTTAGTAGAGACAGGGTTTCACCGTGTTAGCCAGGATGGTCTCGATCTTCTGACCTCGTGATCCGCCCGCCTCGGCCTCCAAAAGTGCTGGGATTACAGGTGTGAGCCACCGCTCCCAGCCTTTTAACATTTTCTTTCAATTATGTATTGCAGCTTTCATAGCTTGGTTACAGTGTACATCAATAATTATTAAATACAAGTACGTCAGTATTTATTTGAGTATCACCCGTGTCTAGTGCTGTGCTTTAAGTACTGGCTGTTAGAAATGTGTAAATAAAAAATGATTTTATAAGACATTAAATTTCACTAGACTCCAAGCTCTTAAAGGTATAACCTTAGAGATGTTTTTTCTTTTGGTGACAGATATAACTGTGCGATCAGCAGTTCTGATGACCGTAGTCTGTTTCGACGGCTGAAACTTAATTACGCAATTTTTGATGAGGGCCATATGCTGAAGAATATGGGCTCCATTCGCTACCAGCACCTTATGACAATTAATGTAAGAGAATGTTTGTAAAGTTTTCCAAATTACTGTAAAATTTAGATTACGTAATTTAATATATGTAGTATTTATTAGCAGAATCTGTATTATGTAGTTTAATATATGTAGTATTCTGTGTTAGCAAGTTTTTTCTGTAAAAGGGAAGATAGTAAATATTTCACACTTTATGGACTAGATGGCCTCTGTCACGTATTCTTTGATTTTGTTTTTTAACAACCCTTTAAAAAATTATTAGGTCATAAGCCATAATTTACCTGTTCTATATGTTAAACTATTTATAAATAATCTTTCATCATCTCATAAAGGTGATACGAGGACACAAGTTACCTACTTATAAAAGAAGACCAATGGTTTTCGTATTCATTGCTGTTGATAATAGCGGACGTCAATTATTTAAATTACTATATCATTTATCACAGAATGTTAAATTATTAATAATGGTTTTAATTTATCTCTCCTCCCTTCACCTTTCACTGGGGAGGATAGACATGAAAGGAGTGGCTCTTTAAGAAAAAGCTAATATAAATTTTACCTTCATTCACAGGCAAATAACCGTTTGCTGCTCACAGGCACACCTGTACAGAACAATCTGTTAGAACTCATGTCGCTGTTGAATTTTGTTATGCCACACATGTTTAGTAGTAGCACCAGTGAAATACGAAGAATGTTTTCCTCTAAGACAGTAAGCATAAATGCATATTTTCTCCCAAATATGTTATTTGTGTTTTATCTGGGCCATTCTTCTGTTAGGTCTCTTTTGTTGTTTTCATAGTGCATATGCTCTATGAAGTAACTTTAAGTAGGTGATAACTCTATATTTGGATTGGTTTGGAAACCAGCCAAAATATAATGGGAAAGAAAATAGCAATTTCCCTAATCAATGGCCAGAAGTCTTGGTTAATATCCTAATTTTCTGAAGGATGACGATTTTAAATTGATGAAGAGCTCAGATATATAGTATGTGCGGAAAGTTTGATCATTACATCATCTGTATCAAAATTGGCTACGTAAATTAGTAACATTTCTTTATGGGTAAACTATAAAACTAGACAAAGCTAGAATATCCAGAAAATGCCTATGCTGAGAAATATATTCTGAAATAAAAGTTCATAAAACCAAAGTCACAACTAAAAGCGACAGTAAAGAAATCCTCTTCACAAGAAAAGTTTTGTTACTTCTTTATTGTTTAGGAAAAGTATAGTCTTCAAGAACTCCCAGTTTTTTCAATACCGCAGTGTTTACACTGATTCTTGGCTCTCTTCCACATCACTAATCTTTTGCAAGAATTTTCTGTGATACTCGTCCACTGCAAATTAACTGCCTTTTAAACATTTACTAATTTGAATTCCCTCCCACTTAATGTACAGTGTTTTAAATGGCCTAGCAGATTTTATGAACCATTTTCTATCTTCAGTTCATAATATATGGAGGACTCCTTCACATCCTAGAATAAAATTCTACTTCTTAATTCTCCAGAGTCACCAGTTCTGACTAAGCACTATTCCCCATTTTTAGACCAAGTGATTTGCATCAGTCTGCACTAGCTTCCTTTTGGGGCCATTTTCCACAAAGAAATAAAGGATTTTCTACCCCCCACGCTCCTCCTTACCCACACTTAGACACATTTTTCAATGAGAGTTATCTAGGTAATCGATACATGACTCATCAGTTGATGACTTCTGAACACCCATCTGGTACAGTTCAAATTGATTACTTCAGTAGAGAACATGATTACGTATCATAAAACTTCAAAATACATATGGAGCTTCAAGAAGTACATGGCAGCCCAGAATTCAGATGTGAAGTGCCATCTAGAATGAATCAAGTTTCTGCAGAAAATAACTCAGACTCTAATGAGGGAGATTTTTATGTTGTGTAATAATACTGTTATTGCAATAATTTAAGTGAATAATTCCTAAAAGGATATGTTTTTATTTTGCTCAGAAATCAGCAGATGAGCAAAGCATATATGAAAAGGAGAGAATAGCACATGCAAAACAAATTATAAAGCCATTTATTCTCAGAAGAGTAAAAGAAGAGGTAATGCATATCTACATGTTTTTTATTTTTATTGTTTTTAAAACTTAGGTTTTTCTCTTTACTAGAATGATTATCTTAAACTGTTTTTTCTGTCTCAGGTTCTCAAGCAGTTACCCCCCAAGAAAGATCGAATTGAGTTGTGTGCAATGTCGGAGAAGCAGGAGCAACTCTATTTGGGTCTTTTCAACAGATTGAAAAAATCTATCAATAACTTGGGTATAATCTGATTTTTACTCTTTTATGTGAAAAAGAATCTTGTACTGGGGATGCATTTTGTTTAGTCATATAATGGGATTTGTGCATTTTAAAAAATTATCTGGAATTTGAGGAAATAATTTTAAAACTTAGTTGATATATTTCAACAGTTATCCGCTTGGTTTTATTTTTTACTGTGTTCTCTTTGAGTCACAGAAAAAAACACAGAAATGTGCAATGTCATGATGCAGTTGAGGAAAATGGCCAATCATCCTTTATTACATCGCCAATATTACACAGCTGAAAAACTCAAGGAAATGTCTCAGCTTATGCTAAAGGTAAGGATTTCATATTATGTTAACACTAAGCTTTAATAAGAGGTTAAGTTGTTAGGCTATAAGATTGGTGAACCCAATGGGCATACTAAACCTTTAACTACATATTTAAGAAAAACTTTTTTTTTTCAGACCAGGTCTGGTTCTGTTGCCAAGGCAGGCAGTCTGGGCTCACTGCAACTTCTGCCTCCTAGGCTTAAGCCATCCTCCTGCGTTGGCCTGCTGAATAGCTGGGACTACAGGCACGCACCACCATGCCCGGCTAATTTTTTTGTACGGATGGGGTTTTGCCATGTTGCCCAGGCTGGTCTTGAACTCCTGAGCTCAAGCGATTCGCCCGCCTTGGCCTCCCAAAGTGCTGGAATTACAGGCATCAGTCACTGCACTGAAACACGAAAAACACATTTTAGACTAAGTTCAAAATGATCTGGGGGACATAAAAACAAAGAAGGACTGATAACCTACATTATAAGTCAGCAAACTATGGCCTTACGGCAGTGACTATTTTTATAAATAAGGTTTTACTATAACACAGTCATGCCTGTTTTTGTTTTCTGGGACTGCTTTCTCACTACAGGGGCAGAGTTGAGTACTTGCCTTACAGGTCATTTTGCCTACAAAGCCTAAAATATGATCTGGCCCTTTACAGGAACAGTTTGCTAACTCCTAGTCTAGACTTCCATAATGCACTTCTTTTTCATTTTATTTCTTTATAATTTTAGCAATTACTCTTTATTTTTGCCTCTTTCTCCTTTAACATTTTAACCTTATTTATCCTTACTGATCTTTGGTTGAAAGCAACCCATTTTCTTCCTTTTCTTTACTTTTTTTTTTGAGATAGACTTTTGCTCTTGTCGCCCAGGCTGGAGTGCGATGGCATGATCTCTGCTCACTGCACCCTCCGCCTCCCAGGTTCAAGTGATTGTCCTGCCTCAGCATCCTGAGTAGCTGGGATTACAGGCACCTACCACTACGCCCAGCTAATTTTTGTATTTTTAGTAGAGATGGGGTTTCACCACGTTGGCCAGGCTGGTCTCGAACTCCTGACCTTAGGTGATTTACCCACCTCGGCTTCCCAAAGTGCTGGGATTATAGGCGTGAGCCACTGCACCTGACCAACCCATTTCTTTTTAAATTTTTTTTTATTATTTTAAACTTATGGAGAATTTCAAACATTTATAAAAGTAGAATTGCATAATGAAACTGCCCATATGTTACTTCACCCCTTTGAAAGTTACCATTTGATAATAACACCACCCTTGTTTCATCTATACCCCAGACTTCTCCCCAGGGTTATTTTGAACCAAGTTCTAGATGTTATTTCATCTGTAAATATTTTAGTATGTTATCTCTCAAACAGTAAGGACTTCTCCCCCTTTATTATACCTAAAAGATTAATACTAATTTTCCTTGATAAGTCTGTTACACTAAAAGGTTCTATGATTTAGATATTTTATCAGGTATAAACAGTTTTATTAAACTTTTCTCATCATATTATTAATTATTTTTATTTTGAAGTATACTGTGTTTTGTTTTGTTTTAAGGAACCTACACATTGTGAGGCTAACCCTGACCTGATCTTTGAAGATATGGAAGTTATGACAGACTTCGAACTACATGTACTTTGTAAACAGTACCGACACATTAATAACTTTCAGTTAGACATGGACTTGATTTTAGATTCTGGAAAATTTCGAGTTTTAGGATGCATCTTGTCTGAATTGAAACAGAAGGTATTAAAAAAGAATGGCGTTTCTTTTGTATTTTCTCAATTACTTTAACTTCTTAAAGCAATTCTGGCACACTGACTTGCTTGAATTAGCCTATGTCTGTTCTGCATTCTTCCAGAACTTAGTGTTTTGAAC
The DNA here is from genome assembly GCF_000001405.40 of Homo sapiens. Taxonomy (NCBI): domain Eukaryota; kingdom Metazoa; phylum Chordata; class Mammalia; order Primates; family Hominidae; genus Homo; species Homo sapiens. Next base: position 94,280,913 of record NC_000004.12, read on the forward strand.
ATTTTCTTGACGTATTTTCTTGATTACCTCCTTTCCTCTGTTGAACCTCAGACAAAAACAATAGAAAGTTAGTAGACTGTATCTGTATTGATGTTTTAAAAAAATCTTAATTGTCATTATTTCATAGGTGACAATCTGTATGTGTGCTTCAAAATTAGTTTTTAAAGACACTATTTGTTAGTTATTTAAGTAATGCTGCCGTTTATGTGTGAAATAGCCTAAATTTGTAAAATCACAGTCCAGATAATACATACATAAGCAGTTGTCCACATTTTCCGACGTTTTTCTTATGAAAAGGAAGTAATTTAACTGTTCTTAAAATCAAAACTGAGAGCTAGCTTTTAGCCCTGAAGTTAAGGCAGTTTATTCATATATAGGCTGCAATAAGACATACGTCTTCGGTATTACTGATTTGTATTAAAGAAGCAGTTTATCACAGAGAATTTTCTGCAAATTTATCAACATGATATAAGTAACACTTCTAACTGTTTAAACCTGTCAAGGCTTTGAGTAGTAAAACGATTTTTTCTATTTCTAATTCATGTATGTATTTTCACAGGGTGATAGAGTTGTGTTATTTAGCCAATTTACCATGATGCTGGATATCTTAGAGGTTCTATTAAAACATCATCAGCATAGGTACCTCAGATTAGATGGAAAGACTCAGATTTCTGAAAGGTTGGTATAATTCATGTTAGTTACAAAAAAATAACTCATTTATTATTATTGTTAGGATTTTAATTGTCTAACAAACAATTGATAGTATTTTGTTGTTTTTATGTTTGATTACTTCAAATCATTACCTTAAAATAAGAGTAATTTCAATGGTCAGGCATGGTGGCTCACGCCTGTAATCCCAACACTTTGGGAGGCTGATGCGGGCGGATTGGTTGGGCTCAGGAGTTCAAGACTACCCTGGACAACATGACAAAACCCTGTCTCTACTAAAAACACCAATAGCAACAACAACAACAACAAAAATAGCCAGGTGTGGTGGTGCACGCCTGTGGTCCCAACTAGGGAGGCTGAGGTGGGAGGATTGTTTGAGCCCCGGGGGGCGGAGGTTGCAGTGAGCCAAGATCGCACCACTGCACTGTAGCCTGGGTGACAGAGCGGGACCCTATCTCAAAAAATAAATAATTTTCTTTTAAATTTTCTTTCTGAATTACATGCAAATACGTTTTTTTGTTTTTTTTTTTTTTTTTGAGACGGAGTCTCGCTCTGTCGCCCAGGCTGGAGTGCAGTGGCGCGATCTCGGCTCACTGCAAGCTCCGCCTCCTGGGTTCACGCCATTCTGCCTCAGCCTCCCGAGTAGCTGGGACTACAGGCGCCTGCTACCACGCCCGGCTAATTTTTTGTATTTTTAGTAGAGACGGGGTTTCACCGTGTTAGCCAGGATGGTCTCGATCTCCTGACCTCGTGATCCGCCCGCCTCGGCCTCCCAAAGTGCTGGGATTACAGGCGTGAGCCACCGCGCCCGGCGCAAATACGTTTTGAAACAGCTATTAGAATTGTATTTTTTATGGTTTTCACCTTTAAATTTTTTTCAAAGTCTAAAACACCTTATCTTTCATCAAGATTGTTTTAAAATCTTTCACATTTTAAGGGTAATTAAAGTTTTTTTAATTCCCAAAGGTTGTAAAGATTGAGCTTAGTAAAGAAGGGATTGTCTTAATAAGGACGGAATTGTGTAGTATGTTTAAATTGCATTATATATTTTGATTTATTTTTTTTCTGTTGGCCAGAGTGGTTTTTTCCCACCCGCATTAGACTAAAGGTAAAAGTAATGTTTTTTTTTTTTAAAGAAGAGAATCCACTTACACAATTTGATCATGAAGTCCTTGATTCATCAGAAATGTTGTCTGCCAGTAGGAGCCGATATACTTCTGAGAAGGTTAAAGATTGAAAAGCCATACACAGAATTTAGCTAAGCCACAAGTTTAAAAAGGACAAAATAGTCATTTAGGAATTAATTGAATCTGAATAGTTGAATTGAAGTAAGAGTTGGTAGGGGTAGCAATATCGTAGAAAAGAAGTTGGGGAATTGAGGAGGCTCTTCAGTGATATAGCCAGAGGAGAAATAACTGCAATACTAAGAGATGTACATACATCTTCAGGTTTCTTTTTCATGTGATAATGATTGTTTTCCATTTTAATTACATTATACAACTTTTTAGTGAGATTTAACCTAATTTGTTTATCTTACAGGATTCATCTAATTGATGAGTTTAATACCGATATGGATATCTTTGTGTTTCTGCTATCAACAAAAGCTGGTGGATTAGGAATAAATCTGACTTCAGCAAATGTTGTTATACTTCACGATATTGACTGTAATCCTTATAATGACAAACAAGCAGAAGATAGATGCCATAGAGTAGGCCAGACTAAGTAAGTGTTTTTAGTTGGAATGTATTTTTAATTCAGTGCCACTTTAATTTGTGTAGACCATTAGAATATAGTGTTGGATGTCCTGCCTTAGTTTTTGTTTTTTCGGCAAAGCATGGCTACTGATGTATTTTATACCAGCAGTGTTGAACATCAACTGCACTACGTAACCCTTCCATTTTCTAGTAATTATCCACCCACATTCCAAATAGTTCTGCAGTTCATGAAGTATTAACAATTGACGGCCGGGCGCCGTGGCTCACGCCTGTAATCCCAGCACTTTGGGAGACTGAGGCGGGCGGATCATGAGTTCAGGAGATCGAGACCATCCTGGTTAACAGGGTGAAACCCCGTCTCTATTAAAAATACAAAAAATTAGCCGGGCATGGTGGCGGGTGCCTGTAGTCCCAGCTACTAGGGAGGCTGAGGCAGGAGAACGGCGTGAACCTGGGAGGCAGAGCTTGCAGTGAGCCGAGATCACCACCACTGCACTCCAGCCTGGGCGACAGAGCAAGACTCCATCTCAAAACAAACAAACAAAAAAATTGTCTACCCCTTTGAAAAAGATGAGTAATTAAAAAAACTTGCTTGTTAGATCAGTTAAGTCCCAGACAAACTTGGTAATATACAAACTTGCTGGGCTGTCCTGTTACCCTTTAGGAAGTAAATTGAGTTGTAAATTATTTTAGATGAATGGTACATTTTGACATTGGTCACAGCACTGTAAAGAGGTGAAGATAGCCGGGCACGGTGGCTCACACCTGTAATCCTAGCACTTTGGGAGGCGAAGGCGGGTGGATCACGAAGTCAGGAGATCAAGGCCATTCTGGCTAACATGGTGAAACCCCGTCTCTACTAAAAATACAAAAAAAAAAAATTAGCCAGGCGTGGTGGCAGGCGCCTGTAGTCCCAGCTACTCGGGAAGCTGAGGCAGGAGAATGACGTGAAGCCGGGAGGCGGAGCTTGCAGTGAGCCGCGATCGCACCACTGCACTCCAGCCTGGGTGACGGAGCAAGACTCCGTCTCAAAAAAAAAAAAAAAAAAAAAAAAAAAGAAAAAAGTAATTTCCATCTGAACACAGAACTGTTTGTTGTAATGTAGTTGTAATGTTTTGTTTTGTTTTTGAGACAGAGCCTCACTCTGGCTGGAGTGCAGTGGCACCATCTCTGCTCACTTCAATCTCCACCTCCCAGGTTCAAGCAATTCCCATGCCTTAGCCTCCCAACTGCTAGGATTACAGGTGTGTGCCACCACACCCAGCTAATTTTGGTTTTTGTTTTTTTTTTTTTTCGTTTTTTTTTTTAAGTGGAGACAGGGTTTTGTCATGTTGGCCAGGCTGATCGGCTGATCTCGAACTGCTGGCCTCAAGCAATCCACCTGCCTCAGCCTCCCAAAGTGCTGGGATTAGAGGCATGAGCCACTGTGCCCAGTCAGTAATTTACTTTAAATACAAATATCTTTCTCTTTTCTTCCATCTGTAGGAGTGTCTAAAAGTTAAATAGTCAGAAAATGTCAGTCTCAAGTGGCTTAAATAAAAGAATTTAAGGATATGTTTGTCGTAATTTTCAAAGTATTCTTTTTGAACTCTTAAATATAGTTTACATATATCCAAATAACTATATTTAGTAACCAATGGACATATTTTGTATTTTTTTTTAGAGAAGTACTAGTTATAAAACTAATAAGCCAAGGGACGATTGAAGAATCCATGCTAAAAATTAACCAACAGAAATTGAAACTAGAACAGGATATGACTACAGTAGATGAAGGTGAGTTGTTTGTAAGCAGAAACTTCAATATTTATCTATATGACCATGCATCTAATTAGTCAGTGCAAGAGGATGACAAAGATGGCTACCTTAACTAGCTTACAGTTTAGGGATGATGTGTGATGTGGGAGAAGGTAAGCATGTTTATTTCAAAATACTAAAATAATTTTTTTGAAGTTTCTTAAGTTCAAAATTTTTATTTTTGTATATGTTTTTGAAAAGAATATGTTCAAAACTCAGAAATGAAAGAACAGACGCCTCCTAGTCGCCCCATCTCCCAACTTCCCCAATAGAGGTGACAAGTGTTAGCCTTTTGTTTTTGTGTGTGTGTGACCAGTTATTTTATGTGTATAAAAATAAACACGTGTTCTTTCTTTTATGGGAGAAAGGGTGCATGTCAACTTACGATACACTCTTCTGCATCTTTTCTTATTTAATGTTAAATTAATTGGAAATAAGCAAGTTTTTTCATTCTAATTCCTAATATTGATAATTGTTCATTTTAATTTAGCAAATTTCTGTTCATGACAGACACTGTTATGTCTGTGTTATATTAGGCACTCTGTTCTGTAAAAATCAATATACTTTAATCTGTCTACAGCGAGAGAGAAGTGCGTATGATCAAATAATTACTAGTCTTTCTTGCGTAGCATTTATTTCAGGGTGCTGTGGAAGCTTGGGGAGGTGGGCGGTAGAGAAAGTTTGAGTAAGAAGCAACTGAGATCTTTAAGAGTAAGGATAAGTAGAGTGATCATAGTTAAACAATTAGCAGTCATTACTAGGCTTTGTGTGCATGTGGCAACTTGCCAGTTTCAGGTTGTCCAGGAAATACAGTAAAGTGAATGCATAAGGCAGATTCTCTTTGGGCAATGTTTTCCTTATTATTTTGGTAGGGCAGCTTTTAGAATTTAGTAAAGCATTTAAATTCTTTTTCAGCAATACTAGCAAATATCCAAATATATGGATTTTATTCTAACAAGTTTCTAAATATAATAGAACCATAATAGTTGATAAAATTAACTATAAGTCTTTTCTTATGGGCTAGTTCATTTCCTCAGAGGGAAATTTTTCAACCTCCTGTGAAGTGAAGAGAGGTAGGGAGAGAGGTGGTATGAGAATGGCCCTGAGAAATGAAGGAGGGAGGTTTGTTCTCTTATTTAAATATTAATAGTTAATCTGCCTGTTTTCAGCAGCCTCTTTCTTCTCTTCTATGACAAGTCCAGAGTTCCTCAGACTCATGTTCTCCAAAGAGAATAAACCTTCAGTTTTATACATTTGGAGCAAATGGCTGGCTCTCTTGGGCAAGCTTTAGACATCTTACCTGTTCAAGCTGATTATAACTTCATGTTTCCCATTTACCCCCATTTCCTGAGCTTTGAAGGTAGAAGGGTAAGGATTCTGGGTGTGAACTAGCCTTGCATTTCCCACCTGCAGACACTTAAGCTTTTACTTTATTATCGAAAATCAGTTTCCATTCTTTCATCGTTTTCTTTCAAAAGTTGTAGACAACTCTCTGTCTGCTGTTGTCTTTTTCTCCTATTCTTTCTCCTTTGTCTAATTCCCTTACACTTTTTTCTCCCATCGTATTTTAATGGTATTATGGGTGATGGGAACAGAGGTGATGTGTATGTTTGATCATTTTCAGTCATAATGTAAATTATTTGTATTTGTATAAATTTGGTCAGTCTAAAATTTTGCCTGTTATGTTCACCTACATTGTCTGTTAAAATAGCAGTGTATTTTTAGCTGTGCTCTCAAGCCAATAGCTTTGAAGTGTTTAGTTATGAAGAATCCTGCCCTCTCCTTACCACTTTTTTCAGAGTCTTGCTCTGTCGCCCAGACTGGAGTGCAGAGGCGCAATCTCCGCGCACTGCAAGCTCCGCCTCCCGGGTTCACACCATTCTCCTGCCTCAGCCTCCCAAATAGCTGGGACTATAGGTGCCCGCCTCCATGCCCAGCTAATTTTTTGTATTTTTAGTAGAGACGGGGTTTCACCGTATTAGCCAGGATGGTCTTGATCTCCTGACCTCGTGAGCCACCGCGCCTGGCCTCTCCTTACCACTTTTCCTAGAAGTTTTCCTCTATCTTGTTAAAGCTGTTTATATGTGTTTTTCCCAGTGTGTATTTTATTTGCTAGAATAAGGATGTAATGGCGTCTCTTATTTACTCGTTTAGCTGTAATCATTTGTCTTCAGCTGTGTCCCGGGTTTCATTTAGGTAATTTTGACACTGGACTGATGATAATACATGTATGCCCTTCTTTCCATCTCTCACAGTGAGGTCCTTTTCCTCTATAAACAAAAATGTATATTTGTAATTGACTATGTATTGCTTTTTGTTACCAATCTGTTTGTCCCCTCTTACATGAAACTATGAAAGGTAAAGACCATGATTCCTCTCAAATATGCTTATCAGATTTTTGTGTTCCTAGAGCTTGCCTTAGTTGTTACCAGAGTACCAGCAGCAGGAGCAGCATCTCCTAAGAAATTGGCAATTTGAAATGCAAATTCCCAAGCCCCATTCTATACCTACTTAGTCAAAAACTCTGGCGATGGCACCTAATAATACTTGGTTTAACAGGCTATTGAAGTGATTCTGATAAAGCTAAAATCAGAGAACCACTGCTTTAAAATAAAGATTGTGTTTGGGTTTTTTTTCATTAACTTCCCTTAATGTATTAATTGTATTAATACATTTTTTACCTTTTGGAACTTTAAAAATATATATATATTACCACAATCATGACTACATACTTTTTGAATTTTTTTATTACAGAAATAGTCATACAAAAATGAAAGCAGTGGCTGGGCGTGTGGTTCATGCTTATAATGCCAGCACTTGGGGAGACAGGCGGGAGGATCGTTTGAGCCCAGGAGTTCAAAACCAGCCTGGGCAACATAGCAAGACTCCATCTCTATTAAAATATATATATATTTTTTTAATTGTTGAAAGTATAGTATGAATGAAAAATACAGCGATTTAACAGTTGTGACATTTGCAGTGTTTGTTTTTTCTACTTCTTTTTTCCCATTGATCCATAATAAAGTCAATTGTAAACATGGCAATTTATTTTCAATATCACAGCATATTCCTCAAAGTTGGTACAATACCATTGTAGCATCTAAGAAAATAAACAGTAATTTTCAGACATTATCATATATTATTCATATCCAGATTTCTCTCATTTGTCCCCTTAATGTCTTTTATAGCTTTCCTTAAAACACTAGGGTCCAAAGTTCACACACAGCATTTTATTGTATTCTGTCTTTAGTATCTTCAAGTTTAAAAGAATCTCCTTATTCTTTTCCTTCTTTTCTCTTCTCCCTGCATTCTTCCTAACATAGTATCAGTTTATATAGTAATTTATGAAGTGTCAATTTGGATTTTATGGGCTATTTTCAAGTCTGTGGATGAGCTTGGAAGCAAGGATGTCAGTGAACTGACATCCCTAAGAGTTGATGTACTATTTTGTGTTCCTGTGGATATATGTGTTTTGTTTTGTTTTTTGTTTTTTTAACAGAGAAAAGAAGAGTGGATGAAAGTACTCATAATTTTAGATTATAGCTGAGGTGTATATTTGTGAGAGAGGGGAGGAGGAGAGAAGTGGTTAGTTTTGCTACATTTCAGCCACATCTAATTTATAAAATTATTCATAGTTACAGATCTATCACAGATCAGCAAATATTTGAATTGCCACCTGTGCTGTTGTCACTAACTAGTAAATTAATCAACTCATCTCAAAATATTCTCAGTGCTAAATTGAATTAATCAGGGATGGCTAGATTATCTGCCACTGTGACACAAAGAGATTTAGAAAATCTCAAATAATTCCTGTAAGTGCTTATACTGGGGCCTCATTTAATTAAAATATAGGGCAAACATTGGATAAACCAGGTAATTTAAAGTGGCTAATTTAATCATCAGCTGGTATGCTGTGCTCAGAATGTTGTTTATATGTATACAGTGTGGGTCTGAGTCAGTGATTATATCTTTAGATGAAAAATAAGAATATAGATTGGTTTTCGTTGGTTTAGGTTTGGGTTTGTTATCCTTGTTTTCCCTACTCCATTTCTTACATAAATGTTTTTTATTTAGCAAATGTGAGAAGTTAAGTACCATGAATTAGATACGATCCAGTGTATTACCGTGTATTTTTATATAGCTTTATAAAATTGGAAAAATAACCTTAGATTGCTATGTTGGCAATATGAACAAGAACATAGAGGAAATAGCCCTAATCTAAGTAGAGCTTAGGAAAGTTTTTAACAGGGGTGAGTGACACTGAAGCAAACTAGCCCTTGAAAGATGAGTAAGAATTCACCAAAGAAAAAAAATAATTGAGACAATTTTTTTTTAAGTAAAATATTTTTATAAAGCTTTTAATGCTACTTTCTGACCTACAGGTGATGAAGGGAGTATGCCAGCAGATATAGCCACATTACTAAAAACATCAATGGGCCTGTGAAATAAGAACTGTGAACTCTCAATTGATGAGGAAATATCAACTTGGTGCACTCAAGGACATTTACATTATGATGACCATGGGGTTTATGAACATTTATAACTTTTTATAATTTCCATATTACATTTCTCATAGTATGGACAACTTTTTGCCACTAACTGAATTCTCCAAATACTCACACGTGAAATTTCAAAAAAGAAGCCACAAATATGTAGTTCTGAAGATGTTGAATAATCATTTTACAAAGCAGTTTTCTGAATGGGGATTAGTTGGTGATTGTTTGTAACAAATATGCTAATGCTTTAGAAATGTCAGTATTTTTGTAATTATTTCTACCTCCAAATATATATATATTGTCTTTCACTGGATAATGTGTGTAGATTTTTACATGTGCCTTATTTGACAATGCTTATGTCTTGTTTTTGCTTGTCTCATTTGAAGTTCTTTTTTATTATGTTAAAGAATGCAGCTGTATAGATTATATAGCTTTCATTTTATTGCTATTTGAAGCAGATGTTCACCAATGTCAGCAAGAACTCAACCTGAATTTAAAGGTGGCATTCCATATACTAACATCCCCCAGGTCCTCTCAAGTACTTCTGCTGAAACAAATTTATTTGGCTAGGCACTAAGTTGTTTTCCAGTGAATAGTAACTAAAGAAGCCCCTACCTTGCTCCATGGATTAATTCCTTCTGTTCATTTTCCAACTGCACTAATTGTGCATATTACTCTGCCTAATCTTGTGCATGTTTTCATTGATTTCCCTCTCCCGGCTTTTGCTTCTCTTGAAACTGTTGCCCAGTCACTTCTGCTCCAATTCTCTTCCTCTCTAAATAGTAGTTTATTACTGCCACATCTCCATGCATCAGCAAAATGTTGGTGACATTTTTCTAGCCTGGCAGAACAGATTACTTAAAGCTATTTCATTTCAAAGCAGACTGAATGTGACTTCATCTAAAGGCAGCATTAGGTACTGCATGGAAATAGGTCATTAACTTGAAACTCTTATCAAAATATATTTTACCAGTTTCCAGAATTTCCAGTACAGGACCGCCTGAAGAGAGAGCCATTGTTCAATTCCAATTCAGTGTGAGTGACAAAGTGAAATTTAGAAGTGAAGTTGTCTATTTGATATTTAACTCTTTATTAAATCTTTCTTTAAATTTCTGCCTGTCAGTCTATATTGCTGTTTTTATTATACATCAGTTTCTTTGTATAACTTGTGAGTTCCATGTGTTTTGTTTTTATTATGTAAATATCATTATAAATAAACTTATTTATAAATCAAAGATTTGTTAATTTTTGGAAATCATGCTTTTCAAAGCATCCTAACTTGCTAAGATGCTAGGTAGTACGACCCTCTGGATTTGGAAGGCAAATAAAACTCTTACAGTGATTATTTAGATATTAAAGACTGAGAACTCACGGCTTAACCCCAGTCTTGATGGTATATTGAACAGACTGAATATATTTTACCATTACAGGGCTAAAAGGAGTCTTCATGTGTTAATACTACCTCCTTGTACATCACTATACCCAAATCAGTTATTCAAATTGTTAGGAATTTTACCTTTTAAAATCTCATAATGGATATCTCATGTTTTCTGTATTAATGTATTTTCAATGATAGGCTGTTTCTTTTTTTGTTGTTATTGTTGTTGTTGTTATATCCATACTTTTATCTCTAATGAAATGTAGTTGGGTTCTTCCTGTAATGCGCTATTATGTCTTGGGCTTAATAAAAATATTTGTGATCATAAGTTGTATTTTCACACCCTTTTTAATAGTTTCTAACCCTTCCTCCTCCTACCCTTAAAATCATATAATATTGGGCACAAATGAGATTATCTTATGTGCTTAATATTGCCTGTTTGCCAGTAAATTGGAACTTACTACTTAGGATGTATTCTCATTGGTTCCTTCATTGGACTGATGTCAGTAAATACTGTAACCCATTATCACTACAGAGCAAATGAAGCGAGAGTTGGAGTAATATCTTGACCAACTGAAGCATTTTTTAAATGCAAGCTACACAAAGAAGACATGCCTTATGCATTTTTATAACTGTTTGGGACCCCCATAGAGTTTTAACTTTATGCCAGTAGATACTTACTTTGAAACATTACTGTAGTTCCTAACAGTTGGCATTATCGTGTAGTGGAGAGACGGGGTATGAGGAGATTTGGTTTCCATTTGTGTGACCTTACGTGTGATACTTCACAGTCCATAAATTTAAGGAATTCGGATTGTTTTAACTCTTACCAAAAATGTATTTTTGAAATTATAAATTCAATATGCAGTTCACTTTCTGCTTGACTTCACTCTCGCTTAGCCACCCTCTCTTTGTATAGAAGCAAAGAGACATTTAATTTGCATACACAATGGGATAATGGAATGTATTGTCCTTCAGCGCAAAAAGATTACCTAAAGGTTATAATAATGCTAAATATTTCCTTATGAAACTTGCTGTGGTTATACTTTATACTTGTATTATGATTTGTATAAATAGGATTATCTTATTTTGAATTTTCATAATTTTGTATAAGCATTGGATTATCACTTTTACTTAGTTCTGTCTTCATTAAAGCTTGATGTGGGGGAAATTTAGCTATGCAGAAGAGTGAAGAAAAGCTAACTACTTTTATTATCTAGAACATTATTTGCATTTCTTTTGTTAAAGGTAATTTTTCTTCAGATTGCCTGGATTACATGTTGGAGGGTTTTGAATGAGATTCACATACAACCTATTATCATTTACTTATAGCAACTAATAACAAGAAAATTTGATCCAAAGAATCAAGGTACTTAGAAAATACACTGTTTTTATGTGTAATCCTTAATAATTTATATTTGTTATTGTTGTTGTTGTTGTTTTGAGACAGAGTCCCTCTGTCATGCAGGCTGGAGTGCAGTGGCGTGATCTCGGCTCACAGCAACCTGTGCCTCCCAGTTCAAGTGATTCTTGTCTCGGCCTCCTGAGTAGCTGGGATTACAGGTGCCCGCCACCACACCCGGCTTATTTTTGTATTTTTAGTAGAGATGGGGTTTCACCATGTTGGCCAAGTTGGTCTCGAACTCCTGACCTCAAGTGATTCACCCTCCTCGGCCTCCCAAAGGCTGGGATTACAGGCGTGAGCCACTGCGCCCGGCCTAAAGTATTAGGTAACTTTTTTTTCAATTTCATAAAACATTGAGAGGAAAGAAACACCTTAAATAAGATCATACCTATCTGGGCTTTTCTTTTCCTCTTCTTTCTTTCTCCCCAACATCCTCCTCTCTTTTTTGACTTCTTAATTGTGAATAAAGCTTCTGTAAATATATGTGGACAGGTTTTTATGTGGACATGTTTTCAGGTCCTTGAAATAAATATCAAGGAGCACAATTGCTAGATTGTATGATAAGCATATGTTTAGTTTTATAAGAAATTGTCACTGTCTTCCAAGGTAGCTGTACCATTTGTACTCTCATCAGCAACAAATGAGAGTTACCCGTGCTCCACATCCTCGTCAGCGTTTGGTGTTGTCTGCTGTTTTGGATTTTTTACCATTGTGACAGTCATATAGTGGTATCTTGTTTTAATTTGCAGTTCCCTAATGACATTTTGTTGGGCACCTCTTCATATGCTTATTGCTACCTGTATCTTTGTTGAGGTGTCTATTGAGGTCTTTTGCCCATCTTTTGATCAGCTTGTTTGTTGTCTTATTGTTGAGTTTTATGAGTTCTTTGTGTGTGTGTGTGTGTGTGTGTGTGTGTGTGTGTGTGTGCAACATGGCTGTTTATTCCACCTGGGTGCAGGTGGGCTGAGTCCGAAAAGAGAGTCAGTGAAGGGAGATACGGGTGGGGCCGTTTTATAGGATTTGGGAAGGTAATGGAAAATTACGGTCAAAGGGGGTTGTTCTCTGGTGGGCAGGGGTGGATCTCACAAAGTACATTCTCAAGGGTGGGGAGAATTACAAAGTCCCTTCTTAAGGGTGGGGGAGATTACAAAGTACATTGATCAGTTAGGGTGCGGCAGGAACAAATCACAATGGTGGAGTGTCATCAGTTAAGGCTGTTTTTACTTCTTTTGTGGATCTTCAGTTACTTTAGGCCATCTGGATGTATACGTGCAAGTCACAGGGGATGCGATGGCCTGGCCTGGGCTCAGAGGCCTGACATTCCTGCCTTCTTATATTAATAAGACAAAACAAAATAGTGTTGAAGTGTTGGGGTGGTGAAAATTTTTGGGGGGTGGTATGGAGAGAGAATGGGTGATGTTTCTCAGGGCTGCTTCAAGCGGGATTAGGGGTGGCGTGGGAACCTAGAGTGGGAGAGATTAAGCTGAAGGGAGATCTTGTGGTAAGGGGTGATATTGTGGGGATGTAAGAAGAAACATTTGTCGTATAGAATGATTGGTGATGGCCTGGATACGGTTTTGGATGAATTGAGAAACAAAATGGAATAAGAGAAGGAGAAAAACAGGTATAAAAGGTCTAAGAATTGGGAGGACCTAGGACATCTGATGAGAGAGTGCCTAAGGAGATGCAGCATAGTCCTGCCAGCAAAGATTATTTATTTACTTCAAGAGTTTAGAGTGGCAGTTTGGGGATAGCACCAGGAGATATCAGCTGTGATGGCTAGGAGAAAGTGTAAACCGGCAGTGTAAACAAGAGCACGGCATGCATGAGTAGTTGAGAACGGTGAATAGGAGTATGACTAGACAAAAGATAGTAGGGATGACAAGTTTTTTGGGGGCACAGTCTAAGTTGGTCTGGTGTCAAATGAGACTGGGGCCTAATAAAAAGGAGCGTCTATACAGGAGCTTAAATGGGCTGTACCTTGTAGCATTCTGAGGACAGGCCTGAATTCTGAGAAGCAAAAGTGGTAAAAGTATTGTCCAGTCCCTTTTAAGTTGGTGGCTGAGCTTGGTGAGCTGTGTTTTTAAAAGACCTTTAGTCCGTTCTACTTTTCTTGAAGACGGAGGACCGTAAGGGATATAAAGGTTTCACTGAAACCTACTAAAAGCCTGAAAAACTGCTTGGCTGATTTGACTAATAAAGGCTGGTCCGTCATCAGACTGTATAGAGGTGGGAAGGCTAAACTGAGGAATTATGTTTGACAGAAGGAAAGAAATGACTGCGGTGGCCTTCTCAGACCCTGTAGGAAAGGCCTTTACTTATTCAGTGAAAGTGTCTATTTGGACTAAGAGGTATTTTAGTTTCCTTACTCAGGCATGTTGAGTAAAACTAATTTGCCAGTCCTGGGTGGGGCAAATCCTCGAGCTTGATGTGTAGGGAAGGGAGGGGGCCTGAATAATCCCTGAGGAGTAGTAGAATAGCAGATGGAACACTGAGAAGTTATTTCCTTGAGGATAGATTTCCACGATGGAAAGGAAATGAGAGGTTCTGAGAGGCGGGCTAGTGGCTTGTACTATAGCATAGCCTGCCTTTGCTGGTATGCGGCGATTAGGCCTGGTGGAACTGCCATCAATAAATCAAGCGTGATCAGGGTGAGGAACAGGAAAGAAGGAAATATGGGGAAATGGGGTGAATATCAGGTGGATCAGAGAGATACAGTCATGGGTGTCAGGTGTGGTATCAGGAATAATGTGGGAGGCCGGATTGAAGTCCGGGCCAGAAACAATGGTAATTGTGGGACTTAAAGAGTAAGTACAGCTGAAGGAGCCGGGGAGCAGAAAGTATATGCGTCAGGTATGAGGAAGAAAATAGATTTTGGAAGTTATGAGAAATGTAGAGAGTGAGTTGAGCATAGTTTGTGATTTTGAGGGCCTCTAAAAGTATTAAAGCAGCGGCAGCCGCTGCACGCAGACATGAGGGCTAGGCTAAAACAGTAAGGTCAAGTTGTTTGGACAGAAAGGCTACAGGGTGCAGTCCTGGCTCTTGTGTAAGAATTCTGACCGCACTAACCATGCCTAGGAAGGAAAGGAGTTGTTGTTTTGTAAGGGATTGAGGTTTGAGAGATTAATCGGACATGATCAGCAGGGAAAGCACGTGTGTTTTTATGAGAATTATGCCGAGATAGGTAACAGATGAGGATGAAATTTGGGCTTGACTGAAGTAATGGGGGCTGTCTGTGAAGCCTTGCGGCAGTACAGCCTAGGTAATTTGCTGAGTCAGGGCCAAAGTGAAAGCAAAGAGAGACTGGGATGAAGGGTGCAAAGGAATAGTAAAGAAAGCACGTTTGAGATCTAGAACAGAATAATGGGTAGTAGAGGGAGGTATTGAGGATAGGAGAATATATGGGTTTGGCACCACGGGGTGGATAGGCAAAACAATTTGGTTGATAAGGTGCAGATTCTGAACTAACTTGTAAGCCTTGTCTGGTTTTAGGACAGGTAAAATGGGGGAATGGTAAGGAGAGTTTATAGGCTTTAAAAGGTCATGCTGTAGCAGGCAAGTGATAACAGGCTTTAATCCTTTTAAAGCATGCTTTGGGATGGGATCTTGACATTGAGCGGGGTAAGGGTGATTAGGTTTTAATGAGATGGGAAGGGGTGCATGATCGGTCGCCAAGGAGGGAGTAGAGGTATCTTATACTTGTGGGTTAAGGTGGGGGGATATAAGAGGAGGACACAAAGGAGGCTTTGGATTGGGAAGAAGGGCAGCAATGAGATGTAGCTGTAGTCCAGGAATAGTCAGGGAAGCAGATAATTTAAAGTGTCTCAGCCTAATAAGGGAACTGGGCAGGTGGGGATAACTAAAAAGGAGTGCTTAAAAGAGTATTGTCTAAGTTGGCACCAGAGTTGGGGAGTTTTAAGAGGTTTAGAAGCCTGGCCGTCAATACCCACAACAGTTATGGAGGCAAGGGAAACAGGCCCTTGAAAAGAAGGTAATGTGGAGTGGGTAGCCTCCATATTGATTAAGAAGGGGACGGACTTACCTTCCACTGTGAGAGTTACCCGAAGCTCGGGGTCCGTGATGGTCTACGGGGCTTCCGAGGCGATCGGGCAGCATCAGTCTTCAGCCGCTAAGCCGAGGAGTCAGTCAGAGAGCCTTGGGCCAGAGTTCCAGGGGCTCTGGGAGTGGCTGCCAGGTGAGTTGAACAGTCCAATTTCCAGTGGGGTCCCGCACAGATGGGACATGTCTTAGGAGGAATCCTGGGCTGCAGGCATTCCTTGGCCTAGTGGTCAGATTTCTGGCACTTGTAGCAAGCTCCTGGGGGAGGAGGTTCTGGAGGAACGCCTGTCCGCTGCAGTTCAGGCATTTGGAAGTTCTTGTGTGCTGGAGATGTGGCTGGGGTTTGTCTCACAGTGGAGGCCAGGAATTGCAACTTTTTTCTATTATTGTACACCTTGAAGGCGAGGTTAATTAAATCCTGTTGTGGGGTTTGAGGGCCAGAATTTAATTTTTGGAGTTTTATTTAATGTCGGGAGCAGATTGGGTAATACAATGTATATTGAGAATAAGATAGCCTTTTGACCTTTTAGGGTCTAGGGCTGTAAAGCGTCTCAGGGTTGCTGCCGAACGAGCCATGAACTGGGCTGGGTTTTTATATTTGATGAAAAAGCCTAAACACTATCTGATTTGGGATAAAGAAAAAGGAGCATTAACCTTGACTATGCCTTTAGCTCCAGCCACCTTTTTAAGAATAAATTGCTGGGCAGGTGGGGGAGGGCTAGTCACAGAACGAAACTGTAAGCCAGACCAGGTGTGAGGAGGGGAGGCGATAAAAAGATTATAGGGTGGAGGAGTGGAGGCTGAGGAAGAATTGGGACCTAGCTTGGCCTGGCTAGGAGGGGAGAGGTCAGATGGGTCTGTAGAAAAGGAAGATTAGAAAGACTCAGCGACGCTTGGCGTTGGGACTGAGGGGACAGGCAGGAGATTTGGGACGAGTTGCATTGGGCACAGAGACTAGGAATGGACTGATGTGTAAAAGAATGCCTGGATGTCAGGCACCTCAGACCATTTGCCCATTTTACGACAGGAATTATTTAGATCTTGTAGGACGGAAAAATTGAAAGTGCCGTTTTCCGGCTATTTGGAACTACTGTCGAGTTTGTATTGGGGTCAAGCGACATTGCAGAAGAAAATAAGACACTTAGATTTTAGGTCAGGTGAGAGTTGAAGAGGTTTTAAGTTCTTAAGAATACAGGCTAAGGGAGAAGAAGGAGGAATGGAAGGTGGAAGCTTGCCCATAGTGAAGGAGGCAAGCCCAGAGAAAAGAGAGCGTAGAGACACGGAGGGAAGGGGTTTGGGGGTTCTTGCCCCCTAGAAAAGCAGGACTTGCCGCTAAGGGTGAAGGAGAAGGGGTTGAGGGGTACTTGCCCCTGCCCCAGGAAAGCGGAACTTGCCGCTAAGCGTGAAGGAGAAGGGGTTGAGGGGTACTTGCCCCTGCCCCAGGAAAGCGGGACTTGCCGCTAAGGGTGAAGGAGAAGGGGTTGAGGGGTACTTGCCCCTGCCCCAGGAAAGCAGAGAAGGGGTAGAGACAAGGAGAGAAGGGGTTGGGGTACTTGCCCCTTCCCCAGAAAAGCGGGACTTGCCGCTAAGGGTGAAGGACCAAGGCAGGCGTCCCTGCGTGGTCTGACACCCTTGATACATGGGTGTATAATCAGAGAGGCGTCCCTGCATTGATTAAACACCAAGGGAAGGCTGCCTTCCCAGTCCGTGACCGGCGCCGGAGTTTTGGGTCCACGGATAAAACGTGTCTCTTTTGTCTCTACCAGAAAATGAAAGGAATTGAAATTAAGAGAAGGGAGAGATTGAAGTGTAGCGCCAAGATTGAAAGGAGAAAGAGGTTGAGGGATAGTGAGGGAAGTTGGAGAAGAGAGTAAAAAGAGGCCGCTTACCGGATTTGAAATTGGTGTGATGTTTCTTGGGCTGGGCGGTCTGAGGACCTGAGGTCATAGGTGGATCTTTCTCACGGAGCAAAGAGCAGGAGGACAGGGGATTGATCTCCCAAGGGAGGTCCCCCAATCCGAGTCACGGCACCAAATTTCATACGCGTCCGTGTGAAGAGACCACCAAACAGGCTTTGTGTGAGCAACGTGGCTGTTTATTTCACCTGGGTGCAGGTGGGCTGAGTCCGAAAAGAGAGTCAGCCGAGTTTTATGAGTTCTATATAATTTTGAATAATAGTCTTTTGTCAGATACATGTTTTACAAGTATTTTCTCCAAGTCTGTGGCTTGTCTTCTCCTTCTCTTGATCTCTGGGGTATCTACATTTTTCTCATCACAACAACTTTATTCATGTCAGTAAATTCATCTTTACAAGTTTCTCTGGCTGCATATCTAGAGCCTTTTGAGCCGTGTCAGATTCCCACAGTCAGCTCTTTTCTCGATAACTCTTTATATTCAGTTTGAATTTCATTCCAGGATTATCAGTTTTTGTTCCTTTGCTGCACTTTCATCTTTGTTGGGGAGTTCCCTCTTTTGATTCATTTTTGTAAAATGTCAAAGGGATTTATCACTGGGCCACAAGCAGGCAATAGCAATACAACTACACACTTTGCTATCTATGCAGGAATAACAGATGTGCAGTGACCTCTGGCAGTCTTTGATAGAAGTGACTGGTCATTGGTCATGATGTACATAGGTTATTTACACAGCGATATGTGAACTGGAGAGCTACTAGCAAAGTTTGTGTTTTATGCAATTACAGGTAATTGTGGTAGCTGAAGTCCAAAACATTTTGGGGGAGGGGAAGAATGGTGTTGCTAAACCATTATGACTGCAATTCGTGCATGTTAGAACCTGTGCAAAGCAAGGTCTGCCTGTATTACATACTATTTTTCTGTAATTGTAAATGATGAGAAGCTATTCTGAAAGAAAAAGATACTGAAGAAAGATTTGTTTTTATTTTCCTTTTTAAAAATCAGAATATGGCTAAAGTGAAAATCTTAGTGGAGCTGGGGAGGGAGCATGTGGATTATCTGGCAGGCTGATGTAGCTGTCTTATCTGATGAGAGAGATGCCCCCGAGAAAAACAAACTTGAAGGCAACATGGATCAGCTAGAGTTTGGTTTGGGGCCTTCGTTTTATCCAGTTAGCGACGGCAGGAATGGCTTGGACTTTCTTCCGTAAAGTCACCAGCCTTGGATGGTTGTCTAACAGGTCAGGCTTAAAGACCAAAAGTGTGGTACTGCAAATCTCCCAGTAGAAGTCTGCCCAAGTTACCTAGTTTAAAGGAAACAAACTTTTCATTTGAACATAGAAAGTGTAGCTGTATCAGCATTCCAAAATTGAAATTAGTTTCTTAATCTAAAAGATTCAAAACAATCTTGTTATTACAAAAGCAGAATGTTTATATGATAGAAGTTCAGAAAATTACTGATATCACACTCCAGCAATCAGGTTACTACTATTAAACATTTTCGTGTATAAGATATTTTTCTATGCTGATAGATGTTGTTTTACTAACATGAGATCTTAATGGTACATACTCTTGTAACCTTGTCCAGTCTCCACCTCTCTGTGACAATACATTTTCCTTATCCAATAACCAATACGTATTTTTCCATCTGTTCTAAAATTGCCCTTTACAGGACAAAGCAGGATCTATTCCAGGTCTATGCATTTGATCTGCTTATGTCCATTAACTCTTCAAAGCAGTACCCTTTTTTTCACATCACCAAATTATTGAAGATTTCACACTAGTCCTACAGAATGTTCTATCTTCAGGACCTTTGTATTTCATCTTACCTTGTTCCTTTGTACTACGTAGTATAAAGGAAGGTGCAGGTTACTCTTAGAGGGTATATAATTTCAAGTGAAATATTTGTGGCTAAAATACATTATATTGTATCACATAAAAAGAATATATGGATGTCTGACCATTAGGGGTATGCCAAGATTGGCCACTGGATTAGTGATGACAGCCTGGTCCTACCATTGTACAGTTGTATGTTTTTATCTTTGTGTTAGAAACTAATCTGTATGCTGTTACTTTGGCTCCATATGATTATCAAAGAGTGAAGTTTAAATGTGGCCCACTCTTTTTTCTTTTTGTATAGAATTTAATAAAGCTGATTGCTAGTGCCTCAGGAACTTATTAAACATCTGTCAGCCAAGAGAAGCTACTGGCTGGAAGACTCAGAATTCAGAATAAATCCAGAATTTATTCAAATATTTATCAAGCACCTACTGTGTGCCATGCCCAGGTTTAGGTGCTGGAGAGCAAGGTAGGATGCAAGCCCTTCTCTCATGTAGCTTTTATTTTAGAAGGGAAAAGCAAATATGCAAAATGATAGGGGTTAGGAAAAAAAAAAAGTGAAGTCATGTGATGGACTATGACATGGTCAGAGAGGACTTTTTAAGAGGTGACACGTAAGCCCAGGCTTAAATATAAAAAAAGATTAAGACCTGCAGTGAGCAATCTGGGGATTAAGCGTTCCAGGTATAGGGAAATGCGTAAAGGCCCTTAAGTGGGAATGTGAGTTAGGTCTGAGGGACACACACACCAGTGTGGAGCACTGTGAAGAAGGGAGAGAGTGCCCAGAGATGAGATCAGAACATCATTTACAAAGGAATCTTAATAGAAAATGAAAAATAAATTCTTAGAAATTTTTCAATAGGGCAGGGAGAGGAGCATTTTAGTAAAGGCTATGAGGGGAGTCAGAAGAAATGAAGGGGTATGTGAAGAGGTTGAAAGTTGAGAATAAAGATGTGGCAAATGTAGTTCTGTATCACCCAGAAGGGCTGAACAGGGCAGACAGCAGAGTGTCAGCATGCTACAAAAAAGCAGTCTTATCTCCCAAAATGCAGTCTCCCTGAAGGTAGAGACCTCCACCTACCACAACTTGTAATCAGGTTTAGATTTGAATTTTTTGGCAAGACTACTAGGTGGTAGTGTGCCTAGTATCTGGTTGTCTAACTTTTTTGTGATTATTGATGGTCCATGCCTACGCCAATTAATTTTTCTGGGGTTGGAAAGTGGTGATAGTTTATTTCAGTCTTTCTTTCTTATCTATTAACTGGAATACTTTCATGAAGACAAACTTTTTCCAACTGATCGAGATATAAAATGCTTCATAATTTATCCTGATATAAAATACATATGAGTTTATACTGTTAGCTGTAGTTCAAGTTCAGGAATGGATATTTACTTGACCTTACTCACCTTACATCTCTATCTCCGTTCTCCCACATTGAAGATCCTGGTTCTCAGTGACATCAACACAATTTATTTTTGTACCCACAATATAATTATAATAATACCAGAAAAAAAATACCAATAGTTTGTAGTACCACCAACAATATGATTACTGAAAATAGTATATGATTTTTTGTTGTTCTAAGCTAAGAGATATCTGTCTTAGATGTATAATCAGATTAGTGTGTTTTACAAATGATACTTCTTGAAATAGTTCTTCTCTAGTAGAGTACATATGTATTCTGTGTGTTCTCTATGCACCTCTTTTGCATAGTTAGGTTCATTTACTTTGCTTTGATTTTTAGGATAGCTTTTTAAGTTTTCGCTGCCAATATATAATTATATAAAATATGGTTCCAAAGTCAAATCTATTTTTTAAAAAGGTTTATTTAAAGAAGTTTAACCTTTGTTCTTGCTGTAAATTCTATCCCCTCCCTATAGGTAACTTTTTTTCAGTAAGTTTTTATACTTCTATTGGTTTGTCCTTTTATTTGCTTGAATTTTTTAAGATATAAAACATACTCACAGAGTTACCAATAAGCCATTCTCTCCCCCCTAAATATGTGTCCAAGTCTTGCATAAGATGAGGCGCATTATACGTGAGCAGCTCATTGAACATCTGCTCCTAGGAGAAGGAGAAAATATCACTTTAAGAATAATGAGAAGAAAAGTAACATGATCTGAGGAGGAAGTAGATTTCTCCATCTTTATTCTCCCACATGAATTCAAGAAGAAAGAGAAGTAGCTAGATTTTTTATTCAAATTTATGACATGGAGATTTAGGTCTGATTCTCTATAGATGTGAGTCATCTCTTTATTGCTCATGGATTAAAAAAATAGTTTTGTGTCACCAGTTCTTAGTTTCTTTGTGTATAATGACTAAATATTTTACCCACAAAATCTTATTTTTTCTTAAATTTACTAAAGTGAAATGATTCTCTTGTCTTTTTAGATTCCTAAAATTTCCCTCTTTCTTAACCTAGCTTTTTTAAAGCTAAATAATGTAACTGAAGGTAAAGAAATTTATTTTATTTCGTAAGGCTAGACTCTTCTAGTTTGGCAGTTCTTCGTTTCACTATTGCGTTTATAATGAATCATGATCTTGGGCCTTTATGTATTTTCTCATTGGACTACCATTGTGCCTCATTATCAGATTTGTCCATCTTGAATATCATCTACAAAATGCATCATCTAGTTATCCCCTCTTGATATATAAACAAATATTATTTAAAAATTAACATCCTTAGGAAAATATATATAAAACATCCATTTTTTTAATTGTCATCATTTTTCTACTTAAAGCTCTGAAGACCAAATAATTTACTCAAGGCCTCTTTCTTGATAAGAGATGTTTGTTTATATATAAGAATTCTGCCTGTTTGAGTCTTGGTTATGAAATAGAAGCCAAACTCAAAAATATAAAATGTATATATCATTTATTAATATGTCTAAATGATCTATAATGAAATCCAACCTTTATTAAGATAAGTCAGATAGTGGATACTGTACCAATTTGCTGATTTACTTGCTGTTATGATTATGACTTAGCTAGATGGTATATACTACCACAACATAATGCCTTATATTTAGAATACAATTTGCAAAAGCATCCTTACATACAGGTTGAGCCTCCCTAGTCCAAAAATCCAAAATGCTCCAAAATCCAAGACGTTTTGAGCATGCGCATGATGCCCAAAGGAAATGCTCAGGGGAACATCTCAGATATCGGTTCTTGAGATTTGGTATGCTCAACCAGTAAGTATAATGCAAATATTCCAAAATCTGAAGAAAACCCCAATTCTGAAATACTTCTGGTCCCAAGAATTTCAGATAAGGGATACTCAACATGTACTTACATATGTTTGCCAGATTTAAAAACCGAAGCTTATAAAGCTTGTCATTATTTTGACTTTATGTTCTTTCCCTTGTTCTATAAAGTGCTCTGTGGTCAGTATGTTCATAGTTTTAAAGAAAACATTAGTTATGAGTCTTTCTGCTGCTTACACAGAATTTGTAATCCCATTGAAGGGCAGTGAGTCGATAACCATGTGGTGCTTGCCACAGATCTGCTCACCTCAGTTGGCATCAGTCAGAAAAGTAATGGCCAATTTGATTGTTGGACAACTTTCCAAAAACTCCTGTGTGCACTCCTGGCAAATTCTGTTCTTCTAACGTGCATTTCCAGAGCTTCAGGTGCACCAATGTTTGTGTATATGCAGAGTCAAATAAAACTCTTATATCTGTGCTACTGACTTCTCCTTGAGCCCAGATTGTCTTTGTAAGTTTGGTGAATTATTTCAGTCTAATGAAATGTAAATTAATAAACAGTGTAATTAGTATTTAAGTTTCATTTTAAAGTACAATCAACCAAAATAACATAAAGAAGATAAGATTTGATTACACTTCTTTTTTTTTCCAGATATATTTTAAAAAACACATTTCCTGATCCATCCTAGATAGCCACTCCTTTACTTGATGGATTCAGAAATTTCTAGCCTCCCTTTTCAGAGGAGGTTTTTTCACCCTGAGAATTTGTTGCTATGAAAGTTTAACAAATGACTTTTAGAGAGGTTCGTATATTTCTCAAAAGCATTTTCAGATATGCACTACCAAAATTATTTTGTGTTGGAACCACGACATCAGAATGTCCTCAGGCCTTCTCATTCTTCTTCCCCATCCTGTTCTTTAGATGAGGAAATGGAAACACAGATACATTAAATAACCAAAGTAACACTAATGGTGAGTTCAAGGATTGTCATGGTGACCAATATCCAAAGGCATCTTTTGCTTTTAATTCTTTTTTTATTGGAAATGGAATTTTTAGTAATAAATACTGTAAAATTGTGTGTATTTGGTAGATTTTTAAGGTGTATATGACAAGAATATATTCACTATCCATCTTAAGTGCATCAATATTCTGCCTTTGAAATTTTCACCTGACCACAAGATGGCAGCAATGTAGCCCACTACCAACAGTCTAAGAAATGAAATACAGAACAGTGCATTTTTCATTATATATTAGCCAAGTCCTGCTTGTTAATTAGATAGTCTATAGCTATCAGCAATGTTTCTGCAACGTGTTCTGCCTTTGTATGATTTAATCATGAACTTGGATTGCTGTGTCCTTTGAAATTGTTTTTTTGGAATTGGTGGTATGTAAGAGAGTTGTTATTCTAATACAAAGGTAGAGTGTTACTCTTATCATAAATGTTCGAAGAATATTTTCCTCTGGGAGGTGGTCTCTGTTATGGAGCCTCAGCCACAGAAAGGTAGAAAATAGAAAAGTAGAGAAGAGCAAACTGATAAATTGATAGACTGCACATTAGGGGGGTGTTTGGTACATGGAACAAAAATCTTTAGACACTTCTAAATTGGAGAGCATCTGTTTCTACATTTATAATGATATGTAAAATACAGATGCCATGTCTGACAAATAGTAAAAACAATTAACACCAAAGTATATAACACTATTAATTATAATAGTTAATATTTAACACTTCCTACCTAGCCATAGGCACATATGCTAACATTTAATCCTGCCAACATACTTCAAAGTAGAGCCTGTTGTATTCCCACTTTACAAAGAGTTTGAACTATAAATAGGGAGTTAAGTGACAGCTAGTAAGAAGGGAATCAGGATTCAACCTGGCAGTTTGACTCCAGAGCCTAAATGTACTTATGTCAAAAAGTTGTATTTCTATCATCAAAGCTGAGCTTCATTATTTCCTGGCTAGGCCTATATATATACGTGTGTGTGTGGGCAGACCCTACACACCTTACATTTATATCATGGAGTTAGTCAATGTAAATACTTTTGTGTCCGGATATCTCTATTCAAATCAGAAGGTGCTAATTAAATAGTATTTACAATAAATACTAAGTAGATAGTATGTGCTTAAATATGTGCTTAAGTAAATTGATAAGACTGCCTGCTATTTGTGCTGTGGCTTTCGACTATAGGCTTTAGCTTTAACATGTACATAAATATTCATGCGCAGCTGTTTTGAACAGCTGCTTGCACTGTGGTATTATACCCAGTGGTTAAGAACCTGGGGTTTGAGTCAGTGACGATTTGAATTCCTTCTGCACCACTTCTAGCTGAACAATTTTGGGTAAGTTGTTTACACTACATGAAACTCTTGTTTTCTTACTTGGAAGATGAGGATAACAGCAGTTTCATTCTAAAGGAATGCTTAAATTAGTTACTAATTTAAGCAATTGTATACCTAGGTGATGAGGCTATGGGATCTAAATTCAGCTGTCTGGGCTCAGTTCACAGTTCTGTCAGTTGTGTGACTTTGGGCAACTCTGTAACTTCTGTTTCTCAGTGTCTTCATCTGGAAAGTGAGCATGACAATAAAAAGCACTTATCTTGAAGTGGGAGGAGGGCTGACTGAGATAACACATAGAGCTGAGAGTAACACAGGCACATGGTGTGCATTTGATGAGTGTGGTTCTGATCACTTATTCAACAAGTGTGTAATGCCTACTATGTAAAAGGCACTGTGATGGCGGTGGGGGATCAGTTGAATAATACAGACATGATTCCTACCCCACGATGCATCCAGCTTGAGGAGACAAACAACAAACAAGTAATCACACACCACCTGCCAGTCTCTTTAAAATAGAGACTGTGATGAGCGTCCTAAAGGAAACCACTAGAAGCTGTAATAAAGACGTCTATTTAGAATTCTGCATAAAGATGAATAATTTGACAAATATATATCATTTTGCATTCATCTCTAAACCACAGTAATGAATATTTTTAAAAAGATAGAACCCACAAGGAAGTGGAAAGAGAGGAGATAAGAGCAAACAAAATTTGAAGCTAGTAAGCAGATGGGTGAATGGCACCTGTGAAGGGAAAGCCAAGAACCAATCCTATCAACAACACAAAATCCTTAAATGGCTCAGGAAATGACCGGATATGTCTAGAACTGGGGTTAAGGAGGTTTGGGAGGGGATAAAATGAGGATTGGTGGAAAACTATTAAGCGGTTTTAGCATGGGATGTTCTTCATTTTACATTACTAGACAGCTGTCCCTTCCCCATTCTTAGCGGAAAACAGCCTAAGAATTTTTATAAATTTAGAAGCACAATATCAGAAATTTAGAACTCAAGGACTGATGAGAAATGCTTTCTAAAAGTAATGCAGAAAAGCCAAGAGACGGGAAATAGGAAAAGAGCCAACCAACATCTGAATTACTGGAATTCTACTATAATGGAACAAAGAAAATAAAGGGGGAGGAAATCATTAATGAAAGAATTAAAGGAAATGTCCTTGAACTAAAGGACATGGGTCCCAGATTGAACGGAATCACCAAGGAAACAGCACAATGGATGAAAACAAGATCATACCAAGACTCACCATTGCAAAATTTTAGAACTCTAAGGGCACGTGTTTTGTAATCTTTCAGAGTGGAAAAAAAATAGGTCACATACAAAAGGTCAGTAATTACATTGAATTCAAACTTCTCAACAGCCTTTCAAATACTAATGAAAAACTACTTTCATCAGAATTCTACACCCAGTCAAACTATAAACAAGTTTGAGAATAAAATAAAAACATCTTTAAACAAATAAGGCCCCAAAAGCCCCAAACTTTTATTTCCTATGACCAGTAAGCTCTTAGAGGACTGTTCCACAAAAGCAAGGAAAGAAAACAGGAGAATGAACCCAGGAAAACATAAAAAAAAAAAAAAAATCCTGGGTAATAATAAAGATCTCAGGATGACAACTGTGACCAAGTATCTAGGACAACCATACCAGAGCGAAGCAGTGTGACTCACAAGATAGACATATCCATGCCATCTGTCATAATCATATCTGCTGTCATCAAGCCTTCATTTTAACTTTTGGAATACTAGAGGATGTGCCCCCAAATAAACAATGGAGTAAACAAAGAAAGAAGGCAGCATCCAGGAACAGGACTCCAGCTCCATAGAATGGCATCACTGGAATAACAGCAAAGGGAATTCCAATGATGACAGCTGTGCAGAAAACCTGGAGAACTCCACAAAGAATGGAAGTCTCCTAGAGAGCGCTCCAAGAAATATTGGAAATAACAGATGAACTGACACTACGTTGACCTTGTGGAAAATCGTATTGGCAGGCTATTGGATACTGTGGAAAGTCAGCAGTAAAAGTGAAAAGAAGCAAAAGAAAGCAATTACTAATTTTAAGGAAGAAAAGTGAGAAAGAAAATATAAAAGCATACTACAGTGCACAGTTCTGTGCATTATTTGCATAGCCTACTAATCACAGGATAATTAACCAAAAAATTTTCACATCACAATATTGGGAGCTTGGTGAAAAGGAAGCAGAAAGGATGACTATGTAAGAGAAAAATTGTTATTTCAGGTTGAGATCCCTTATCCAACATGCTTGGGAACAGAATTGTGTTGAATTCCAGACTTTTTCAGATTTTGGAATGTTTGCATATACATAATGAGATATATAGGGGATGGGGCCTAAATCTAAAAACCAAATTCATTTATGTTTCATTTACACCTTATACACATAGCCAAAGGTAATTTTATACAGTATTTTCAATAATTTTGCACATTTGCTAAAGTTTGTGTTAAGTACTTACATGTGGAATTTTCCACTTGTGCTGTTATCTTGGTACTTAAAACGTTTTGGAGTTTGGGGCATTTTGGACTTCAGACTTTCAGGTTAGGAATGCTTAACCTGTACTATCATAAGTCCTGAGAAATCATTTACAATTGGTCAATCAGAGGAAGTCATATTTATTTATCCTATAGAAATATGGAAATGTGTAAATCCTAAAGAAACTGCTAAACAAAGTTTTAAAAGGGTTGCATCTGGGGAGGAGTTAATGTGAAGGGGTACAATAGGGAATTGCTGTACTTTATTTTAAACTTTTAAAATATAATTTGGTATTTTAAAATTATACATATTCTTTTGATATTAAGGAACTTTCTAAGGCACCTAACACAATGTCTGGCAGGTGGTATATAATTAATACTAGGAATAGCAAATGGATCACATTACTTTCACATCTTGCTTTTTCTCTGCCCAAGGAAAACATGACATGAAATCATCCAGAGTGTCCACAATAGCATCAACATGACATTGTTCCATTTCTGTGTTTCCAGCCAAATCTGTGGAATAGAGAGAGGCCCATCAATATGTTTAATTTACTATATTAAAAAGTTTGTTTTTAACAGATAGTATACTCATATGGTTGAAAATTCAAAGAGTGTAAAACAATATCCAGTGAAGACTAGCTTCCATCCACCACATTTTGCTCCCTTACCTACCTACCTTACTGGTACCACTTTAATTAGTATTCTACATTATTTCTTTATGAAAATACAAGCAAATAAAATATATATCCCACTAGATATGCTTCCTCATCCCATGTCCCCTACATATCTTTCTTTACAAGTACCCAAAGGGTGTACTTGCTTTTTTTTTTTTTTTTTTTTTTTTTTGGCTACATAGGGATTCATTGAGGTAGATGCGCCACAATTTATTTTTTTATTTTTTTAATTATACTTTAAGTTCTAAGGTACATGTGCACAACATTCAGGTTTGTTACATATGTATACATGTGCCATGTTGGTGTGCTGCACCCATTAACTCGTCATTTACATTAGGTATATCTCCTAATGCTATCCCTCCCGCCTCCCCCCACCCCACAACAGGCCCCGGTGTGTGATGTTCCCCTTCCTGTGTCCATGTGTTCTCATGGTTCAATTCCCACCTATGAGAGAGAAGAGTGAGAACATGCAGTGTTTGGTTTTTGGTCCTTGAGATAGTTTGCTGAGAATGATGGTTTCCAGCTTCATCCATGACCCTACAAAGGACATGAACTCATCATTTTTTATGGCTGCATAGTATTCCATGGTGTATATGTGCCACATTTTCTTAATCCAGTCTATCATTGTTGGACATTTGACTTGGTTCCAAGTCTTTGCTATTGTGAATAGTGCTGCAATAAACATACGTGTGCATGTGTCTTTATAGCAGCATGATTTATAATCCTTTGGGTATATACCCACTAATGGGATGGCTGGGTCAAATGGTATTTCTAGTTCTAGATCCCTGAGGAATCACCACACTGACTTCCACAATGGTTGAACTAGTTTACAGTCCCACCAACAGTGTAAAAGTGTTCCTATTTCTCCACATCCTCTCCAGCACCTGTTGTTTCCTGACTTTTTAATGATCGCCATTCTAACTGGTGTGAGATGGTATCTCATTGTGGTTTTGATTTACATTTCTCTGATGGCCAGTGATGACGAGCATTTTTTCATGTGTCTTTTGGCTGCATAAATGTCTTCTTTTGAGAAGTGTCTGTTCATATCTTTCGCCCACTTGTTAATGGGGTTGTTTGCTTTTTTCATGCAAATATGTTTGAGTTCTTTATAGATTCTGGATATTAGCCCTTTGTCAGATGAGTAGATTGCAAAAATTTTCTCCCATTCTGTAGGTTGCCTGTTCACTCTGATGGTAGTTTCTTTTGCTGTGCAGAAGCTCTTTAGTTTAATTAGATCCCATTTGTCAATTCTGGCTTTTGTTGCCATTGCTTTTGGTGTTTTAGACATGAAGTCCCTGCCCATGCCTATATCCTGAATTGTATTGCCTAGGTTTTCTTGTAGGGTTTTTATGGTTTTAGGTCTAACATTGAAGTCTTTAATCCATCTTGAATGAATTTTTGTATAAGGTGTAAGGAAGGGATCCAGTTTCAGCTTTCTCCATATGGCTAGCCAGTTTTCCCAGCACCATTTATTAAATAGGGAATCCTTTCCCCATTTCTTGTTTTTGTCAGGTTTGTCAAAGATCAGATGGTTGTAGATGTGTGGTATTATTTCTGAGGGCTCTGTTCTGTTCCACTGGTCTGCCTATATCTCTGTTTTGGTACCAGTACCATGCTGTTTTGGTTACTGTAGCCTTGTAGTATAGTTTGAAGTCGGGTAGCGTGATGCTTCCAGCCTTGTTCTTTTTGCTTAGGATTGACTTGGCAATGCAGGCTCTTTTTTGGTTCCATATGAACTTTAAAGTAGTTTTTTTCCAATTCTGTGAAGAAAGTCACTGGTAGCTTGATGGGAACGGCACTAAATCTATAAATTACCTTGGGCAGTATGGCCATTTTCACAACATTGATTCTTCCTACCCATGAGCATGGAATGTTCTTCCATTTGTTTGTATCCTCTTTTATTTTGTTGAGCAGTGTTTTGTAATTCTCCTTAAAGAGGTCCTTCACATCCCTTGTAAGTTGGATTCCTAGGTATTTTATTCTCTTTGAAGCAATTGTGAATGGGAGTTCACTCATGATTTGGCTCTCTGTTTGTCTGTTATTGGTGTATAAGAATACTTGTGATTTTTGCACATTGATTTTGTATCCTGAGACTTTGCTGAAGTTGCTTATCAGCTTAAGGAGATTTTTGGCTGAGATGATGGGGTTTTCTAAATATACAATCATGTCATCTGCAAACGGGGACAATTTGACTTCCCCTTTTCCTAATTGAATAACATTTATTTCCTTCTCTTGCCTGATTGCCCTGGCCAGAACTTCCAACACTGTGTTGAATAGGAGTGGTGTGAGAGGGCATCCCTGTCTTGTGCCAGTTTTCAAAGGGAATGCTTCCAGTTTTTGCCCATTCAGTATGATATTGGCTGTGGGTTTGTCACAGATAGCTCTTACTATTTTGAGATACGTCCCATCTATACCTAATTTATTGAGAGTTTTTAGCATGAAGGGCTGTGGAATTGTGTCCAAGGCCTTTTCTGCATCTATTGAGATAATCATGTGGTTTTTTGTCATCGGTTGTGTTTATATGCTGGATTACGTTTATTGATTTGCATATGTTGAACCAGCCTTGCATCCCAGGAATGAAGCCCACTTGATCATGGTGGATAAGGTTTTTGATGTGTTGCTGGATTCAGTTTGCCAGTATTTTATTGAGGATTTTCCAATCGATGTTCATCAAGGATATTGGTCTAAACTTCTCTTTTTTTGTTGTGTCTCTGCCAGGCTTTGGTATCAGGATGATGCTGGCCTCATAAAATGAGTTAGGGAGGATTCCCTCTTTTTCTATTGATTGGAATAGTTTCAGAAGGAATGGTACCAGCTCCTCCTTGTATCTCTGGTAGAATTCAGCTGTGAGTCCATCTGGTCCTGGACTTTTTTTGGTTGGTAAGCTATAAATTATTGCCTCAATTTGAGAGTCTGTTATTGGACTATTCAGAGATTCAACTTCTTCCTGGTTTAGCCTTGGGAGGGTGTATGTGTCGAGGAATGTATCCATTTCTTCTAGATTTTCTAGTTTATTTGTGTAGAGGTGTTTATAGTATTCTCTGATGGTAGTTTGTATTTCTGTGGGATCTGTGGTTATATCCCCTTTATCATTTTTTATTGCATCTATTTGATTCTTCTCTCTTTTCTTCTTTATTAGTGTTGCCAGCAGTCTATCAATTTTGTTGATCTTTTCAAAAAATAAGCTCCTGGATTCATTGATTTTTTGAAGGGTTTTTTGTGTCTCTATCTCCTTCAGTTCTGCTCTGATTTTAGTTATTTCTTGCCTTCTGCTAGCTTTTGAATGTGTTTGCTCTTGCTTTTCTAGTTCTTTTAATTGTGATGTTAGGGTGTCGATTTTAGATCTTTCCTGCTTTCTCTTGTGGGCATTTAGTGCTATAAATTTCCCTCTACACACTACTTTAAATGTGTCCCAGAGATTCTGGTACGTTGTGTCTTTGTTCTCATTGGTTTCAAAGAACATCGTTATTTCTGCCTTCATTTCGTTATGTACCCAGTAGTCATTCAGGAGCAGGTTGTTCAGTTTACATGTAGTTGAGCGGTTTTGAGTGAGTTTCTTAATCCTGAGTTCTAATTTGATTGCACTGTGGTCTGAGAGACAGTTTGTTGTGATTTCTGTTCTTTTACATTTGCTGAGGAGTGCTTTACTTCCAACTATGTGGTCAACTTTGGAGTAAGTGTGGTGTGGTGCTGAGAAGAATGTATATTCTGTTGATTTGGGGTGGAGAGTTCTGTAGATGTCTATTAGGTCCACTTGGTGCAGAGCTGACTTCAATTCCTGGATATCCTTGTTAACTTTCTGTCTCATTGATCTGTCTAATGTTGACAGTGGGGTGTTAAAATCTCCCATTATTGTATGGGAATCTCAGTCTCTTTGTAGGTCTCTAAGGACTTGGTTTATGAAACTGGGTGCTCCTGTATTGGGTGCATATATATTTAGGATAGTTAGCTCTTCTTGTTGAATTGATCTCTTTACCATTATGTAATGGCCTTCTTTGTCTCTTTTGATCTTTGTTGGTTTAAAGTCTGTTTTATCAGAGACTAGGATTGCAACCCCTGCTTTTTTTTTGTTTTCCATTTGCTTGGTAGATCTTCCTCCATCCCTTTATTTTGAGCCTATGTGTGTCTCTGCACGTGAGATGGGTTTCCTGAATACAGCACACTGATGGGTCTTGACTCTTTATCCAATTTGCCAGTCTGTGTCTTTTAATTGGAGCATTTAGGCCATTTACATTTAAGGTTAATATTGTTATGTGTGAATTTGATCCTGTCATTATGATGTTAGCTGGTTATTTTGCTCATTAGCTGATGCAGTTTCTTCCTAGCTTGGGTGGTCTTTACAATTTGGCATGTTTTTGCAGGGGCTGGTACTGGTTGTTCCATTCCATGTTTAGTGCTTCCTTCAGGAGCTCTTGTAGGGCAGGCCTAATGGTGACAAAATCTCTCAGCATTTGCTTGTCTGGAAAGGATTTTATTTTTCCTTCACTTATGAAGCTTAGTTTGGCTGGATATGAAATTCTGGGTTGAAAATTCTTTTCTTTAAGAATGTTGAATATTGGCCCCCACTCTCTTCTGGCTTGTAGAGTTTCTGCTGAGAGATCAGCTGTTAGTCTGATGGGCTTTCCTTTGTGGGTAACCCGACCTTTCTCTTTGGCTGCCCTTAACATTTTTTCCTTCATTTCAACTTTGGTGAATCTGACAATTATGTGTCTTGGAGTTGCTCTTCTCGAGGAGTATCTTTGTGGCGTTCTCTGTATTTCCTGAATTTGAATGTTGGCCTGCTTTGCTGGATTGGGGAAGTTCTCCTGGATAATATCCTGCAGAGTGTTTTCCAACTTGGTTCCATTCTCCCCATCACTTTCAGGTACACCAATCAGACGTAGATTTGGTCTTTTCACATAGTCCCATATTTCTTGGAGGCTTTGTTCATTTCTTTTTATTCTTTTTTCTCTAAACTTCTCTTCTTGCTTCATTTCATTCTTTTGATCTTCCATCACTGATACCCTTTCTTCCAGTTGATCAAACCAGCTACTGAAGCTTGTGCATTCATCATGTAGTTCTCGTGCCATGGTTTTCAGCTCCATCAGGTCCTTTAAGGACTTCTCTGCATTGGTTATTCTAGTTAGCCATTCATCTAATCTTTTTTCAAGGTTTTTAAACTCCTTTGCCATGGGTTCAAACTTCCTCCTTTAGCTCGGAGAAGTTTGATCATCTGAAGCCTTCTTCTCTCAACTCATCAAAGTCATTCTCTGTCCAGCTTTGTTCCATTGCTGGTGAGGAGCTGCGTTCCTTTGGAGGAGGAGAGGTGCTCTGATTTTTTGAATTTTCAGTTTTTCTGCTCTGTTTTTTCCCCATCTTTGTGGTTTTATCTACCTTTAGTCTTTGATGATGGTGACGTACAGATGGAGTTTTGGTGTGGATGTCCTTTCTGTTTGTTAGTTTTCCTTTTAACAGTCAGGACCCTCAGCTGCAGGTCTGTTGGAGTTTGCCAGAGGTCCACTCCGGACCCTTTTTGCCTGGGTATCAGCAGCGGAGGCTGCAGAACAGCAAATATTGGTGAACCGCAAATGTTGCTGCCTGATCGTTGCTCTGGACGTTTTGTCTCAGAGGGGTACCCGGCCATGTAAGGTATCAGTCTGCCCCTACTCGGGGGTGCCTCCCAGTTAGGCTACTCAGGGGTCAGAGACCCACTTGAGGAGGCAGTCTGTCCATTCTCAGATCTCAAGCTGCATGCTGGGTAAACCACTATGGTCTCCCAAGCTGTCAGATAGGGACATTTAAGTCTGCAGAGGTTTCTGCTGCCTTTTGTTTGGCTATGCCCTGCCCCCAGAGGTGGAGTCTACGGAGGCAGGCAGGCCTCCTTGAGCTGTGGTGGGCTCCACCCCTTTCGAGCTTCCTGGCAGCTTTGTTTACCTACTCAAGCCTCAGCAATGGTGGGCACCCCTCCCCCAGCCTCGCTGCCGCCTTGCAGTTTGATCTCAGACTGCTGTGCTAGCAATGAGCAAGGCTCCCTGGGCATAGGACCCTCTTAGCCAGGCACGGGATATAATCTCCTGGTGTGCCGTTTGCTAAGACTGTCGGAAACGCGCAGTGTTAGGGTAGGAGTGACCCGATTTTCCAGGTGCCGTCTGTCACCCTTTTCCTTGGCTAGGAAAGATAATCACCTAACCCCTTGCACTTCCTGGGTGAGGCGATGCCTCACCCTGTTTCAGCTCATGCTCGGTGCACTGCACCCACTGTCCTGCACCTACTGTCTGACAATCCCCAGTGAGACAATCCCCGGTACCTCAGTTGGAAATGCAGAAATCATTCATCTTCTGCATCGCTCACGCTTCGAGCTGTAGACTGGAGCTGTTCCTATTCAGTCATCTTGGAACTGCCTCTCCCACAATTTATTTAACTAGCCTCAACTGATTAGGTTTATTTCCAGTCTTTTGTTAATACAAGCAACACTGCAATAAATAACCTGTACCTATGTTATAATTTATTTTGTATCAAGAATTATTTTTATTTTTGCAGACAGTTTTTGTCAGGAGCATTTGTTTTCTGACTGGAGACTAAAATTTTTAAATAATAGAGGGTTTTTTTTCTTTTGTCTCATTTGTTAATCATTATTTTTGGTAATAAATCATTGGTCTTCCTAAAAGTTTTCTCAATGGTGCCAATTTAAAATGCTCCCGTGTAGAAGCTTTCTAAAATGGATTGCTTTTGTAAAACTGTATAAATTTATTAAAAATTAAGAAACTGTATACTGACAGTGGATGAATTGTATGTAAATTATACCTCAATAAAGGTGTTAAAATCGAAAGAAAATTCTTGAACGATTTAGAGTTCCTCTGTAAACTATATTTTTGTGTGTGTGATATTCAAAGGTTGATTATTCGTCTTTCTGACCTTGAATAGTCTTCAGAATTCTTCACTCATTTTCATCCCTACTTTGACTTCCACCTCAAGGCTTCAGCTAAAAATTTATGGAGGTGACTCCTTATTCAATATTTTTAGTCCTAAACCACAGGCTCATTTTTTCAGCCTCCTTTTGGATATATCTCTGATTACTCTTTTGGCCCCTGAACATTCTTCCACAAATCCTCAAATGCAGTCATCACACCTTTTCTCAAACCAGCTCTCCTTTTTTTACCCAACAAATAATTACGGGCCTCAACTGTGACTCAGCCCCAAGTAGTGGCTGTATATAGTAGTATTGAATAGAAGAGGTAAATTCCTTGCATGCATGGCACGTATGGTCAACTGGAGAAGGCAGACATTGAGGAGGGTATTGCAAGTTGAAAAAAGTATTTTGAACAGAAAAGAGAAAGAGACGAAAGAGAAGAGGAGAAGGAGGAAGAAAAGGAGGAAGTAGCAGTATATAGCATATTGAGAACGGCAAACTCTGTCTATGCTGTTCCTCTCCTGGTTAAATAGACTGCCTTCCACATGGCAACGTCTATCTACTGTCTCTAAGATGATTCTACATCCACAAATTTTTCGTATTTTTCTTGGTCTCTCTTCTTTGCCATCTGGACCATTTCAATGATCTCTTAATATGCTTCCCTGCAGTAGCCACAAATACAAAGTAACCACAATAATCTTCCCAAAATGCATAGCGGTAGTTATGCTGCTTTTCTAGATAAAAACCTACAATTGCATAAGAAAAAAAGTCCATATTCTAGATCCTTCTAGATCTTTCTAATCAGATCCAATCTATCCTTCTAAGCATTTCTCTAATTCTCTTCCACCTGCAAATTTGAAGTTCATTCTTCTTCTCATGCCATTTTCTCTCTGCTTAGAATGTTCTAGCCCAGAGATTCTCAAAGTGAGATCCATGGACCACCTGCATCATCTGGGAAATTGTTGAGAATGCAAATTCTTGGGACCCACCCAAGGTCTACTGACTCAAAGTTGCACAAAGTATATTTTAGTGAGCATCCAGGTGACCCTGATGCACATAAAGTTTGAAAAGCACTGCCCAGGTCCAAGTCTTCCTCTTGAAATTCTAGCTATCTTTGAGCCTAAACCTAAATGTCATTTTCACTTTAAAGCCTAATTTCCCTGGTCATAAATAATTTCCATTTCTTCTAAACTTTCAAAGTAACTTTATTTGTTGAAACATGTTAGTGTAACACAAAACTTTGTATTTTTAAAATACACTATTTCATTCCAAAATGAGGTTTAGTATTCATGGCCCATTTTATTTGTGAGCTATGTATGTGTCTATGGCTTGGATCATAGCAGTGGCAATGGTGGTGGGGAGATAGGTTTCAGAGAATGGTGATTCTACAGATTGATTGAAAGAAACGAGCTTTAAAAGAAGCCAAAAGTAGCTTTTGGCTCAAAAAGGGTGTGAGAATAGTTTGAGGGAAGAGAGAAGACAATGGAGCATAGGATGGGAGAAAGTGTGTCAGGTAAAAACAAGAACAGTTTCTATTGTTTCTCTTCCAATACCATGGGTGTGGGCACTAATGCAACAATCCGGAAGCCAAGTATCCCCTTCAAGTTTCCTCAGATGGCACTGAGTGGAAGCAAAGAAACTCCCTATTTTTTTCAGCATGATTAGGATGAAGGACATTACTGAGTATATAATTTTAAGTCTAAGAAATTTCAACCTCCATATGCCATATGTATTTTCTGCTAAGTAATTTTCTCTAATAACTTACCATATGCAAACTAGCCAAAGTTTGGAATGAAACATCCCTGTCCAATTTTTCAGCTAAACTCCAAAAAGGGCTTGGAGAGCAAACAGATGTAAGGCAGGAAAAGCAGGAGGCGATATAAAATAAAATTGTCTAATTGTCCAGGGAACTCATGGAAAGTTAAACTGATACAGGTGGTATATTTATACTTTTCTCTTATTTAATTCCATTCTTATTTGTACTATAGTATGCTATGCTAAAGTCATTTAATGAATATTGAATATATATCATGTATTTGTTTCAGTTATCAAAAATCTTAAGCACAATAAACATGTTACCTGTGTTTTTGGTCAAATATCTTGCTATTGCTAGGCTCTGGTGAAGAGTAAGTCCATCAACTTCCAAAATGGGGATTTTTCCAAATGGGAGAGCTTAAAATGAAATGAGCAAATAATTAACTTCATAACAAAACCAGAAGTTATATTACTTCCATTTTTACTGATCATCGTGAAAACAAAGCATGATTTTATGGAATCATGAAATTCTTAAATATTTTTAAAGGAACACTTGACAACTTGTAGTGGAATATTTATATTTTATAAGTTTTGTTTAAGTTGTTAGAAAACCTGATTTAAAATTAGTGACAGAATTTGTTCTTAAGCTCAGGTTTATAGTGACACCATATACTGTACTGTATTTTACATGCTTACTGTTAAAAAAAATTAATTGTAAAACTTCATTATTTTTTGCAGCCTCAATTGCAGATTATTAAAATCGTAGTCTGAGGATTATGAAGAGTTTGATTTACATATTGAGTTATGGTAAGAACTTAGCCATAGCCTTTTTAAAATTAATACATAATAATTGCACATACTATGGGGTACATGGTATATGCACACAATGTAATGATCAAGAAATTTTTTATTTCTTATTTAATTTCTTCATTGACCTAGTGATCATTCAGGACCATGTTGTTTAATTTCCATATATTTGTATAGTTTCCAAAGGTCTTTTTATATTGATTTCTAGTTTTATTCCACTGTGGTCTGAGAAAATACTTGATATAATTTTCATTTTTAAAAATTGATTTAAAAAAATTTATTGAGATGTGTTTTGTGGCTTAACATATGGCCCATCCTGTGTGCTGCTAAGAAGAATGTGCAGTCTGTAGCTTATGGATTAAAAAAATTTTTTTTGAGGTGGAGTCTCGGTCTGTCACTGAGGCTGGAGTGCAGTGGTGCGATCTCAGCTCACTGCAACTTCCACCTCCCAGGTTCAAGTAATTCTCCTGCCTCAGCCTCCTGAGTAGCCAGGACTACAGGTTTGTGCCACCACACCCAGATAAGTTTTGTATTTTTAGTAGAGATGGGGTTTTGCTATGTTGGCCAGGCCGGTCTTGAATTCCTGACCTCAAGTGATCCACCTACCTCAGCCTCCCAAAGTGCTAGGATTACAGGCATGAGCAACCACGCCTGGCCTATGGATGAAATGTTCTGTAAATGTCTGTTAGGTCCATTTGGTCTCTAGCGCAGATTCAGCCCAATGTTTCTTTGTTGGTTTTCTGGCTAGATTATCTGTCCAGTGCTGACAGGGAAGTGTTGACATCTCCAACTCTTGTTACATTAGAATCTATCTCTAACTTCAGTTCTAACAATATTTGCTTCATATATTTGGGTGCACATATATTTACAATTGTTATATCTTCTTGCTGAATTGACCACTTTATTATTATATAATGACTTTTTCTCTTTTTACATTTTTTACTTAAAGTCTATTTTGTCTGCTATAAACATTGCTGCTCCTGCATGCTTTTGGTTCCTGTTTTTATGGAATATTTTTTTCCATTCCTTCATTTTTAGTCTATGTGTGTCTTTTCAGGTGAACAGAGTTAATTGTAGGCAGCAGATAGTTGGCTTGTATTTTGTTTTTGATTCAGCCACTTTGTATCTTTTTAATTGGGGAATTTAAATCATTTGTATTCATTGATAGATAAAGGCTTATTTATCTTTGTGATTTAGTGGTTATCTATAGTAATAACTTTTGATTTTTTCTCTTTCTCATTTATGTATCTGCTCTACCAGTTAGTTTTATACTTTCATGTGTTTTCATGATGGTAGATATCATCCTTTCACTTCCAGATGTAGGGCTTCCTTAAGCATTTCTTGTAGGAACAGTCTATTGGTGATACATTTCCTCAGTTTTTGCTTGTGTGAGAAAGACTATTTCTCCCTCATTTTTGTATTATACTTTAAGTTCTAGGGTACATGTGCACAATGTGCAGGTTTGTTACATAGGTATACATGTGCCATGTTGGTGTGCTGCACCCATTAACTCATCATTTACATTAGGTATATCTCCTAATACTATCCCTCCCCTCTACCCCCACCCTGCAACAGGCCCCAGTGTGTGATGTTCCCCATCCTGTGTCCAAGTGTTCTCATTGTTCAGTTCCCACCTATGAGTGAGAACATGCAGTGTTTGGTTTTCTGTCCTTGAGATAGTTTGCTCAGAATGATGGTTTCCAGCTTCATCCATGTCCCTACAAAGGACATGAACTCATCCTTTTTTATGGCTGCATAGTATTCCATGGTATATATGTACTACATTTTCTTAATCCTGTCTAACACTGATGGACATTTGGGTTGGTTCCAAGTCTTTACTATTGTTAATAGTGCTGCAATAAACATACATGTGCATGTGTCTTTATGGGAGCATGATTTATAATCCTTTGGGTATATGCCCAGTAATGGGATCACTGGGTCAAATGGTATTTCTATATCTAGATCCTTGAGGAATCACCACACTGTCTTCCACAATGGTTGAACTAGTTTACAGTCCCACCAACAGTGTAAAAGTGTTCCTATTTCTCCACACCCTCTCCAGCACCTGTTGTTTCCTGACTTTTTAATGATCGCCATTCTAACTGGTGTGAGATGGTATCTCACCATGGTTTTGATTTGCATTTCTGTGATGACCAGTGATGACGAGCATTTTTTCATGTGTCTGTTGACTGCATAAATGTCTTTTTTTGAGAAGTGTCTGTTCATATCCTTCGCCCACTTTTTGATGGGGTTGTTTGATTTTTTCTTGTAAATTTGTTTAAGTTCTTTGTAGATTCTGGATATTAGCCATTTGTCAGATGGATAGATTGCAAAATTTTTCTCCCATTCTGCAGGTTGCCTGTTCACTCTAATGGTAGTTTCTTTTACTGTGCAGAAGCTCCTTAGTTTAATTAGATCCCATTTGTCAATTTTGGCTTTTGTTGCCATTGCTTTTGGTGTTTTAGTCATGAAGTCCTTGCCCATGCCTATGTCCTGAATGGTATTGCCTAGGTTTTCTTCTAGGGTTTTTATGGTTTTAGGTCTGACATTGAAGTCTTTAATCCATCTTGAATGAATTTTTGTATAAGGTGTAAGGAAGGGATCCAGTTTCAGCTTTCTCCATATGGCTAGCCAGTTTTCCCAGCACCATTTATTAAATAGGGAATCCTTCCCCCATTTCTTGTTTTTGTCAGGTTTGTCAAAGATCAGATGGTTGTAGATGTGTGGTATTATTTCTGAGGCCTCTGTTCTGTTCCATTGGTCTATATCTCTGTTTTGGTACCAGTACCATGCTGTTTTGGTTACTGTAGGCTTGTAGTATAGTTTGAAGTCAGGTAGCATGATGTCTCCAGCTTTGTTCTTTTTGCTTAGGATTGACTTGGCAATGCAGGCTCTTTTTTGGTTCCATATGAACTTTAAAGTAGTTTTTTCCAATTCTGTGAAGAAAGTCACTTGTAGGTGGCTGGGGATGGCATTGAATCTATAAATTACCTTGGGCAGTATGGCCATTTTCACGATATTGATTCTTCCTACCCATGAGCATGGAATGTTCTTCCATTTGTTTGTATCCTCTTTTATTTTGTTGAGCAGTGGTTTGTAGTTCTCCTTGAAGAGGTCCTTCACATCCCTTTTAAGTTGGATTCCTAGGTATTTTATTCTCTTTGAAGCAATTGTGAATGGGAGTTAATTCATGATTTGGCTCTCTGTTTGTCTGTTATTGGTGTATAGCAATGCTTGTGATTTTTGTACATTGATTTTGTATCCTGAGACTTTGTTGAAGTTGCTTATCAGCTTAAGGAGATTTTGGGCTGAGATGATGGGGTTTTCTAAATATACAATCATGTCATCTGAAAACAGGGACAATTTGACTTCCTCTCTTCCTAATTGAATAACCTTTATTTCTTTCTCTTGCCTGATTGCTCTTGTCAGAACTTCCAACACTATGTTGAATAGGAGTGGTGTGAGAGGGCATCCCTGTCTTGTGCCAGTTTTCAAAGGGAATGCTTCCAGTTTTTGCCCATTCAGTATGATATTGGCTGTGGGTTTGTCATAAATAGCTCTTATTATTTTGAGATACATCCCATCAATACCTAATTTATTGAGAGTTTTTAGCATGAAGGGCTGTTGAATTTTGTTGAAGGCCTTTTCTGCATCTATTGAGACGATCATGTGGTTTTTGTCTTTGGTTCTGTTAAGGTGATGGATTACATTTATTGATTTGCATATGTTGAACGAGCTTTGCATCCCAGGAATGAAGCCAGCTTGATCTTGGTGGATAAGGTTTTTGATGTGTTGCTGGATTCGGTTTGCCAGTATTTTATTGAGGATTTTCCCATCGATGTTCATCAGGGATATTGGTCTAAAATTCTCTTTTTTTTGTGTCTCTGCCAGGCTTTGGTATCAGGGTGATGCTGGCCTCATAAAATGAGTTAGGGAGGACTCCCTCTTTTTCTATTGATTGGAATAGTTTCAGAAGGAATGGTACCAGCTCCTCCTTGTATCTCTGGTAGAATTCAGCTGTGAATCCACCTGGTCCTGGACTTTTTTTGGTTGGTAGGCTATTAATTATTGCCTCAATTTCAGATCCTGTTATTGGTCTATTCAGGGATTCAACTTCTTCCTGGTTTATTTTGGGGAAGGTGTATGTGTCCAGCAATTTATCCAGTTCTTCTAGATTTTCTAGTTTATTTGTGTAGAGGTGTTTATAGTATTCTCTGATGGTAGTTTGTATTTCTGTGGGATCGGTGGTGATATCCCCTTTATCATTTTTCATTGCATCTATTTGATTCTTCTCTCTTTTCTTCTTTATTAGTCTTGCTAGCAGTCTATCAATTTTGTTGATCTTTTCAAAAAATAAGCTCCTGGGTTCGCTGATTTTTTGAAGGGTTTTTTGTATCTCTGTCTCCTTCAGTTCTGTTCTGATCTTACTTATTTCTTGCCTTCTGCTAGCTTTTGAATGTGTTTGCTCTTGCTTCTCTAGTTCTCTTAATTGGGATGTTAGGGTGTCAATTTCAGATCTTTTCTGCTTTCTCTTGTGGGCATTTAGTGCTATAAATTTCCCTGTACACACTGCTTTAAATGTATCCCAGAGATTCTGGTACATTGTGTCTTTGTTCTCATTGGTTTCAAAGAATATGTTTATTTCTGCCTTCATTTCGTTATGTACCCAGTAGTCATTCAGGAGCAGGTTGTTCAGTTTCCATGTATTTGTGTGGTTTTGAGTGAGTTTCTTAATCCTGAGTTCTAGTTTGATTGCACTGTGGTCTGAGAGACAGTTTGTTGTGATTTCTGTTCTTTTACATTTGCTGAGGAGTGCTTTACTTCCAACTATGTGGTCAATTTTGGAATAAGTGTGGTGTGGTGCTGAGAAGAATGTATATTCTGTTGATTTGGGGTGGAGAGTTCTGTAGTTGTCTGTTAGGTCTGCTTGTGCAGAGCTGGCTTTAAGTCCTGGACATCATTGTTAACCTTCTTTCTCATTGATCTGTCTAATATTGACATTGAGGTGTTAAAGTCTCCCATTATTATTGTGTGGGAGCCTAAGTCTCTTTGTAGGTCTCTAAGGACTTGGTTTATGAATCTGGATGCTCCTCTACCAGGTGCATATATATTTAGGATAGTTAGCTCTTCTTGTTGAATTGATCCCTTTACCATTATGTAATGGCCTTCTTTATCTCTTTTGATTTAAGTTGGTTTAAAGTCTGTTTTATCAGAGAGTAGGATTGCAACCCCTCCTTTTTTTTTGTTTTCCATTTGCTTGGTAGATCTTCCTCCATCCCTTTATTTTGAGCCTATGTGTGTCTCTGCACTTGAGATGGGTCTCCTGAATACAGCACACTGATGGGTCTTGAGTCTTTATCCAGTTTGCCAGTCTGTGTCTTTTAATTGGAGCATTTAGGCCATTTACATTTAAGGTTAATATTGTTATGTGTGAATTTGATCCAGTCATTATATTAGCTGGTTATTTTGCCCATTAGTTGATGCAGTTTCTTCCTTGCATTGATGGTCTTTACAATTTGGCATGTTTTTGCAGGGGCTGGTACCGGTTGTTTCTTTCCATGTTTAGTGCTTCCTTCAGGAGCTCTTGTAAGCAGACCTGGTATTGACAAAATCTCTCAGCATTTGCTTCTCTGTGAAGGATTTTATTTCTCCTTCACTTATGAAGCTTAGTTTGGCAGGATATGAAATTCTGGGTTGAAAATTGTTTTATTTAAGCATGTTGAATATTGGCCCCCACTCTCTTCTGGCTTGTAGAGTTTCTGCTGAGAGATCAGCTGTTAGTCTGATGGGCTTCCCTTTGTGGGTAACCTGACCTTTCTCTCTGGTTGCCCTTAACATTTTTTCCTTCATTTCAACCTTGGTGAATCTGACGATTACATGTCTTGGAGTTGTTCTTCTCAAGGAATGTCTTTGTGGTGTTCTCTGTATTTCCTGAATTTGCATGTTGGCCTGTCTTGCTAGGTTGGGGAAGTTCTCCTGGATAATATACTGGAGTGTTTTCCAGCTTGGTTCCATTCTCCCCATCATGTTTAGGTATACCAATCAAATGTAGATCTGGTCTTTTCACATAGTCGCATGTTTCTTGGAGACTTTGTTCATTTCTTTTTACTCTTTTCTCTCTAAACTTCTCTTCTCACTTCATTTCATTAATTTGATCTTCAATCACTGATACCCTTTCTTCCACTTGATCAAATCGGCTACTGAAGCTTGTGCACGCATCATGATGTTCTCATCCCATGGTTTTCAGCTCCATCAAGTCATTTAAGGTCTTCTCTACACTGTTTATTCTAATTAACCATTCGTCTAATCTTTTTTCAAGGTTTCAGCTTCCTTGTGATGGGTTCAAACATCCTCCTTTAGCTCAGAGAAGTTTGTTACTACCGACCTTCTGAAGCCTACTTATGTCAACTCGTCAAAGTCATTCTCCATCCAGCTTGTTCCATTGCTCGCAAGGAGCTGCGATCCTTTGGACAAGAAGGGGTGTTCTGATTTTTAGAATTTTCAGCTTTTCTGCTCTGGTTTCTCCCCATCTTTGTTGTTTTATCTACCTTTGGTCTTTGATGATGGTGACCTACAGATTGGGTTTTGGTGTGGATGTCCTTTTTGTTGATGTTGATGCTATTCCTTTCTGTTTGTTAGTTTTCCTTCTAACAGTCAGGTCCCTCAGCTGCAGGTCTGCTGGAGTTTGCTGGAGGTCCACTCCAGACCCTGTTTGCCATTATATCACCAGCGGAGGCTGCAGAACAGCAAATATTGCAGAACAGCAAATACTGCTGCCTGATCCTTCCTCTGGAAGCTTCATCTCAGAGGGACACCCAGCTGTAT
Organism: Homo sapiens; assembly: GCF_000001405.40. Taxonomy (NCBI): domain Eukaryota; kingdom Metazoa; phylum Chordata; class Mammalia; order Primates; family Hominidae; genus Homo; species Homo sapiens. The sequence goes on from NC_000004.12 coordinate 94,325,181, forward strand.
GAGGTGTCAGTCAGCCCCTACTGGGAGCTATCTCCCAGTTAGGCTACTCGGGGGTCAGGGACCCAGTTGAGGAGGCACTCTGTCCATTCTCAGAACTCAAACACCATGCTGGGAGAACCACTGCTCTCTTCAGAGCTGTCAGACAGGGACGTTTAAGTCTGCAGAAGTTTCTGCTGCCTTTTGTTCAGCTATGCACTGCCCCCAGAGGTGGAGTCTACAGAGGCAGGTAGGCCTTCTTGAGCTGCAGTAGGCTCCACCCAGTTCAAGCTTCCCAGCCGCTTTGTTTACCTACTCAAGCCTCAGCCATGGCAGACACCCCTCCCCCAGCTAGGCTGCCGCCTTGCAGTTCGATCTCAAACTGCTGCACAAGCAGTGAGCAAGGCTCCGTGGGCATGGGACCCACTGAGCCAGGCGTGGGATATAATCTCCTGTTGTGCCATTTGCTAAGACCATTGGAAAAATGCAGTATTTGGGTGGCAGTGTCCCAATTTTCCAGATACAGTCTGTCATGGCTTCCTTTGGCTAGGAAAGGGAAATCCCTCAACCCCCTGTGCTTCCTGGGTGAGGCAATACCCCACACTGCTTCAGCTTGCCCTCCGTGGGCTGCACCCACTGACCAACCTGTCCCAGTGAGATGAACCAGGTACCTCAGTTGGAAATGCAGAAATCACCCATCTTCTGCATCAGTCACGCTGGGAGCTGCAGACTGGAGCTGTTCCTATTCAGCCATCTTGGAAAAGATCTCTCCTTCATTTTTGAAGGATAGCTTTGCTGGTTATAGTATTCTTGGCTGACAGGTTTTTTTTTTTTTTCAGCACTTTGAACATATCATTCCATTGTCTCCTGGCCTCTAAAATTTCTGCTGAGAAATCTGCTGTCAGTCTGATGGGGATTCCTTTATGTATGACTTGACACTTTTCTGTCACTATTTTTGGAATTCTCTTTGTCCTTGAGGACAAAGTCAAACTTGACAACTTGACAAGCTTGACAGTTTGACTTTAATGTTTAATGACTTTAATGTTGAATCTATACCTGAGCTTCATGTATCTGGATGTCTGAATCTCTTGCTAGACTTGGGAAGTTTTAACTATCATTTTGTTAATTGGTTTTCTATGCCTTTGTCCATCTCTTCTCCTTCTGGAATTCCCAAAATCCCCAAATTCAAACATTTGGGTGCTTTATGGTTTCCCAAATGATGTAATACAGGCTTTCTTCATCCTTTTTTCATTCTTTTATTTTTTTCTTTGGTCTGACTGGGTTATTTCAAAAGACCTGTCTTCAAGTTCAGAAATTCTTCGCTTGACCTAGTCTATTGAAGCTCTAGTTGTATTTTTTAAATTTCATTCATTGAATTCTTTAGCTCCAGAATTGTTTGGATTTTTTTTATAATATCTATCTGTTATATTGAATTTCTCATTCAGATCATTGTCTTCCTGATTTCTTTGTATTATCTGTATTCTTTTGTATCTCACTGAGTTTCTTTAATACCATTATTGTCAATTCTTTTTCAGGCATTTCATGTATTTCCTTTTTTATGGAATTGGTTACTGGAGAATTATTGGGTTCCTTTGGAGATGTCTTGTTTCCTTGCTTTTTCATATTTCTTGTGTCTTTATGTTGATTTCTGTGTATCTGGTATAGTAGTCGCTCCTTTCAGTTTTATGGATTGATTTTTGTAGGGAAACCCTTTTTCCTATAGATATATCTATAGTGTTGGTTGGGTAGGGTACTTTAGCTTTGATTCTAAGTAGGTGCAATAATGTAGTCTTCATATGATTTCTTCAGCTATAGTCAGCATCAGTGGTGTCTGTGAGTTTCTCAGTGGCTTAGGCTGTAGTTATTAGTGAGGCTGTGGTGAGTCTTTGCTGGGGAGGGGGATGCCAAGTGGACTCATCCTCAGGCACTAGTGGTGGCTACAGTGGCCTGGGTGTGTGGATTCCTAGGCCCCTGAATGGGATGCACTGGTACCAGCAGTGCTGGGTAAGGCAGATCCAGCCCCCCAGACAATGCTTGTGAGTCCCAATGACAGTGGCAAGCAGAAAAGGTGACCTCAGGCCCCTGGATGATGTGCACAAGCACTGGTGGTGGCTGGTGGAGTAGGTTGATCCTCAGGCCACTGGACAATGCATTCAGGAATTGGCAGCAGCAGTGACAGGCAAGATAGGCTTGTTCTCAGGTCTCCTGAGAGTGCATGTTTGCACCAGTGGCAGCAGGCAGGGCACGTTGATCCCCAGACCCCTGGATAATGTGCTTGGGTGCCAGTGGCAGTGGTAGTGGGTGGGGTGGGCTGGTCCTCAGGCATGCAGATGGTGCACATAAATGCTAGTGGTGATAAGTGTGGCAGTACTATCCTCAGGTCCTGGAATGGCATATTGGTGAGCTGGTCCCCGGGCTTCATAAAGGTGCATGAAGGTACATTGTGGCCCTGATACTAGAGAAGGTATGGTTGCTGTCTGTGGCAACAGCCCCAGGCAGGCAGCTCTCAGACTCTGGAGAGTGCGTGCTTTAGCTTCCTGTGTTACAGCAGCAGCCTGTCTGGTATGCTACACTGTCTCTTCCCCAAGGTTTGGGACACTACATGGGCTAAAGGGCTAGGCACCCAGCCACAACACTTAAGTGAAGCCAGCATTGCAATGCTGCAGCCCTCTGGGTTGTTGTGGGGGGATGTCAGAAGGGCTCCAGGGATGTGGAGATGCACGGGCTTTTGGGTTCCAAGGCAAGATATAGTCTGGTGGGGACTGGGCTCTCCAAGTGGCACCATGATGCAGCTACTTGGGTCTCAGGGGGTGTGTAGGACACAGCACAAACTTCCACTCTGGAACAATGTTCTCACATGGACTCCAGGCACTCCCTATCCTAGTCTCAGGGCCCATAAGGCCCAAGGGGGCTCTCCCATGGCTAGAATTGCAGGAGTCTGCGGAGTAAATGTGGACCACTGGGGATATCTCTCTTACCTTTTCCCCACAATGGGGAGTCCCTCCCGGCTCCAAGCTGATTCCAGCCACATCAGCTGCTTCGCTTCCTTTTCTTTCTGTGCCTCAGAGGTTTCCCATCACTTCCCAGCTGAATTCCAGTCTTCTCTCTTAGATGCTCTATTAGATGTGTGGTTATCTACTTGCTATTTTGATCCTTCTTTGAGGAGATGAGTGTCAGTTACCTCTAGTCATTAATTTTGAAGCCCCACTTCATTTTGATGAGGGACTATTTGAAATGTATAGCAAGGCAGCAAGCATTTTTGCACAAATATCGGACAGACTGATAGCAGATACCATATTAATATTTTATCTGTAAATCCTACTGTTTTCTTATCTAAACCTATTATATTTTTGTCACAAAGTAATATACATTTATTATAGAAAAATTATAAACTGATAAATGAAAATAATTCAGCCACATAGTTTTAACCATTTTAATATTTTAATTGATTTCTCATATATATTTTAAAACAAATTATAATGCATGTAAATCACTTTTCATTTCAAGTTTTGTAAATCACTTTTCATTTCACAGTATCTTTTAAACATCTTTCTAAATCAATGAAACATCATCTTTTTAATGACTACGTAATACTTTGCCATGTGTATTGACCACAACTTTCCCAACCAGTGCCTTAGTTTTGGACATAAAATTATTTTAAAAGAGAGAAAATAATAAAGTGCCAGTCACACTCTGATGACCCTCATACAACTACTAGAATCAACTTTGTGTGTCTCCTTCAAGTATCTTTCATATGCACACCTAAATAAGTATATGAGAACTATACTTCACATCTGGAATAAAAATACCTTTAAGTACTTACCTTTAAGTAATGAGTGTCCCAACTACTATTTTTGGTGCCTGAGATACTTCAGTGAGCAAAACAAAGTCTCAAATGAAATTGACATGAGTTGGGATGCCTTATTTGAAGCAAAATATGTGAACAAGAAGGAATCAAAATGCGTAATTTTTTTGTCAGGGAGAGGTTTTTTTTTGTGCTAGGCATTGTACTAAATATTTAGCATGCCCATTAGGTCTTCTTTTACCTACAACAACCTTATGAAGTAGGTGATAACTATCTCATTTTATAAATGAAGGGATGAAGTTAAGAGGTTATATAAATTGCCCTGGTCACACACCTGGTAAAGGTAGGCTTCACACTGAGGTCACTTGGAACCCTTGCTCAGCTGTTTTCTTAGTTCTATGAGCCATGTTTTGAGAAAGATATTAAAAATCAGAGCAAGCTCAGAGAATAGTCTCCAAATTAGTGAGAGATTTGAAAATCTTATTTTTTTGAGGATTGGTTGAAGAACCTTGGCACTCTTCACCTGGAGGAGATAAAACTAGCTAAGTGGAACATAACCACCTCAAATAGGACAGAACTATCAAATAGAAGAAAAATTTGACTTATTCTGAGTACCTCTGAAATGTGAAACTAGAATCAAAGGGTAGTAGAATAAAGGGCAGATGAAGAATAATTTTGTTCGCATTAGAGCCATTGACAACAGAATGTGTTTTCTTGTGAGATAGTGAGCTTTTAGCTACTGGAAGTGTTTGAGCCAACCTTGGGATAACTGCCCACAACTGGAACACTGGGCTGCATCTAACAAGAAGACATTTAAGAAGGCAAATGCTAAGTCCTTCATTTGATTCCAGAAAAAATAATAATCCCAGTGTTGTTGGAGGTGTCAACAGAAGTATTCTAAAGCTTAAAAGGCATTAAGGAATTTTGTTACACTGAATATGAGGCCTCAATGTGATGTGGCTGGCAAAATAACTACAGTGATCTTGGTAAAATGTCTTACAATGATGTCTAGTCTTGTGACAGGAATGATGGTCCCATTTTGCTCTGTGCTGTTCTTGTACCTTAAACACTGTGTTCTCCATAGGTATCACACCTTAAATGGCAGATGTACAGTAACAGGAACTTGTTTGGAGGATACCTACGTGAGTGGTGAAGAAATGCAAATCAGGGAATATAAATGAGCACTCAAGGAAGAAAACTTAATTGTCCTTTGGACCTGGGTGTGATTGTAAAATTGTAAATCACAGATGGTCCAGGGAAGAATGGCATCTAAATCAAGAAGTAGAGTCAGGGATGGGAAAGTTGGACTAAAATTCACAATGATGATCAGAGAAACTAACAAGGAAGTTCCAAAATTTGTTAACTAGTTAGAGGTACAGATGCATGAATTAAATGGGACCCAATTACAAATTCTGCCAAAGACCTTTATCTTCACTCAGCACATTTGTATTGAACTAACCACTCAGAAATAGCTTTTTTTTCCATGACGTCTTTAAAGAAACTAGGTTTCTTTAAATATTTGGTTGTAAAAGAAGGAGTAATCTGGTTCTCCATGGATTAAAATTATTAAGTACAAGACCAATCTATGAAAGCTATAAGGAGACAGATCTCAACTTTGTATAAGGAATAGTCTTTCAAAATTAGTCTCCCTTCTATTTTCTGTTCTCTCTTTCCAGAATTTTATTTGAAAGTTGGACCTCCTAAACTGAGCCTCAAGTTTCCTTTCTTTCTTCTTTTATTTTTCATTTATTTGTCCTATTTTTGTACTTTTGGGAAAAATATCCTTATTTTTGTCATTTTATTGATGTGTTTGTATCATAGTTTTAATTTTCAAGAACTGTTTGTCTCTGAATATTTCTTTTGACAGCACCCTGTTGTTAAAAGAAAAACTTCAGCCGAATTAAATTTAAAGGAGTTTAACTGAGCAATGAACGATTTGCCAATTGGGAAGTCCCCAGAATCACAGCAGAATCACAGAGCCTCCAGGGGAGGCCTCATGATCAGAACAAATTTATAGACAAAAAAAGTAAAGTGACACACAAAAATCAGAAGTGAGGTACAGAAACAACCAGATTGGTTACAGCCCAGAGTTTGCCTTATTTGAACACAGTTTGAACACTCAGCAGTATATGAGTGGTTGAAGTGTGGCTGCTGGGATTGGCCAAGACTCAGCTCTTCTTATAGGTGCATATTCCTAAGTTAGGTTTTAATCTTGTCTACTTACTAAGTTAGGTTACAGTTCATCTACAGGGACTCAAATATAGTAGTACAGAGTCCTTCTCAGGCCATATTTAGTTTGCTATTACAGTGTTCTTGTTTCATGGATAGAATATCTTCTCTTATTTCTCTGAGGATTTTAAAAAATGTTTGAAGTGGTATTTTTTTCTCGCTAAATCATCTTGGTTTCCTCAGAGTTGCTTTTTTTCTGCTTCTTTGTTTAGGTATGTTTTCTGTTAGATTTTTCTCAAATATCTATTGATTTTTGATTGCCATTTATGTCTTAAAAGGCAAAGAAATAAAAACTACCTGTAAGCTCAGTGTGCATGGGAGGGGCTTGCCAACAGATTGGGCTGGGCTGTTTCATTAAGAAACTCTCGATCGTTCATTAACTTGAGCTGATCAGCTTCCCCAGAGAGGAATTTCTGCTCAAGGAATATTAGCCTGGTTGTAGCCTTCTGATTGTAGAGCAGGGGAAAGGTGCTATGGATCTCACCATTTAGTTTCTATACTTCCACTGAATCCCACCTTTATTATAGCATTGTGTCCTCAAGACATGTCTGTTGTCCCAGAAGCCTCTGGTCTATCCTCCCCTGAGAGTAACCTCCATGCTTATTCTAGGGACGAGAAGGGATATGGTGGTCACAGTGCTTCTTCACATTGATAGAGGCAGGAGGCAGAGAAATTCTAGGCAGACAGCAGCAGGTCCCCAGTGAAACCCCACCTTCAAGCCAAAAAGCCTGAAACCTGCGGCCCAACATAAGAAAATCTATTCCTGTTTGCCTGCTGTCTCCTGATTGGTTCTTTCTGAATAATGCTTTTTTACCAATTGAATGTTGCCTTTTCCAAAACTACCTATAGCCCACCCTGCCCCACAATCGTGTGCCTATAAATACTTCAGACTCAGTTGGTAGAGGAAAGAAAAGCGGCCCAGCTGGAGAGAGTTGACTTGACTTTAGAGAGATGGCTGGACTTCGGAGGAGAGATGACTTGACTTCAGGGGAAGACTACCTGCCCACCCTGTCCTCTCTCCAGCTCCCCTCTCTGCTGAGAGCCATTTCCACCACTTAATAAAATGTTCTGCCTTCACCATCTTTCAAGTGTCTGGACAACGTAGTTCTTCGGACGCTGGACAACAGCTTGGGACCCACTAAGTGCAGGGACCCACCAAGTACAGGGAACCAAAAAAGGCTGTCGCACTGGCCTTTTGCCCTTGCTGGTGGGGGGCAGCCACCCCATGTGATGAGGCAAGAGGCCCACTGAGCTGATAACACACCGCTGTCCATGGATGGCAGGGCTAAGAGAGCATTGTAACATGCCTCTGGGGCTTCAGGGGTCGCAGGCACCCCAACCTGGGTGCTGCTGCAGGGCCCACACAGAGCTTGCTCCTGCCAGCGCCCAAAGCGGTCAGCTGGATCCCATGCTTGCTTGCTCACGTGCTCCCTCCCACAAGGGATTGAGTGCAGTGGGCCAAGTAAATGGGGCACCCCATCACAAGTCCGACAAAGGGGTCAAGAAAAATTCTCCATCAACATTTTTCTAGTCAATCCTATGTCAGCTCAACTTTTCGAGTTATCTGCTACTACAAATTCATGAGCCTTTTTCTGTATCTCTGGTGATTTAGCTTGCCTTCTGCTCCTCAAGGTTTATGTTTGAACTCTGGGCCTACTAAGTCACTTTACCATGCTTTGGCCTGCTTTTTAGCTTCCAGAATTGTGTGCTATCATATCTACATTCAAGCTTTATTTCTTTGTCCTTATGGACTTTGGCCCTTTTTTAAAGTACTTCAGTGTTATTAAAGGAGAGAAAAAACGTTTTAAAGGGAGAAAATGTAAACTCATATGTGCAATTTACCAAGTTTGTCCAGGAGAACATTTTAATAAAAGTATCCAGTGATGGAATGTGTTGACTGGAGATTTTCTAGGTTCTAGCAGAGGGAGTGTCGTAGCAGGTTTCAAGCACCAGAGAGCACTGCTAAACTGGACAGCAGATGAGACCAAATAACATTTGTAATAGAAACTGCTCCTTAGTAGTACCTGTTCTTTCCTTTCTTCTTAGAGTAATAAAACTCTGGATTTTTACCTGTGCAAATGATTATCCACAATTAAATCAGCATCTCTCAATTTTCCTTGTAGTAATATGTGACCGTTGGGCTTACCAAGTGACGTATGCAACTTTCTAGTAAAAGGAAGGGGTGTGTCCCCTCCCTCTTTCACACTTTCTCTGAGCTACAATGTGGAAGGAATGTGAGCTATCTCACACTGTGTCAATAAGACACCAAGGGGTGGCAGATCAACAAGAAACCTAATCTTTGACAACTGTATGGAGCAAAATCATGATACCCACTTGGGGTTTTGTGTAAATGAAATTTCTGTCCTTTCTAAGAAAATTTTACATTGCGTCTTTGTCTATTAAAACATTTGAAACTATATCCTAACCATCATGAACTTTAAGATTCCTTTCAACTCTGAAAATCTATGGAAATATTAAGAAAATACAGAAATTCCATTTTTAGTAACAATGAAAAGTTCAGGTAGAATAGGGAATGAGGCACTCAGTGAACTTATATTTCAAAGCTAACAGGCAAAATTTATTACATGTAATATCTGCACCTTTCTATCCATGTTGGTCTAATTAATTAGTGGATAAAAGTAATGTTCACCTATTATATATTCACTGTCTTAAAATCCCATGTGTAAATTCCAATATCGGAAGAAACATTTGGATATTAATGGTAAAGTATCATGAGAATAAGAAATAAGATACACTATCTCACCAGAGAAGAGGTCTCTGCTAAGAAAAAGAATGGTTATAAGGGCAATGACTTTTAAGGAGCTCATGCTTCCAAAGGCTGTGGCAATTCATTGTTAATATGCCTGTTATCATAGTAGTGTTGTTTTGGCATTGTCTAGTGCAAATAGCTTGAGCCTGGTATTAAACTGACCTGGGTTTGAAACTCAGTTCTACTTGCTAGGGTCGTGAAACTGGAAAAATTACCTAAACTCTGTGCACTTCAGCTATCCCAGTGACAAAATAGAAAAACAAACAAACAAACAATGTCGCATGTTTATTTCAGCTCATATTGTCTGCTAAAGCTTTATACTGGTTTACCTTTATATTCTCTTTCTGTAAGTTTTGTGTTTTCACCTCTAATAGGAAATTTGCTTGATCACACAGCATTTATTTAGTCTGAACTGCTGCTTTTCAATTTAAAGCTACATGAGCTTCGAAAACCTTGATTTTTTTTTCATTTCCCTGAGGAAAAACAAAAGGTTCTGAAAGCATATTTTTCCTACATTTATTATTTTTGCTACTTACTTGATTTGATTTCAGGCCAGTCAGCTTGTTCTATTCTGTGGTCTTCATACTGTATGTCCAAATAAGCAAATATGTAACGAATAATTTCTGCTCTCCCCCTCATATTAAAATAAGTGAGTTTGTAGTTTGGCATGGTGCAATTCTGGAAAAAGAAAAAGGGAGGGATTATTTTAAGAGCCCTCTAGAGATGCCTCAATATTTTTCTTCAGAATTTTTTGGAAAACTTTATGGCATCTCTTGAGATTACTGGAGACATTAGAGGATATTTCAAAACCAAAATTATAAATCACTATCTAATTACATACGGGGAAACTTGGTTGAAATCAGATCATGACTCTCTCTTGGCACTACTTAGAACATTACAGTGAAATAACCAAATTCAAACTTTATTTATAAAAATATTCAGATTAAGAGGGTAACTACACCCCAACCTTCAGAGCATGGAGCAAAAAAAACTTCCCACTTTAAGATGATTTTACCCTCCTTTTAGTCACTGGTAATGTGTAATATTTGATATTTTGCCTGTTTTGTTTGCCCTTGTGACACAGCTCAGAGTTTATGAGGACATCTGGGTAAGGACAGCCAAGGGCTGGGCACATGCAAGAGGAATGTGAGTGCCATGCCAACCTGTCTTTGCCTCTCTTTCCTCACCTGTGGCTTTCCCTCTAGGCATCCAAGGCCTAGGGAAACACTGCTCTCTGGTTCCCTCTGACTACATCCACGCTACTGGGTTTTACTGGGTTACCTGCACCACAAAACACACCCCATCTCCAGACCTCTGCAGAGATGGGGCAATCTTCCTTCATTCCCTCTGTAGAGGAAGAAAGCCAAGTACTCTTACATTTCAAAACGTTTGCTAATACCGACGAATTCAGTCATTATAATTTTATGGGTTTTCAGTGATTTGTATCTTTTCATTTTCATTGTTTATAAATGGTTAATGACTTTAAGCACTCGTAGTGGAATATATTTTAATTTCGTAAGATCAAACAACTGAGAAAGAAATGTTTTCATTTGAAATTCAATTCTTTGAATTTGGGCTTTGGCCAGTTAAAATCTCCCTGAATTTCAAAGACCACTTTTTATAAATAGTGATATTAACATGGATTTGTAAATTAATGAGGTAATACATATAAGGTACGTAGCACAATGGCAAACTTAATCATTAGCATCAGTAATAATGACTTTGATCTCATTCTGTAGTCAAGAATAAACACTATGAATACAGCACACTAAAGATAAATAATAATTATGGTAACTAAATGAATAAAAGCATATAATGATGATTATTTATTTAAAGTGGTGAGTTTAAATAGTTTATTCACTACTAAGAAAGTTTTTAAAGAATATTAATGGAATACTAATTAGATAAAAGGGAAAGTTGGGCTCAAGCCTCAAAACAAAGTTTCATCAAAAATCACATCACAGACCAGGCACGGTGGCTCATGCCTGTAATCCCAGAACTTTGGGAGGCCAAGGCAGGCGGATCACCTGAAGCCAGGAGTTCGAGACCAGCCTGGCCAACATGGTGAAACCCCATCTCTACTAAAAATACAAAAATTAGCCAGGTGTGGTGGTGCGCGCCTGTAATCCCAGCTATTCAGGAGGCTGAGGCAGGAGAATCGCTTGAACCCCAGAGGTGGAGGTTGCAGTGACCCAAGATCACGCCACTGCACTCCAGACTGGGCAGCAGAGTGAGACGCCGTCTCAAAAAAAAAAAAAAAAGAAAGAAAGAAATCACACCACATAAAAGGTTAAACACGAATCATAAAAATCTAGCTTGCCAAGTCTTGACTTTAAGTTTATATATTCCTGGAGTCTAGTGGGAAGAGGATGACCTGGAAATAACTGGTTGCCTATCTAGAAGCTCCCAGGTTCAGGAAGTGACGGTGATGGTAATTCCTAGCAAAACCATTTTTTCTGGCCCTGGCTTCTGTGTCCAGATGTTGTGGAGTGAAGCTGGTGCTCCTTGCTAAAACGAGAGAGCTACTGCCAATCATTCCTGCCCAGTTTGCATCAGCCAGTCCAGTCCCCACCCAACTGAGATGTAGCATTCACCGCATATATAGATATGTGGGGAAATGTCCTTGAAAGAGACAAGAATTGACTAAATAAATAAGAATTCCATGATTTACAGCCATAAATTTCTTTCAGGGAGAACTATACATATAAAGGAGTTCAAATTTGGGAGACTAAATGAAATGCCCATCAGAACAATGGAACTGTTTTCCAGGTTACTTAGAAATGTTGAGCTTAGAAATAAATAGTGGAAAAGGTCTAAGAGCACGAAAATAGTAAATAAAAAACATAATAATTAAGAGATTATTCTTATCCAGGAAAAGCATGATAGTTATAATTCCTGGACGTATTTGTTTTAAATATCAAAACAATTTTTAAAAGCCTACAGAGTGGAAAAAGTTTGATTATTAGTTGTGGTTTCTATTTGGTGTTTCGTTTTGTTTCGTTTTGTTTCGTTTTGTTTTGTTGCAGCACAGTCTCACTCTGTCCCCCAGTCTGGAGTGCAGTGGCTCAATCTGGGCTCACTGCAACCTCCGCCTCCTGGATTCAAGCAATTCTCCTGCCTCAGCCTCCTGAGTAGCTGGGATTACAGGCATGCACCATCATGCCTGGCTAATTTTTCTATTTCTAGTAGAGATGGGGTTTCACTTATGTTGGCCAGACTGGTCTCAGATTGGTCTCCCAACCTCAGGTAATCCACCCCCCTTGGCCTCCCAAAGTGCTGGGATTACAGGCGTGAGCCACTGTGCCCAGCCTGCAGCTTCTATTTGAAAAGCATTCTATATAAAACTTTTTATTGGTTTTGTTGGCATAGTCAATGTTTCCACAGCATGAAGAAATTATATTTTCTCCCTTTAATATTAAAAGTTATTAGCATTACGTGGGGCACCATGGCTCACGCCTGTAATCCTAGCACTTTGGGAGGCCAATGCAGGCAGATCACAAGGTCAGGAGTTTGAGACCAGCTTGGCCAACATGGTGAAACCCCGTCTCTACCAAAAATACAAAAATTAGCTGGGGGTGGTGGCGGGCGCCTGTAATCCCAGCTACTCAGGAGGCTGAGGCAGAAAAATCACTGAAACCCAGGAGGCAGAGGTTGCAGTGAGCCAAGATCCTGCCATTGCACTCCAGCCTGGGGGACAGGGCAAGACTCCATCTCGAAAAAAGAAAAAAAAGTTAACAGCATTAAAAGTTAAACATACAACCTTTTCTCATTCAGTCAATTACCACATAGATACCAGTGTCCACCTGTTGAATTCTGCATGAAAACAAAGTGATTGTTTTTTATTATTGTTAATTTTCAAAATCATGCTATTTTATATTGTATTTCACTCAAGTAAAGAAGACATTTAAAAATTCTCAGCATAGGTTGGTAGCTATCTATATTTCTCTGCAAAAATATCTTGAAGTCTAAGATTTGGCAGAGGCCCAATAGCAGCTAACAAATGCTTATCTTTCCTTTTAAAATATTCTTTCAACAGTTGTAACTCATTAATGAAGCTGTACTTTTTACATGACATTTCTGTAGTTATTTGCATAATTATATTTTCTGTTTGTCTCAGGAATACCAGATGTTATATCAGAACATCCATCTGTATAATAAACTACATTAAAAGAGAAAAATCAGGCCGGGTGCAGTGGCTCACGTCTGTAATCCCGGCACTTTGGGAGGCCGAGGCGGGCAGATCACTTGAGGTCAGGAGTTTGAGACCAGCCTGGCCAACATGGTGAAACCCCGTCTCTACAAAAAAATATACAAATTAGCTGGATGTGGTGGTGTGAGCCTGTAATTCCAGCTACTCAGGTGGCTAAGGCACGAGAATTGCTTGAACCTGGGAGGCAGAGGTTGCAGTGAGCCAAGACCGCGACACTTCACTCCAGCCTGGGCGACAGTGAGACACTCTCTCTCAAAAATAAGAAACAGAATTATCATGAAACATACTATCATCTCAATAGATACTAAATGCTTTTAAAAAGCATTTATAACATTATCACTCATTTGTGATCAAAATTCTTAGCAAAATGAAAAAACAAAATAAAATACCTCTTATCAAACTAGCAATAGAAGAATACTTCCTTAACCATATAAAGAGTCTCTACTAAAAACTTATAGCAAATATAATACATAATGGTGAATCAATAAAAGCATTTTCTTTAATGTCAGAAGTAACAAGAATCCCACTATAACATCTACTATTCAGCATAATGCTGGACAGCCTAGCTAATTCAATAATGTAAGACAACAATAAATAACATTTGTTAAGTAGTAGGAAGGGAGCGACACAGCATCCATTTGCTGTGTCCAAAATGATTGTCTATATTTAAACTTCGAGAGATTCTACAGATAAACTGGATCCTAGATTTCAAATGGAAATGCTAAGGACCAAAATAGCCAAGACAAAGAAAAAAAGAGAACAGGAGAGGAGGACCTGATGTACCAGATAGCAAGACTTAGATAAAAAGCCTTGTAATGCGGTATTTGCTCAGAGGTGCATTGTCTTAAAACAGAACCTCATATATAGGACAGACATGACATAGAGTGAGGACTAAATGGTTCTGAGACTGAAACTAGACTAAAATGGTTCTGAGACAATAGAGGGAAAATAAGCATAATTAGACCCCAACTTTCTATCAAACACAGAAATAACATCTAGGTTATCTTGGTATGATTTGACTAGCATAGCAAAACTGCAGTATCATTCTGGTCCCTTATTTCCTGTTAGCTTCATTTCTGAACCCTTCCACTGTCGTTGTGTTAAGAATCTCATGTAGAGAAAACTGCATGTTTCCTGAAATGATACAGAAGCCTGAAGTTTAAAAGCTGATTGTGTTTGAAGATATTTACATCTAAAGATCTTTGCATCTAAAATTAACCACTGGCTTCCTTACACCCCAAAGTATATCGTGTAAAGTTACTAATTCAGCAGATAGATAAAAAGCTCATTTAGAATTCTGTTTGAAAAATAACCTATACGGTTTATCAAAGAACACATAAACGACTAATAAATACCCTGGATAAAAACTTAGACATATAAACTCATATGAACATAGCTATCCACTGCAGAAGATTTAACTTTTAATATTAATATATGCATTAGGAAATAAGCTCTTTTATATGGGAAATAACAGTGTTTTTAAAGTACTATCTTGGGTACTTCCTTTCTTTCTCTTTCTTTCTTGTAGCTTTTTTTTACTTTATAGAATGCTTGTTATGGTTTGGCTATATCCCCACCAGAATCTCATCTTGAATTGTAGCTCCCATAATTCCCACTTGTCATGGGAGGGACCCGGTGGGAGATAATTGAATCATGGGGGCGGTTTCCCCCATACTGACTTCATGGTAGTAAATAAGTCTCACGAGATCTGATCATTTTATAAGGGATTTCCCCTTTAACTTGGCTCTGGTTCTGTCTTGCCTGCTGCCATGTAAGACATCCCTTCCTCTTCCGCTATGATGGTGAGGTCTCCCCAGCCATGTGGAACTGCAGTGCAGTGGCGCAATCTGGGCTCACTGAAATCTCCGCCTCCTGGGTTCAAGCGATTATCCTGCCTCAGTCTCCCAAGTAGCTAGGATTATAGGTGTGCGCCACCACATACAGCTAATTTTTGTATTTTATTTTTTAGTGGAGATGGGGTTTCACCATGTTGGCCAGGATGGTCTCGATCATCTGACCTTGTGATCCGCCTGCCTGGGCCTCCCAAAGTGCTGGGATTACAGGTGTGAGCCACTGTGCCTGGTCTAAACCTTTCTTTCTTTCTTTCTTTCTTTCTTTCTTTCTTTCTTTCTTTCTTTCTCTTTTTTTTTTTTTTTTTTTTTTTTTTTTTTTTTTTTTTTTTTTTTGAGACGGAGTCTCTCTCTGTCGCCCAGGCTGGAGTGCAGTGGCGTGATCTCCACTCACTGCAAGCTCCACCTCCCGGGTTCACGCCATTCTCCTGCCTCAGCTTCCCGAGTAGCTGGGACTACAGGCACGCGCCACCACGCCCAGCTAATTTTTTTGTATATTTAATAGAGATGGGGTTTCCCCGTGTTAGCCGGGGTGGTCTCGATCTCCTGACCTCGTGATCCGCCTGCCTCAGCCTCCCAAAGTGCTGGGTTTACAGGGGTGAGCCACCGGGCCCGGCCCGCCCCCCTCCCTTTTTTTTTTTTTTTTTTTTTTTTTGAGACGGAGTTTTACTCTTGTCGCCCAGCCTGGAGTGCAATGGCGTGATCTCGTCTCACCGCAGCCTCTGCCTCCCGGGTTCAAGCGATTCTCCTGCCGCAGCCACCAGAGTAGCTGGGATTACAGGCACCAACCACCACGCCCGGCAAATTTTTTTCTTTTTTTTTTTCTTTCTTTTTTTTTTTTTGAGACGGAGTCTTGCTCTGTCGCCCAGGCTGGAGTGCAGTGGCGCAATCTCGGCTCACTGCAGCATCCGCCTCCCGGGTTCAAGCGATTCTCCCTGCCTCAGCCTCCCCAGTAGCTGGGATTACAGACGCCCACCACCGCGCCCAGCTAATTTTTGTATTTTTAGTAGAGACGTGGTTTCGCCATGTTGGCCAGGACCTCCTAACCTCAGGTGATCCGCCAGCCTCGGCCTCCCAAAATGTTGGGATTACAGGCTGAGCCACCTCGCCCGGCCAAACTTTTTTTTCTTTATAAATTACCCAGTCTCAGGTATGTCTTAATCAGCAGCGTGAAAACTAACTAATACAATGCTGATTTATTTCATCTGATTAATTCAATCCCAGAGGCAATTTTAACATAATCATTGAAAAAATTACAAACTTTTATAATAAAACAATTTAACAATATATTATTCCGTATACTGCTGTAAAAGCACAGTAAAAAATAGTCTCAAAAATTCTAGTCTCTGTGCCAGAAAGATGACAACAATCCAATTTCAACTCTCTGACAACACAGGCTAATCAATATCCAATGCCTATACTAAACATCTTAATAAAGACTTCAGCCGAAATATTTTTAGTTCAAAAAAGAGAACTTTTGGAATAATTTTGTTAGATAGAAAACTTACAAATGAGGAATTAAGTATTGACCATTCTACAGTTCAATACAAAATGTTAGCCAACGTAAGCTCTTACTCTTAAATACGACACATCAAGAATTCAAACATATTTGGGCATTCCAGACACAGTTTTTTACATGCTTAGTAATTGCGCAATAATCTGAGTTAGAGATATAAAAACAAAGATTACTTGTGAATTTGCTATAGCTCTTCTTTGAGTTTAAGATGCAGATCTTAACTTGCCCAGTAATAAACTTATACAAAATGTAATGGCCTAGAGCATGTTTACACTCCTATTATATAGACCCTGGTGTTCTGAAATGTAAAAATTGGATTCAGACAGCAATCATGTGAGATACTATTGTTCACAGGGGAACTTCTTGCATATACTGACATTAAAACAGCTTTTTATTACCCCTAACATTTGATGGTAAAGAATGTTAATTTCCCTCATTTCACAGTGTCCCTGGGCATTTCAAGTTCAATTCTGGAAAAGTTGCCAGGTTGGAGTTAAATTATAGGACAATAGAGAAATAGAAGAATTGTTGTTGACTGAGTAAGATATTGATTTCAATCAAGCACTGGATGTTTAACTTTGAATTAGCAAGCTGAAAGCTCTATTTTTTTTTTTTTTATCAAATATCAACTAAATGTCATTTTAAGTGACTGTTTCACATTAAAGCCAAAGCAAGAGGAATAACTGAAATATCCTTTGGGAGCTGTGAGTTGAAATTCCTGGCCTGGGGTAAATCCCTTAAACCATCTCTGAAGCCAAAAGATGATAGGTTGCAATTCTTATCAAAACATGGAGATGCTTCAACAAAATGTGCCTTAAAATAATATAAAATATTACCAGTAAAAGTCTTAAACTTTAAAGCAAAGGAAAGAAATTGAACAGCCATGAGATAATATTCTCTACTCCATCAATCCAAGTTATTGAAGAATCACTTGGGAAAATTCTGGAAGTAGTAACAAACCCTGATTAAGACAGGATTTTTCCTCTAGCATTGATTATATTTTCTATGTTAAAATCCACTTGAAGAGATCTTCTTAAATCTCCTGTACCTATATTTCCTTAAAAATGACTATTTGAGTTTCACATATTCGCATATATGGAGAGGTTCTGGGTAAGACAAGGTCAGAGTGAGCACCATCATGAAAATAGCTCACAAGACAGTTAGTCACAAACAGGATATGAGAATAATAAAAACTCTGAAGTAAAGAGTAAAGCATATCTCATTTATTACCTATGTGGAGTTCAGTAATATGACTTACCTGTGTTATGTCTCTCGGGAGTCTGCAGTGTCTTGTATCCCTGGGTATGTGACTGTGCCTTGGGTTTATATGACGAGTAAGTGATAATCACGAGCCAGTGAGAGGACAGGCAACTTCCTTCTACCTAACGCTCTTCCTTCTTTTCTTAGATAAAACATGCATGCCAGGCAGTTCAAGCCTGCGAAGACTGCTGGTTATACAGGATATCTGGGTATAAATAAACCAACACATTTGTATACAAGGTAAAGTCAAAGTTATAGCTGCATATGTATGCCCACTGTTACATGTTCACTTATTTTCAGTTTTACACCATAGGCTCCTGGAGAATAAGAAAACCTGAATGTAATGAAATCATCTTTGCAGATGTGCACATGACTTGCTTCTCTATTTTAGAAACAGTCTCTCCTGTACCTGCTGTATGTTCCTTCGAGGCAGTGTCTAACAATGTGGTGTATTTAACTTGTTTGTTTTTGGTTTCTCCCAGTGGAATGTAAGCTCTGTAAAGGCAGGCACTTCACTGTCTTTTTCACTATTGTCTCCTCAGTTCTAAGAGGAGTGCCAGGCATGTCATGACCACTAATATACATCTGATGATAGAATAACCCTAATTTATAGTTCACGTTTTTGCAAGGACTGTAAATTTGCATTGTTGCTGGTTTATTTCATTTACTCTCATTTCTCAGAAAAGCCAAAGTGTTTAAAGTAAACCTGGTGTAGAAGTTTCCAATTCATCTTGTTTGTGATCCTTTTACAATTTAGTAACAAATGCCTGACATTTTAGAAATTTATTGTTTCACTTCTTAGTGCAGGAATTATTTTTATCTATAATATTAGGACAGCTCAGTGAAAAGATCCAATAAAATGCCTGCCTGGGCCTTACTGAGCCTGAGGATTATCCATGAAACATTTCAATGACCAGCTGGCTTTCAACTTCCAGAAAATTACTCCCACAGGCAACAATAGCAACATATCAATCATTTAATATTTCTTATTTCTAAAGTGCTTTTAATTTTGAAAAATATGTTTACATCCACTTAGTATAAACGTCAGAAATGAAAATAAATGTAAATACTAGTATGTAAAAAGAGAAGACGCAAGTGTAGCCCTTTACCCACCAAAAAAGGATACATGTGTGTCAAAATCAAGTGCAAATGGGATGGGAGTGGGAGCTATACAAAATTAACACAATGCATTTATTATCTTTGACAGCTTTAACTTATATTTTCAAAAAAATCTTTTTATCCTCACCTCAATGATTTTTAATCCCTATTTTTATAAATGAGGAAACTGAGACATAGGGAAATTAGGTAAATTGCCTGCGAATTTTTGTTGGGACAAGCTAGGATTAAAATCTAGGCCTTCTGATGACACATTTAATATTTTTCCTTACATAATGCTGCCTATATATAATACGAGACTGCTTCAGTTAAAAAAAAATCAAGTATACAAAAAATAACACTTTTCTCATTTTGTATTACAATTTTATCTTTTACGACCAGTTGTTTTGGCTGGAGGAAAGCAGAGTAACACATCAAGGATTGGGGAAGGAGCAGCCACTTGATCCTTGGTCACCGATCAACAGAGGCTGCTCTAGAGGCATCCATTGTCCTTGTGTGCATGGCCTCCACGCCAGGAGCTCTCTGCAGCTCCTGTAGCATTCTCATTTTGCTACCTTCTTGCCCCAGTGTGGTGGTTTCATCACAACGCTGCCTGAGATTCCACCTGCCCAGTACCCAACAGAGCCACTTCTTCTCTGTGGTCTTTCTACCTCCCTGGAGGCACAAGAGGGTCCCAGGAGAGGGTCCCAGATCTCCTCTACTCGGGAAGCACAGCTTTCCCATCCTCTTGTCTCTTCTCCCAGCCCAGGTGGGGGTGCTCTAACTCTCCTAGTCTTCTACCAGCTGTGGGCCTTTGGGCAGGTAACTTAATCTCTCTGTGCCTGAGCTCCTTCACCTTTAGATGGAGATTGATTCTACAATAAATATTTATTTGTTCCTAATCTTTGCCAGGTATTGTTCTGAACGCTAGAGATATAGCAGTAAATAAGGCTGGGCGCGGTGGCTCACTCCTGTAATCCCAGCACTTTGGGAGGCCGAGGCAGGTGGATCACAAGGTCAGGAGATGGAGACCATCCTGGTCAACATGGTGAAACTCCATCTCTACTAAAAATACAAAAATCAGCCAGGTGTGGTGGCCCACGCCTGTAATCCCAGCTACGCGGGAGTGTGAGGCAGGAGAATCGCTTGAACCCGGGAGGCAGAGATTGCAGTGAGCCGAGAGCGTGCCACTACACTCCAGCCTGGCGACAGAGCGAGACTCCATCTCAAAAATAAATAAGTAAATAAATAGAGATATAGCACTAAATAAAATCAGACAAAAACAAATCTTCATGGAGCATTCTAACAATATTAGTAATAACTCTCTCATAAGCTTTTACAGAATTAAATGAGTACACAGATATGTGCTTCAAAGTGTGCCTAATGCATAGTTAGGGATCCATGAGTGAGAGCAATTGTTAATATTATTAGCAGTTCACCTGAAGGGAAAATCGTTTCCCTTCAAGAATCTATGCTCAAGAATTCTTTCCTTTTCTGTGGTTGGGTTTGGGCACTAACAGCAGAAAGAGAAGTAGCTGTCAGGCAACTTTCATTTTTCACCCTGCTTCATCCTCTTCTGAGGAAATGAGCACGGAGCCAAGTGTCTACTGGAATAGGGAGGAGGAAAAGGGCAAGGGCAAAGTGAAAACCCCTCATGGATTGTTACCTCTCAGTTCCCTGCTCTCCAGGGCAGTGACTTCTTCATGCCACACACCCTTCAGGAGCATGTTGTGGATCCAGACTGGACTGCATGAGAAATACCCGTGAAAAAACGTGTCAAGTTGTATGATCATGTCCACACAGTCATTTAAAGGCCTATTATAATTTAATAAATATGTCTTCATTTTCTCTGGGGCTTCCTAGTTGGAAAACTTTTAATCCTGTGGTATTGAATTAGCAAATTCCTAACTGCTGTTAAAAATCCAACGTTAAATCATAGTCCATTTCTGTCCTTGTTTTCTTTATTTGCCCACCTGTGTAGTAATGTGACTATACAAGATAGTGATTAAAGAGTTTCATCCTGGAATCATGACCTCTTAGAGGAATCTCCACTCCATTATTTGCAAGCTCTGGGACTTTAGGCAGCTGCCTTAGTTTCCTTATCTGTAAAATGGTGATGATAAAAATCATTCTACTCAGAGTTGAAAGGATTCAATGAGTTTGTGCATTTAAGTCACTTAGTGCCTTGCTTAGCAAGCAGTTGCTCGATAAGTAATGGAAAAACACATACAATTTTTAAAACGTGGCCCACATATTTGTTCCTCTTTATTTATTTTTGTAAAAGAGAAGTGTTCAAACAAACCTATTTCTCCTTTTCTAGCTTGTCTGTTGATGGGGAAGGGGAGAAGTATCCAGGAGAAGCCCACAAAACTTCCTTTGCTCAGATTCTAGAGTGGTCTGGTTTACTTTTGTATATTTTATTTAATAAAACAGTTTTCCTTTTTATAGTTAGTTATTTGAAAAACTAAAAACATGTAAAAGTGACGTATTTAAACCTGGGGTTGAAAATACAGGAAATAAAGAATATGTTTTTCTGCTTCTAACCTACTTGAGTAATTGAAACATGCCTGCAAATATTTTAGTGTCTGTGTTTTCCCAGATTTCAATAATGATAATGCTATTATCTGAAGTCTGCCTCTTCAGATACTGTGAAGAATGATATGGTAATTATATCCAAGATTATGAGCAAATCTTTCACTACCTAGCCTTTTGGCTAAAAGAGGATTCCTATATGTAGGCAAATAATAGTAATAGAAATAGCTAAAATTCATTAAGTATTTCCTGTGGGCCAAGCATTGAACCAAGCACTTGTCTTGTATTACCTCATTGAATGCCTACAAAACAACATCACAAATAGTGCATGCACCCTTGAGTGTAATTGCATAACTGACTGGGCCTTGTCATGAAAGCATTTATAGATAGAAAATTTCTCAGACATTTGAATCTCATTCACAAGATTTTATGTTTTTTCTTCTGTCAAGAATGAAGAAAATAAGCATTAAGTTAATTTGTTTTTCAAGGTTTTTTCAGAATCAATTAATGTCACCTCTGTACCATTACAACTTGTGCTGTAGGAGGAAGGACTGTGCAGTAAGTCCCACCTTTGCCTGTGCCCTGTCCTGTGTTCCCCAAAAGAGTCATGTCTCCTCTCTGAACCTCAGTTCTTGGAAAAGAAAAGAGATGTCCTGGTGACCTCTGAAGTCACTTCCTACTCTATTATTTCATGACAGAATTTTCCCCCTGAAGACATTTCTCTGTCTTACATGATAATTGAATGAAAACTAAGTCCAAAAAGGCACAGAGCTCATGGGCTGAGAGTTACAGGTACACAAGTTACCTTTGTCCCCAAGTCTAGCAAGAAAGGCAAAATTCTCAGATCAAAGGAAGGCCACCCATTCTGATAATCCCAGGTCACAGGATGGACTTACTATTTATAGGTACTAAGAAAATGCAAACAAAAGTGTAATTTAGAGAGAATTTTTTTTTTTTTGGTGAGATTAAAGTGTCTTCCTAGCAGTTATCAAGAAGAGGCAACCAAAATATACCTATTAAAGGAATTTGTATATTTGGAATTTTCTTATATCTCAAAAACAGATTAATCTGAAGAGGTGTGTTTTCCTCATGAAGTCTAGAAAAAGGAAATTTTGGAGAATAAGAAGGTGTCAGAAAATTTCTAGGACTCCACAGAGGACTAATAATAGCAAACACGGACATTTGAGTTTATCGTGTACCTGGTACTCACTCAAGATTTTAATTTGCCAAGGTCTCAAACCTAGCAAGCAGAAGATCCAATATTTGAACCCAGTAGTCAGCCTTCAGAGTCTTTGCGATTAATTACTGCATGAGATTGACTCCAAAATATAGAATACTAGAGTGAAAGAAAAGAAACAAGTTACAATCATTTGCTGACATTTTCTCAGGATTATCCAACTTTCTTTGGCCTAACTGTAAGTATCAAGCAAATTTCAGACCTAAATTCTTTCTCCTAAGCAGGTTTTTGCTCACCATTTTATTCTGAAAGTTGGTTTTGCATCATTCTGAGCAAACTATCACAAAGACAGAAAACCAAACACTGCATGTTCTCACTCACAGATGGGAATTGAACAATGAGAACACTTGGACACAGAGCGGGGAACATCACACACTGGGGCCTGTCGTGGGGTGGGGGAATGGGGGAGGGATAGCATTAGGAGAAATACCTAATGTAAATGATGAGTTAATGGGTGCAGCACACCAACATGGCCCATGTATACCTATGTAACAAACCTGCACGTTGTGCACATGTACCCTAGAACTTAAAGTATAAAAAAAAAAGTTGGCTTTGCATGCCTTCGTATCAAACATACAGAATTTCTGGAAGAATACTTTCAGATTGGCCTGTGATACAAAGAAAGGAAGCTACCTACAAGAAAGAAAATCAAGAAATCTTGGTTTCTGATGACACAGCTCACATTTGCTGCCCTGTTCCTAGGGAAAGAATTCTACAGTGAAAGGAGAATTTTAAGAGATGACTGCAGTAATTAAATGAAGCTTCAATCCTTAACACAAACTTATACAAGAATATAAACAACATATTGCTATGTAAGGAAAGAAAAAACTGTTTTCATCTGAACCAACGTAGCAAGAAGATCCAGAAAACAATGAACAAAATTATGCTAAAAATATTTTTCTGGCCTCCAAGATACAATTTTACTACATATACTTTGGCTTTTCATAAAGTGAGCCATTGAGAGAGAAAATACCAGCTGCTTCTAAAACTCTAGGATCCAGTCCATGAAAGGCTAGAAATGATCTGTTTTCTAGCAGTACATACATTTTGTTGGTGTTAACAGTTAAATAACTCATGGGAAGCTGCAGGCCTCAATTACAATATATCATCAAAATTTAGAGACAAGATCCAGAATTGCCACTAGGTCTGCGATTTGGAAGAACTTATATAAATGGTAAAATTTGTCCCCTGTGGACACCAACCGAAAGATGATGTGTAAATTTGATTCTGAAAACTTGAATGTTTCCTAAATTTTAGCACAGACTCTATGACTCATGTAACAAATATCAGACACATGGTTTTGAGATGGCGGCATCTTTTGTTTAATGACTTTAGATGGATTTGACCATTTGGCTATTCCCTTTCTGGTTGCAGACATTTTATTAGGCCCAATTTGAAAAGACAGGCTTTCTTTTCTGCAAACAAATTCATATGAAACTGTATGTCACACTGACTTAGACTTCGTGCTAAAGTGCTGCTGTGTTTCTGTAAATGTTCAGAATAAAATCTTTGCCTTTTATATTATTTCTTTGGATGTAGTGGTAATCTCACATCAATTTTAAAATTTCTATTTGTTTCTGTTTTATAACAGCAGATTACAAATACGTATGCTCTGAACTACACCAAAATCTCTTTAGTTACACAGCTTAAGCAAGATGATATTCTGATACAGATTAGCTACCAAAGTGAAGTGGCTGTTCATGACTCATTTTTCCAGTCTTAGCAAATGGAAAGTATTACATTCTTTTCAAAACATCAAAGTCAAAGGCATCTTTTAACACCCCATGAATGTCAAAAAGTAAAGTTTGAGCTTAAGCTGATTGAGTATTTAGTTTTAGTTCTCATTCTTTGGATCATATTTACAAAGCCCTGTTTATTAACTCAAGGAATAAAATTACATAGCAATTTTCCTGGAAAATATGCTTTTTAAAAATAAATATTTAAAAATGTTCTGCTGTTATCTTAAGAGCTATATAATGGAAGTACACAAATTAAATATATGTATTGATCTCTGGAAACAAGTCACAAATCTTATATATTTTACTTGAAGTTTTAAAGATTTTTTTTCCTTTTGTATTATTCATATCAAGTTTAAGATTTTTTTTCTCTTTTGTATTATTTATATCAAGTTTAAATCCTATTATTTAAATTTCCAAACTTGCTCTTTTCAAGGCTTCTGGTTAAGCATGACATATTGACAATACATCTTAATCTCATTTCCCTCCCCAAGACCCATGAAAGGTCAGTAAAATTATACAAAAGGTATAGTCAACAAGGACAAAGAGAAAGGGTATAAAAGCATGTAAGAAACATTAAAAAAAAAAAAGAAAAAAGGCTGGGTGCGGTGGCTCATGCCTGTAATCCCAGCACTTTGGGAGGCCAAGGCGGGCAGATCACCTGAGGTCAGGAGTTCGAGAACAGCCTGGCCAACATGGTGAAATCCCGTCTCTATAAAAAATACAAAAACTAGCCGGGCATGGTAGCGAGCACCTGTAATCCCAGCTACCCAGGAGGCTGAGGCTGGAGAATCACTTGAACCCGGGAGGCGGAGATTTCAGTGAGCCAAGATCATACCACTGCACTCTGGCCTGGGCGACAGAGCTAGACTCCGTCAAAAAAAAAACAAAAAACCCTTTATCTGACAGGAAGCAAGTGGAGGAGTGGCAGTTGAATGGACTGCATAGTCAAAGTTATGAGCTAAGTTTAGGGGCAGACACACTGAGGGGAACAATGCCATCCCAAGCACCTTTGAAGGATCCATGAAATACCTGGCCCCCAAAATCCACATACGTGAATTTGATATTTGAGGTCAAAAATGAAAAGATTAGTTAAAAGTCAGCATAGAAAGCACTAGAACCTGCTTTCCCTACCTCTTCTCACCCGTTGCTGCCCACCAACAAATCCCTTGGTCTTAAAAAGAAAAGAAATAGGAGAATCTTTGGGAAGCAGAGAAAATACAGGTTCTGAGATAAAAATTAAAGTATCAGTCATTCATGCCATTTGAAAAACAGTGACTGTTGGCATCAGACCAAATTCCCATCAGACTCTACTCCAAAGCTCACTATAGAATGCATTCGCCTCTGGCTCGGATAATGAACCACGGAAGGTAAGAGAGGACTTCCAAGGTTTCTGTCAACTCGGATTTTTATAGACATTTCTACCTGCTGTTCCCAGTTCATTTTTGCTTGGAAAAAACTTTGCCAAAAAAAGATTTATAAGTTCTTCACAATCACAGTTGCAATAGGAATTGCAATTATTTTCATACTGAGAAAGTAAATGGAAAGCATTGTATGGATGAATAGAGTAGTCTAATTTTTGAAGATCTTCTTATTTGAGAACATTGCAGTGAATTCAAATATTTGGTGTGCTTATTTCATAGTCATGATTGCTGTGGGGATATTTAAGGCACACAGCAAATCTGTAATGCAGATATTATTAGACCCATTTTTACAGATGAAAACATTAAGGCTTAGAGTGATTAAGTAACTGATGCAGAGTCATACAACTGTGAAGTAGTGGTGGTATGAGTGATCAAACTCAGTTCTGTTAATTACAACTATCCCAAAATTCTTCACAAAGTTTTGGTTCACAACAATTCTGCACCAAGGGGAGATTCTCCAGGGTAAAGAAATAAGTGTCAAGGAAACTTCCCTACAAGTTTAGAACTTCTAGTTATATGAGTGTTTATTAGATTGATGAACTTGAAATTTAAAGGCTGGGAAAAATACTTTCAAATATTACTTTTTTTTCTAAAACTGCAAGTACACAAAATCAAATTTAGAAATACAAATGAAACTGAACAATGAGGGTCAAACTTATCAAGTGTTTCTTATCTTGTTTCCATTAGTCATTTTCTCTGACACTTTTTCTCTCTGCCTAATGTGGTCTGGACTCATCTGCCTGATAAAAGTTTTGCCCCGGTTAATATTTGGTCCAAGATGAATTAATATGATTTCTATTCATATAAATATTAGCTGAATATTTTTTGAATTCTGTGTCACCCTTTGTCAGGTAGCCCAAAGAGCAGTTTGCATATTCACATTTTGATTTTAAGTTCCCACTTTCTTTATATGTAACAGTCGGGCAGAATCACCCTCCGGGACAGTTGGCTGAGGTAGGGGTGGGGAATTGGGTAGAATGGGTAGAAGGATCAATTTGTGGGAAGATCTGGAAGGAAAAAAACCTTACAGCAAGTCTTTTGCCCATTTGCCATACCCAGCATTTTTAGGCAGGTTAAATAAAATGAAAAGTGTATCAAGAACAGCATTAAAGAGGAGAAAAGGTATGAACAGCAAAATCCTTTGAGGATACTGTACAAATGGGGTAGGGGCAGTGCCATCTGATCATCTCTTTATGCCTAAATCGGGGAGGGGTGAGCTCTTGAACGTGTTCCATCCTCAATAGTCTGTTAGCACCAATGCCAGCCTCCCCACCAAGTGCCTGCCCAGCTGGGAGGATCTTCACAATTCTGAGCCAGGGCTGACCATCCCAGTTCATTCTTTATTAGAAAGTGCCTGAAAACGCTCTGCATCAACTATGCTGCATTTGTTTTCTTCCCCTGCAGTTTCATAAGATCTGCTAAAGAAACTCCCGACAAAGTGTGCTAGGTCCAAAAGTTTACAATCTGTGTACAAAATGCTATAAAATTCAACCTTTTTAAAGGTCTACAATGAAACCCAGAGAACATGTTAAAATGAATTGCCTGATAACCTTCCTCTTTTCATTTTTTTCCAGCTTTATCTTTCTATCTCATATTCGCCTTCCTGTTTCCTGATAGTTTTTAACGTTTCACAGTAAAGACACATTTTAGTTCTGAAAAGGAATTTATTATGTTGGTGGTAAATCTGCTACTTTATTGGTAAGTTTAGTCTACTATGAACTACAAAATTTGTGATTATATGCAACAGATGAAATGATCGATTTAGCTCTGCCATGTATATAATGGTGATGTTCAGGTAAAAGCAAGAGAACAAAGAACTTTCCTCAATTTGGTCATTTTTTTCCCCAAGTAAATACCTTTGTACATAAGTCTTTGCACAATCACTTTTGTTGTCAATTCCTAGAAGAGGAATTGCTGAGTAATTGGCTATATGCATTTTAAAATGTTAATACCTATTGTCAGATTGATATCCAGAAAGATTGCACAAATTAATCTCTAGCCAATGAGCTGATGTTTATCATTCTATTATTTTCCAATCTTATGGGTTAAAAAGTGTCTCACAGTATTTTATATTGGCATTTCTTTGATTACAGATAAGACTGAACATCCCATGTTTCTTTATTTTTATGTGTATACTTTTGTGAATGTCCTGCTATTGCCGTGGAGTATTTTTTTCTATTGTGGTTTTCATCTTTTTTTCTTATAGATATTATAGGCAAGCCATAGAATATATATTCTATATATTTACCCATCCTTGCTGTGGATTCTCAGTAGGCAGAGTGTACTTTCTCATCATTTGGCTGGAAACTTGGCCATGTGATTTGCTGTGCCCAGAGTGTAATACTAGATGTGATGCAACCAGAGGCTTTAAATGTGCTTTCACAGTTTGGATTTTCCTCTTCCACTCCTGTGATGTGACATAAGAAGGGCATTCTTGTAAGAAGCCATCCCAGCTGCCCTGTAGACTTGTGAATGAGGACACTAAAATGTTTGTTGTTATAAGCCACTGAGAATTTGTTATGCAGCATTACGGCAGCAACATAATGCTGCGAAGTTTTTCTCTAAATATCAATGTGCTCCTGTCAACTTACAAAAAGAGGAGATATTTTAAAATACAAGAAAGAAAAAGAAAATAACGTAGAGAAAAAAATATACTGCTCTTTTTTCAGGGAAAGAGGTATACTAAGAACACTTTGCCCGCAAATAGTTGCTAAGGTTGGCAAGAGAAGTAGCAGCTTCCACCGTTATCAGCCAGTATAGCAGACTGTACTAGGAGGCAAAGTCAGAACAGCCATTTCTTCATGAAATATTTAATGGTCATTGTATTGGGTCAGGGTTCTCCAGAGAAACAGAACCAATAAATATAGAACCAACAGAACCAACGTGCATAGATATAAAAAGAGGTTTATTTTAAGGAATTGGTTTGCATGACTGTGGAAAGTGGCAAGTCCAGGAGACCCAGGAGAGCCAATGTTGTAGTTCCCGTTTAAGAGCAATGTGCTGTAGAGCCAGGAAGAGCCAATGTTGCAGGTGAAGTCTGGAGACCATCTGCTGGAGTGTTCCCTCTTGCTCAGGAGAGGCTGGTCTTTTTGCTATACTGAGGCCTTCCGCTGATTAGATCAAGCCCAACCATATTATGGAGGGCAATCTGCTTTGCTCAAAGTACACCAATTTAAATGTTAATCTTATCTAGAAGCATCCTCACAGAAATAGCTAGAATAATGTTTGGGCACCCCGTGGCCCAGCCAAGTTGACACATAAATTAATTACAACAGTCATTTTGAGATAATTGTTGACCATAAGGCTAAACTTGGAATTTTGAGGTCAACATGAACCCAGTGTAACCAGGGTATGTGGCAAGATAAGCCTGATATAAGGACACTGAAGCCATGGACAATCTCCAAAGAACCATGGAGGAAGATAGGGTCAGTCACAGTCCAATCAGGAGACCATGACCACACCAGTTATTTTAACCAAGAAAACTTAAGAAAAGGAAATACTAAGTATTGAAGGACTAGAAAGTTTAAAAGAGCACCTTTAAATACCATGGAGGTTAGCATACACAGGAAGCAACTCACCTCTCCTGGCCTACAGGAACAAAGGGAAAGAGGTTGACATTATTTAAACTTATAAGCTTGAAGGAGATGCCCCATGTCACTGAAGCTCAGACACCTGAGGAGGGGCCCATGAGGTTGCGACACAGACCTCTGAGGAGGGATGCAGGTCAGCTGCTGATAGTGTCCCTGAGAGGCACAGTGAGGCTGGTCCTACAAGGGTTGGAAGAACGGAGAGCTGAGATCAAGGGCTGCTACTAGAATGAACTGCCTCTTACAGGGTGAAGAATTGTTGCTAGGGTGATGCTTGACACCGAGAGGTACAGCAAACAAACACGGAGAAACAGGAAACGGCAATTCCCTTCTTCCTCTTCCAGCCTTGACATCTCCCTGTAGTGTCCTCTACTGACAAAATCTAATAGACAGCTAGCTGGCCAAGGAGAAATGTGATTGGCAGAGCCCCCGCTCAGTCCCAGCTGAGCACAGAAGGGTAGATTTGCAGCTGGGAGACATTAGCTAATAACAGGCACAGACCCATGATCTCCAAAGTGAGGTGCATGCACCCAGGGAGTGCAAAAGATAGTCCACTAGGACATGAGAAGAAATCCATTTCCATTATATTTCTTATCTAAAAGAATAGGAAAAAAAATCAAGCTTTATTCATATTTAAAATGCAGATTGATAAGCCTCCTTGGGAACAGTAAGACTGTGGAAAATAAAAGTAAAGAAAACAGCCAAGAGAAAGCAAAACAAAACAGCAGGTAGGAAACTGGTCTCAGTAAAATGCAATGTTTACATATGTAGTGACAAGGAAGAGGAATTAATAGCCAGGCTCAAATTTGCTAGTTATTTCTCTAATGTGGCATAAGCATCTGCAATATTAACAGTTAGTTAAAAGTTCAAGGATAGGCCTGGTGCAATGGCTCACAGCTGTAATCCCAGCACTTTGGGAGGCCGAGGCGGGCAGATCACTTGAGGTCAGGAGTTCGAGACCAGCCTGACCAACATGGTGAAACCCCATCTCTACTAAAAATACAAAAATTACCCAGTCTTGGTGGCGCATGCCTGTAGTCCCAGCTACTTGGAAGGCTGAGGCAGGAGAATCGCTTGAACCCAGGAAGCAGAGATTACAGTGAGCCGGGATCATGCCATTGCACTCCAGCCTGGGCATCACAGCAAGACTTCGTCTGAAAAACAAAAAAAGATTCAAGGATAACAGAGAGAAAGATAATTGACTGCTAAGGATGGAGGAAAGTCTTCCCAATAGAAAAATGCCTTTGAGGTAAGTTAGTATTGATCAGGGCCAGAGTTCTAGCTAGCATCTAGCTCCAGGTAGATGAGTCTGAAAAGCAAGCACAGGTCAGACCATAGCAAGTCTCTCATGGCATGATGGAAAGAAAGAAGCCTGTGGAAACTACATGTAAACTTTTCTCCTTGAGAACTCTGTCAGTTGCTAATAGCATGCTCTACCCACTATTTCTTATATATGTATAGAGAACTAAGCCTTAACTGTATGTTTAAACACAGTCATAGGAACAGTGCATTTATGATCAATAAGCCCAACTAAGTCTCAACTCTCTTTTAGAGTTTAGATATAGTCAACTTGATAAACTTTTATTGAGCAATAGCTATGTAATACTTAAGCCAAAACTTGAAGATGAGAAAGTGTGGGAAAGAAGAAAAGCATTCAGGCAGAGGGAAGGTTCAAGTAAAGGCACAGAAGTAAGAGTGAAGAAGACATTCCAATCTCTATGTAAAGCAGGGATCCTGGTGGGAGGCAGGTGTTGTCTGAGCCTAACCCACCAGACTGAACCTCATGGAGCTTGTACCCCAGGCAGTGAGGAATCACTGAAGGATTTTAAGTAAGGAAGCAACAGGAGTACATTTCATTTGTAAACAATCGCTCTGACCAATATGAATCAGAGAAAGAAAAGAACTATGAAAAGAAAGCAGTGAAGTTGCACTAAGACATCATAAAATGTTAAATGGAATTATCGAGCCTCTTCCATAACATGCCTACAGTAACAACACAAGCAGTGTTTGCTTTTTAAGTTTTCATTAGGCAGTTGTTTCAGGGAGGACCCTGTTCAACAGCAACCCCAAATTACACAGACTTCAGAAAAAAATAAAAAAAGAATTGTATTGGATATAGAAATGGCTGCCTGATCTCATGCTGTTATCACCAGCTTCATCCCTCGGTTCTGCTTATATAAAGTTAGTGCCATTCCCAGCTTCCTCCTCATGGCTTCCAGCTACTCCGAGATTACCCCTTGTGGTTGAAAATATCTGAGCAGGTGCAAGCCCAAAGGTCTTTTGCCACCAAATCCAGCAGAATAGAAGGCTTCTGTTTCCCAGAGGCCTGGCAAATGTCATCTAGAATCTCACTGCCTGACTGCAAGGCCCTGTGCCTAGGGCCTGCAATACTTTCAGGGGCCTATGAAAAATGTTTTAATTTCTTTCAAAATCAAATGAAAAAAACACTTCTAGTTCAAGGAAAATGTCTTATTAACAATATCAATGTATCTATATCAGTGCCATTTAAAATAAGATTTTTAATTTTTTTGTATGGAGGAAGGTGTCCACGTAGGCAAAAGTACCCAGGGCCCACAAAAGCCGTACCTTGCTCCTGGGTGACTGGGTTATGTGCTCATCTCTGAACCAATCACTGTGTCCTGAGTGGTGGTGGAGGGTATGGTGATCAGGGAAAACCAATAAAGGCTCACTCCAGATCCAAAGATCAATCCTACGCCAACCACTTGGCTGGGAATGGGGGTTGTAGTTTTAGGATGCTGTTTCCAGAAAGCAGAGGATGATGCTGGACAGCAAATAATAGATGCCCAACATGCAGGGCCTTCTGATAACACAGGGATTTGTACACTTTTTTTTATGCTCTTGGCATTGCGTGAGACACTTCCTACTACAGGTGTTGCTGTATTTTATAGTTCTCTTAGTAAATCCAAATTTTTAATGTCCAGCCTTTGAAGAAAGAAATGTTCTAGGCATAGTTTTAGTGATTATCTGATTTCAAGCCCATTAGATGAGAAAGAAATGTCTTTTTAGTTTATCATACATTTTTATTTTAAGAGACAGATTCTTGCTATGTTGCCCAGGCTGGACTTGAACTCCTGGGCTCAAGAGATCCTCCCACTTCAGCATCCCAAGTAGCTGCGATTCTAGGTGCATGCCACCACGCCCAGTTTATCATAAAATTAATTCTAATTAAAGAAAATAGTGGGTCTTGTTATTTTCTCAACAATCTAGCATCCCCTTTCCCCATTCCACTGGGTTCTAATGGGGCTTTCCATCACATTGCTCTACCTTCCCAAACACAGAGATGGATACGTGACTTATGCCAAGTCAATCTGAATTGTAACTTTTCTATCAACGATGATTCATTTAATGAAAACAAATTGTTCTACAACTTGATGGGGTATCTCAGCAGATCCCAAGCTAGGATTCAGAGTCTGGCTGCAGGCATTGGGTCAATGAGTCAGCCCTTCATCCAAGATATTGACTTGAATTATTTCATAAGCATGAGAGGAGAACATTTTTCTATCAGTCTATCAGTGAGTGAAAGAAAAGGGATAGGAAGACAGAGAAAACTCAGGTTTGTGTTCTCCTTGCCTGGCCCCAAAACTAGATTTGTAGGGTTGCAGGAAGCAGAGAATGGGGGTCTTTTCATAAACAATTTTGTGAGTACTGCTTTGGATCTCTGTGTCAAAGTGTAGCACTGAGTTGGGATGAGGAGAGGATTCTATTTCTTGTACCATTTGCCATCCCAAGATTTCTCAGTTGCAGGAGCATCAGGACATGCACCCTTGTTGAAGGCAGCAACATTTTCCCATTCTCACATTGTTTAGCTAAGGCAGTGATCATGAGGAGACACTCCCTCAAGGTGCTTGTAGGTAACAGGCAGCAGCAACAAGGAAGGCAAGTCAGGAGAACCAGACCAGACTTGTTCTTACACACATGTGAGACATACTCTGGGGATGTTACAAAAAACTGAAGATTTTGGAAGAGGGATGCTAATAACTGTCAGTCAAGAAGGTGAGGCACAGAGCCTGTTAAATTTGGAAAAATTGATGTTAACATGACCTCATTTGTACCTTCATGCTGTTGTAAACAAGAGATGTGTGTGTCTGTTGGAGGGGGTGGGGTGTGGGGAGCTGGTGGGGTGGGATATTCTTTCAGTCTAGAACTATTTCTTGAGTGCCTTCTATCTGCCTGGCACTATTCCAGAAATCAGTGGTGCGCAAAATAAGCAAGTTTCCTTCCCTCAAGGGTTACACACCTAAGAAGTCTATGTGAAGTAGAAACAACCTGGAGCTTGGCTTTCCCTGATGTTCTAGAGTTCTGTGGGTGTTACACTCCATGTCATTTATGGATTATCAGGCTCTATGGAACTAGCTTCTAAATCAGAGTCAGTATCAAGGTAATCTCACTAACCCTCTAGCCAACTCAGTAAAATTGTAATGCCTGTCCCAAGCTAAACTCAAAGCATAAAGCTTTACTCCAAATTCAAGTAGTCATCCATTAGCTCTATTAATTCTATGCCTAATATTTGGAGGCCAGTGGTCTTGAAATGAAACGTATGGTTATTTAGCTTGGTTAGAGAGATAGAGACTGAATTCTTAGCCTCAAACCATTGGTTTTCTTTCTTTCACCTTTTTTCAAGATGTGTCTTTAAAAAATGGGATCACTGTGGCAATAGATCCAAAAATTATTTGATGAAGTGGAATATTGATCATTCAGGTGCCTAAGTACTGACACTATTTTTTAATTCTTACACTGTTTCACACTGAATGGAAATATAATCCAAGGTAACCTTCTGCTCATTGGGACTGCCTTAAGCCTTATGCGCAGTAGGGCTATTTATTAGTGATCCCAAGCAGAGAATTAAAAAACAAACAGCAAAGCATCCATTTGAACAAATTGAACTCATATGGTAAACTCAGATACACATTCTTTAAAGGAACTGTGAAGTAATCAAGAGTTTCTTCCAAAAGACATTTATAAGGAATCAAATGGGAAAAAGCCAAACGTGTATATATTCTAAAGCTACTCATCCTTTGGGATAGTGAAAAAGATCTGAAAATGGATAGTGGTGATGGCTATACAGCAGTTTGAATGTACACAGTGTAATGTCCCTAAACTATACATTTAGAAATGGTTAAAAAAGTAAATTTTTTGTTATGTATATTTTATCACAATAAAAATATTTGAAAAAAAAACCTTTCCATCCTGAGTTAAACCAGAACTTAAAAATATTCTCCAAATTGAGCTTGAACTTTCATCATATGTTATTTGGTTTGAGCCTTGAGTGACTACCACACCAGTGACTCTTTAGCGCCTGCCAAAATCTTTCTGAATGTATTTGGCTTAGTTTTAAATAATAACATTTATTGGATACAGAAAATATAACTCATGTCCTTTCCGATTCATTGAAATAAACAAATAAGTAAACATACTGTCCAAACTGAGCTCGGTTTTGAATTAAGTCATTATCATAAGCGCAAAGCAAAATGCCTGTTGTCTTTCTAGCATGTGTGTTCGATACTTGTATTTGTATTTGCCAGTTATTCCCCCAGAGATGTCATATGAATGCTTTTAATTTGAAAAATGTTGGACTGCTTTATCTGATGTCCAAACCTTACAAAAAATGTTTGCATGGAAAACTAATTAATGGTTCAATGTCCATCTTCAAGCCAAAGTATGTGCACAGCTCAAATGACGTTCAATTTTAGGCCATTGGGATCAATGCTTAATACAGAGTTGATGGTCCTAAGATCCTGGAGATTATTGTCAAGTATCTCAGCCAGGATTCTTAAGCCAAGTGGCTGTTTGCTTTTAACATAAATTTGACCTAGGTTTTCATCCATCACAGAATCAGGATATTGTTTTCCACGTGGTTTTGTGTGTGTGTTTGTGTGGTGAGACAGGCTATTATGCAGTGAGTCTATGCATAATTACTGAATTTTTTTGTTTCATTTTGTTGAATTTTTATTTAAATAATTTTCTGTTATGAACAATTTAATTCTAGTTGGTTATTGGTATTTTATTAATTTAAATATGTGTTTAAATCTGATCTGCATAAAATGATCACTACTCAACTAAATTCCAAAGGCTTATAACAAAAGAAATGTTTCAATTCCTGGTCAGTGATACTTAAGCGTTTTGGTTGTTTTCAAAGAAAAATTTCATCATCTTCTCCAGTATAGTCATATATATAACTAGTGGCACCCTATGTAGAATGCCACCATTTATGTTGATGATTCTAGTTAATATTTCAATCAATTATTACTGAATGATCTCCAATCAAATATATCAGTTCTTAAGAACATCATTGACTTTTTCTTTTGAGATAGATACAGTGGCCCTATTTTGTGATTTGATTAAGTTACTGTCTTTGATTACATCTTAGCAATACTCTTAGCTAACATAACTTACTGGCAGTAGGCATTGTTCTAAGTACTTCATATTAATTAATATATTTAATTTTCATAACTGCACTATGGGGTTTTGTATTATTGTTACTACTACTGTTATTCTTATAAGTATTTTACCACTACTATTATTTTTTACTATTTTTAATTATTACTACTACTATTATTATTCCTATTTGATAAGTAAGAAAACTGAGGATCAGAACTTGCTCACAATTACACAACTAATAATGAAAATAATATGGACTTGAACCCAAGCAGTCTGTCTTTAAAATCATTGCTCTTAATCCTTACACTATAATCCAGGCACATCCTCATAAATTTCCTACCTGTATCCAGCTTCCTCTCTTGGCATTTGCCTCTTAACACCCTATGTTCATACATTACAAAACTCATAGTTGTTTTTGCTTTATTTTGTTTTGAGCCTTTACAATACTTACTTTAGTTAGGGAAAATTATATGGTAGAGGGCAGAAAGGTGTTTCTGATTCACTTGCTTTGCTTCTGGGTCATGGTCTCCTTGTAGATTGTGACTTGCAGCCAATAAGGATTGCTGAAGTGACTTTGTCAAATGGAAATCAGTGTTTGCAGAAATGCGATAGAATAAAAGATATCACAAATATATTTTTAAATGTTCTGTATGGAACTACTTAGATTCCATATAAAGATAATCTAGGTAAGACCTGCAAGAAAAGCTGAGATCCAGCATCATTCATACTTTGTCTATGATGGAACTAAGTGTTGGTTGCAAGGCTGAGAGTAGAGGCTACCTCTCCTGACTCCCTATTTAATGCTCCTTCTTCTCGCCTCAAGAACTAATAGTCTAATAATGGGTGCATGGAAGTGAAAAGACAGTTATACAACTGGGAATGTGGTAGAGGTGAGCATAGAGTGGAAAATGAATATATGGAGACTAGAAAATATTTCCCAAAGGAGGAGATACAAACTTTAGAATTGACTAGGTAAAGGGGAGAAGGGAATGCTCCATGAGGTGAGAGCAGCATATTTTAAAATCCCAGGTCTGTGAGCATAGAGGAACTGTTCAGAGACTGCAAACAACCCAGGATGTCTGGGTAAGCTGGAAAATGAGAAAGGGGAAACTGGATATAGATAGGAGAAAAAAAATATGCCTACTATGCCATATTGAGGAATTAAAATTTTAGCCAGTCTTTTATGGATGACACTGGATGATTTTATACAAAAAAAAAGTGTCATTATTAGATTTGCATTTTAGGAAGAATGCTCTGTAAGAGAATGTGTTGGACTCTGGGATGGGAAGAGAGCTCTGTAAAGACTAATGACGGGGTGCAAAGAGACAAGAGGAAACTGTTGCAATGCAATGGAGAGGAAAGAGCAAATCCCAGAGACAGGAAGAAAACAGTGACATTATGAAAACACGTGCCTTAGGTATCTGTTGCATGACGCCAAGACAAAAAAAAAAAAAAAAAGCCAAGTGAAGAGCCCACTAAGAGGTTCATCATGAGGTAATTGTGAGAAATCCAAGTGGAAATATCTAATTGATATATGGTTCTGTGCATCTGGTGCTCAGAAAAAAATTCAAAGGCAAAATACAAATGTGGTCATTATCAATCATTTGTTTGAACAACATCTAGTAAGCATTTACAAAGTGCCGGTATTGTGATAGGCTCTGGGAATTCAGAGGAGAATCAAGTCAGATCCTATTCTTGTGTCTGTTTGTAGCTTACAGAGGAGGAGAGGAACATATGAAGAGTTAAGGGAAGGAAAGAATTTTTGGTTTGACCACACATTGTGTCCAGAGCACAATGCGATAGTTGTCTCTGGGAAAGGTAATCCAATGCAGTGCTCTGCAGTTATAGTCTCGGTGCCTTTGAAAAAATAATTTGCATAAATAATGAATTGCTATCTCACAATTCAATTAAGTTTCCTTTGGCATTTGACCCTGATTATTATTATTATTTCTGATGTCTCAGAAATAATAATAGTAGCTAACATTTATTGACTACACTTACTACATTTATTGACTACCTTGTCTACTACCTGTTAGATAATTTTCTCAGTATTTCAAGTGTATTTTCTCATTGACTCCTCCCAACAACCCCATAAAATTGGTACTATTATAATCTCTATTTTACAAATAAAGAATCCAAGCACAGAAAGAATAGGTGACTTGTCCAAGTACACTAGTTAGAAAATAGCCAACCTAAAATTCAGGCCTGCAGATTCACTTCAGGTCTGAATCTTATAGAAAAAATAAGAGTAACAGATTATAGGAAAGATAATAAAATGCTACTTTTTCATCATCGGTTGTGCATTCATGTTAAATTGTCTTATTTTGCTCTGCTATAAAATTCATATGAAGTTAATTTTTTTCAGAAAAACCTTTAATTTGGAATTACTTAATGGATTGAGAATCATTCGTATTTTTTGTGCCAGGGAGTAAAATATCTTCTTGATTTCCTTGATTGTGTTTGCTTTTCTTCATTCTCAACCTACCAAAATATTTAATGACCAACTAAGAATGTGACCACCCTCACTGTTACCATGTTAAACAAGCTTAGTCACAGACCTCTTTTTCCGGCTCCTTTATCTTTTATCTAAAAAAAAAAAAAAAAATCAAACTAGACTCATTTCCTTTTAGAACCTTTTTTTCTCTTATCTCTTTAACTCTAATTCTTCCATCAATTATAGCTTTTATTCCAGAGAAAAAATATAGACACCCTTAGCAAGAAACTCAGGGTGTCAACACTGTTGGTGATAAAAGTGATACAGCCTTGCGTTTCCTGTGGGCTGCTCGGAGAAAAAGTACATAACAATGTGCAAAAAGGTCCAGGATTGTCATGTTGAGTCTGCATTTACTTACCTAACTATAATGCTGTGAAGACACATAACTGTAAATTGTCCTAGTCTCCTGACTTTCTCTATTTTTGCTTTTAGACAAGGTCTGTCTCTGTCGCCCAGGCTGGAGTGTGGTGGTACCATCATAGTTCATCGTAACTCAAACTCCTGGGCTCAAGCGGTCTTCCTACCTCAGTCTCCCAAGCACTGGGATTACTGATGTGAGCCACCACACACCGCCTCTCCTGATTTTTATCTCCTCAAAAGAAATAAACAGGAATCATAAATTGTGTGAATGAATATGAACCATCTCACAGAGAAACAAACTCCAAAACTGCTAAATTTTCTTCTACAAGTTTCACTCTCTTAGTCTGGACCACAACACACTGGCTGTAGCAATTATAATCTTAAAACAAATTCAATTAATTATTATGTACTATGTTCCATGACTGCTGGTAATCATGTTTTTAAAGTTATGTTTGAACACTTGTTTGACTTTTTTGGGTCATGATTATGAAGCACAGTTAGTTTTTTTAACATAAATTGTTTTGGATCATGATTTTTAAAGCAAGGTTAAGAAAGCCAACTCAATGGCGTGCCATAACTAATGGTAATTTTAATTGAACTGACAATCAGACTTCAGGTTTGATGGAAATTGCCATCAAACTGTATTTGAGGACACAGAAAAGGAAGCTATCCTGAACATTAAGTTATATTATTAGAGACTGGTCTTCCTCACTCCACTCTTGCTGTTTCTTATTTATCTTGATTTGTACAATTAAATTAATCTTTCCAAATAGCAAAATAATTCTGTTATTCTTTGGCTCAAAACCTTTCGTAGCTCTTTATTGCATACAGAAAAGGAATCCAGTTGATTACAGCAGTGGTCTCCAAACTTGTTAAAAAATCAGCTATGACTAAACAAAGTAAGGAAAAAGAAACCATGCAAATATGTATTGCCTCTCTGTAAAATCATATATTACTATAATTATCTAATATCTAGTAGGATATCTAGTATAATTATCGCTTAGCACAGGCCTTATTGCTAACGATAGTAGATTAAATTCATCTCTCAAATGGCCTTCTTGATTGTTTGACTAATTTTATTAGACTACTTCCTCTCATATTCAATTAGATTATCATTTGCTTTTTATCTCTTAACATAGCTGGTCAAAGATGGGCAGGAAGAAAGTCAGCTTTGTAATTTCCTCGTTGTCTGTCTGTGCTTGCATTTTTAATATTTTCCATTTATGGCTCCTTTGCAGAGATCTTTTCACGTGTTGTCCATTTATGATTGTTTAAAACATATTGTATATCAGTGATTTCACATAAGCAGGCATACAGTATACAGCAGGTGAAGACTTTAAGGTCTGATAAGATATCCAGCCCTAACCTCTGTTTCCAGAAATATGGCAGTCTGATGTTCACAGAATTATTCCTAGTAGGAAGCACTGAACAATATTGTATAAAATACTTTTCAAAAAGGATTATTGATTAATTCTGGCAGAGGAATTAAAGAACCCTTCAGAGATTAGAAATAATAAGAACATGGAAAGTGAGCAATTTTTTTTAATTTTTGTGAGTACAATAGGTGTATATATTTATGGGGTACATGAGATATTTTGATACAGGTATACAATGCATAATAATTACATCAGGGTAAATGGGGTATCCATCACTTCAGGTATTTATCCTTTTTTCTTTTGGATTACTTTGTTTCGGTGTAAAATTCAAAAACTCCTTTAAAATAAGCCTTGCAACACTATAATTTCTGAGAATGAGCCTTACATTCTTGTCTTTAGTATCACTTCCTTCATGATTTTGCATTTTATATGTTATATTTACATTGGATACTTTCCACAAAATTATTTTATGATGAGAAGACTTCTATTTTCCTTGTACAATGGTTGTTAGCAAGATTGAGTTCCTCTTGAGCTGTTGGACTAAGGGCATCAGGTACTTGTTGGCTGCCCTCAGTTTCTTGTAATATGGGTCTCTCCACAGGGTAACAGGCTAGCTCACATAGCTGGGTCACAGGACTGATTTTTGGTTCTTAAGAAAGTGTTTTTTGGGTGGATAGTTTTCCAATTTGGTGTTCCTGTAGGAGGAACAATTGCTGGAGGCTTCTATTTGGCCATCATTTATGCCATCTATGCCTCCTCATTTATCCTTTCTTTGAGGTTACAAACATCCAGTTATACACATAACTAAAAGTTTAGTTAAAATAACTGAATTTTGAAATGTACAATAAATTATCGTTGACTTTAATCATCCTGTTGTGCTATTAATACTAGATCTTTTTTATTCTAACTATATTTTTGTACCCATTAACCATCTCCCCTTCCTCCTCCACCTCCGCTACCCTTCCAAGCCTCTGGTAACCATCATTCTGCTTTCTAACTCCATGAATTCTATTGTTTTACTTTTTTTTAAAGCTCCCACAAATCAGTGAGAATATACAAAGTTTGTCTTTCTGTGACTGGTTTATTTCACTTAACATAATGACTTCCAGTTCCATCCATGTTGTTACAAATAACAGGATTTCATTCTTTTTTATAACTGAATAGTATTCTGTTGTGTATACATGTGCCACATTTTCTTTATCCATTCATTTGTTGATAGAGACTAAGGCTGCTTTCAAATCTTGGCTATTATGAATAGTGCTGCAATAAACATGGGAGTGAAGATATCTCTTCAATACACTGGTTTCCTTTCTTTTAGGTAAATACTTAGCAGTGGATTGTTGGTTCAAACGGTAGTTGCATTTTTAGTTTTTTGAGGGAACCTCCAAACTGTTCTCCAAGTGGTTGTACAAATTTACATTGTCACCAACAGTATACAAGGATTCCCTTTTCTCCACATCCTTGCCAGCATTTGTTATTTCCTGTCTTTTGGATAAAAGCCATTATAACTAGCGTTAAGATGATATCTTATTGTAGTTTTAACTTGCATTTCTCTAATGACCAGTGATTTGAGCACCTTTTCATATACCTTTTTGCCATTTGTATGTTTTCTTTTGAGAAATGTCTGTTCAGGTCTTTTGCCCATTTTTAATCAGATTATTATATTTTTTCCTATAGAGTTATTTGAGTTCCTTAGATACTCTGGTTATTAATCCTTTGTCAGATGGACAGTTTGCAAATCTTTTTCCCAATTTGTGGGTTGTCTCCTTGTTGTTTCCTTTGCTGTGCAGAAGCTTTTTAATTTGATGTGATCCCATTTGTCCATTTTTGCTTTGTTGCCTGTGCTGTCTTGGTATTCCTCAAGAAATTTTTGCCCAGTCCAATGTTCTAGAGAATTTCCCCCAATGCTTTCTTTTAGTAGTTTCACAGTCCAAGATCTTTAATCTATTTTGATTTGATGTTTGTATATGGTGAGAGATAGAGGTCTAGTTTCATTCTTATGCATATGGGTATCCAGTTTTCCCAGAACCACATATTGAAGAGATTGTCCTTTCCCCAATGTATATTCTTGACATCTTTGTTGAAAATGAGTTCTCTGTAGATGTATGAATTTATTTCTGGGTTCTGTATTCTGTTCCACTGGTTTATGTGTGTGTGTTTATGCCAGTACATACTGTTTTGCTTACTGTAACTCTGTAGTATAATTTGAAGTCAGGTAACGTGATTCCTCTGGTTTTGTTATTTTTGGTATATTAACATCAGGTACTGTGATCACTCACCTGATTTTTGGTTCTGAAGAAGGTGCTCTTTTGTGCGGATAGTTGCTCAATTTGGTGTCCCTGCAGTGGGCAGAGTATGATCACTGGAGGCTTCTATTCAGCTGTCTTGCTCCACTGGGCTTTAATGGACCACTAATAAGGCCACGAGACAAACCTGGGGTTCTGACCAGAATACAGGTTTGGGACAGAGATCTTGGCATAAAGTCAGTACACTTAAAGGACGGTATCTATATTAGGTAAAATAAGAAAAAATAATGGTCCTCACAGAGAAAGATAGCTGCCACATTCTGAGAAGATTAAAAAAAAGAAAATTTCTCCTAATAATTTGTAATCACAAGCCTGCCCTCATATGGGTTTGTTGCCTAAATTCATAATATTTGCCCCTCTCCCAAAAAACACAATAAAAAATTTAAAGTAATTCCAGATTGTAGTGTTCTCTGAAAAAAGGTACATTAAACTCAAATAACAAATAATTCTCCCAAAGTTCCAGGGAAAATCAACTCATAAGAAAAAATTACTAAATAAAAATTAAAACAAGACACCATGAGTGAAAGTCAACGGAAACAACAAACTCCTATGTTAAAGTCTTTAAAACTATAAATGTTAGAATTGTTAACAAAGGAAAATATGAAATAAGTTTGTTTAGTATATTTAAAGATATAAAATAAATTCATTGAAAGTATGATGAAAGAGCAAATTATCAAAACTGATTAATAATTGTCAAAATTGTAATAATTGTAAAAATTGTCAAAAGAAGTGTCAAAAATGAAAAATATAATAATTGACATTAGCAAATCAATGTTTTGGTTAAATTGCAGATTGGAAATGACTGAAAGAGAATTAGTAAATTGGAAGAAAGTAGAGCTAAAGAAATTATAACAAACGTAATCTAGAGACTCAAGGATCTAGGAGATATGGAAGAACAAGATCAGAAACGTATGGAATAGATAGAGAAAATCATACCTGCATCTAATTGAAGTTCAACAAAGAGAAAGAGACTAGAGAGAAAATTTAAAGAGATAATGGCTGAAAATTTTCCAGAAATGATGACAGAAATCAATCCTCAGAGTCAGAAAGCTAACTAATCTAACAAAGAATAAATAAAAAGAAATATGCACATTATACTATAGAGGAATTTCAAAGTATCAAAAATAAGATCTTAAGAGTAGCCAGAGATAAGATACAGATCATCTTAAAATACAGATCATCTTAAAATACAGATTAACTAAGTTCTCAACTGCAAGAATAGAAATCCAATAACAGTGAAATAACATCTAGATGTTGTCAACCAGGTTGACAAGTACTCTATCCTTAAGCAGCACTTGGAAATGTGGAGTGTCTTCCTTGTCACAATGACTGGCGTGTGACTAGAAAGTTACTGTTCTTTGTGCCTCAATTTTCTTATCATTATGGGAGTAGTAGTATTTATCTCATAAGATTGTTGTGCAGATTACATGAGTTAAATATATAGAAAGCATTCATAATAGCACTTGACACATTGAAAGTGCTTGTAATGAAAAAAGGAGTTAAGACAACCAAGAATTGTCTCACCCAAATTTCTAAGAAAATCCCTCATTGGAAAAAACTGGAAACCTATCCAACTTCTTATACAACTCCAACTATTTTTCTCCATCTCACCTCATCACACCCTATCCTCCAGTCACTCTCACTTTTTCATCCAATAAATTTAGTTAGACAATGCCTAGTAGGTGCCAGGAACTATTCTTTGCATTGTTTTGTGATTACATAGGTTTAAATTTCACAAGGGCATATGTAGCAGAGACTGGCTAGATATTCACTAATTTCATTTTCTCTTCCTGGTCACATGAGATGATTACATTCCTCAGCCTCCCTTGCACTTGTGGTAGAGCTACACAACTGGGTTCTTGTTAGTGGAATGGTAGAAATCATGCACTCCACATCCAGGCCTGGCCACAAAACATCACATGCTATCGTTTCCTCAAGTGCTCTTTTTACTTATGAGCCTGCTAAGTGCGAAGTATCCAAGGGTGGACTTCTAGGAGACCAGAAGCTCTGAATCAGCATATCCAAAACACCTAATAAGACTTTGACATAAGCAAGAAATAAACCACTATTATGTTGAGCTGCTGAAAATTTTAATATGCTGACGAATGCAGCATAATTATTTCCTTTAAATCTTGTAAACCTAGAACACAGCACAGTGCCTAGTATATAGTAGATCTCTGTAAATATTTGTTAAGACAATAAAAGAAAGGAAAGAAAGAAAAATGAAAGAAAGGAAGAGAGGGAGGAAGGAAGAGAGAATCCACTAATAAATTTAACCATTCCTTATTTTATGTGAAGTGATCACTTTAACCTATCTACATCTCTAATTTTACCAGTCATGCCCTCCGTTTTGATAAGGAAGACTCCCTCCTCTGCCTCCTATTTATCTTCCTTAACTTATACACTGTAAGAAAATACAAGACCACTTTTCTCTCCCGCC
The DNA here is from genome assembly GCF_000001405.40 of Homo sapiens. Taxonomy (NCBI): domain Eukaryota; kingdom Metazoa; phylum Chordata; class Mammalia; order Primates; family Hominidae; genus Homo; species Homo sapiens. The sequence continues at coordinate 94,369,783 of NC_000004.12, forward strand.
ATCTTGGATCCTATGGAGGCCTGCTGGGAATAGGACTTCTAAAAGGAAATATATCTGGAAGGCTGTTGTCCAAGCCATTTTGCGGTCTATAAGCGGGGTCTCTGGAACCAAAGGGAGCACACAGCTCTTCTTAAAATTGAAGGTGTTTATTCCCGAGATGAAGCAGAATTCTATTTGAGCAAGAGATGTGTTTATGTATACAAAGCAAAGAACAACACAGTGACTCCTGATGGCAAACCGAACAAAACCAGAGTAATCTGGGGAAAGGTAACTCTGGCCCACGGAAACAGTGGCATGGTTCATGCCAAATTCCAAAGCAACCTTACCGCTAAAGCTATTGGACACAGAGTCCGAGTGATGCTGCACCCCTCAAGGATTTAAACTAATGAAAACTCAATAAATGAAAGTGGATTTGTGCAAAAGGAAGGAAGGAAGGACCACTTTAGTGATAATGTTGGCTTTTTAGGTACTGTTCTTAATGGATTAAAGTAAGAGCATCTATTCAAAATTGTTCCTCAGACATTTCTTTTTCCAGAAGAAAAGCAATCCTGAGCATTTCACCATTGGAGCTGGAGTGGAAGTGATGCAGTCGGATAGGCTGGAGGCTCTGAATGAGGCAGGAGATAGTACACTAGTACTGAGACCCTGCAGATAAGATGAGCCCAGTAGTGGAATGGAAAGGACAAGCAGAGCTTTCAGAGGGTCACCTTCCCTTCCTTCCTTGCCCTCAGCCATCTCTTCCCACACACTCTCCACTGAAGTAGTACTAGGGAAATGGGTGTGAGGAATCTGAGCTAGCATAAGGGTAGGAACGGGGATAGAGGAAGAAAAGGAAGTGAGGTCTCAAGATCAGCAACTGGAAGGAAATAAGAATCTCTGTGCTCAGCACTGGCAATTTTTCCTGTGTAAGGGCTATTCGTAAATTGAGCTTAAAGACTTTTTAGGCTGTCTAATATACGTCGGAATGCTAACTTAATTCCAATACATACCATTAGGTGATCTCTAGTTAACTTTTACGGTTAAAATTGTTCCTAAGGTTTTACAAAAGGGAAAGTAAACCAAACACTTCACTTAATATTAAACCTGTCCACATTTGAAAACCACACATGTATTGTTTCATTTGTTGTTATTTTTCTTGTATTTCTCCAAGATTCCTTTGGAAATAATCACTGTTGTAAACTCACTGATGTATCCAAGGAGACAGTTAGAAGCCTAGTTTCAAACATATGGCAAAGTAAATACATAAAAATATTTGGAAATGAATTTTTCCAATCATAAACATTCTTATTAATGCTTGGGAAAGCACAAAAGACACTTTTATAGCTCTCTGGTGGTGATTTGATTTAAGACAAGAAAATTCTGGTAATCATTTTTCTCCTCCGTACTTTATAACTTTTGTTCTTTCTTATAAAGGAAAACATTTTTGTGGGACTATAGCTTAAGCTGAAGAAATGCCTATTTTTATATATCATATCACTCAAACCAATTTATATTCTGACTTTTTAAGGTGTCCCAGCATCAGAGTAATGTATAATTTTCTTTGGAACTCTTGACAAAACATTCTAATTCACAAGTCTTTAAACACTTCAAAAAGATTATATTTTCATAAATTTCATATTGTCTCTTTCCTGAAACAGCAACTTCAGTTAGGAAAATTTGCACACAGCTTTGGGAATTACCAGTTTGTAAGAAGCCCATGTGTTCACTACCACATTTCAAAATATATAGAGATGGTTTCCCTGGAATCCTCCCAGGAACTCCAGTTTTGGAACCATGAATATAGAGGACATACTTCAAGAGTGACCAGTGAGGAATAGGACTTCCTTGATGCAAGATAATACAAGAAGTTGGGAAGGAACTGGATTAGAATAGTGACTTTCAATCTCTAGCCCACCTGACTATAAGGGGTTTTAAAACTAAGTAAAAAGCCTATAATGCACATTAAATGCTACCTTTATTCAGAATAAATAAAATTATTTGCAAATATAGATATTAATAATGCTATGATTTCTGGAGATATTCTTAAAAGTAGTAAAATATCAAAGTGTTGCTGAACTCATGGTAGCTCTTGCTACTATCTGTTCCCCATCAGTTACTTTCAAGTAGAATATTGGTTTGATATCAAGTAGCTATGGTTTGAATGTATATGTCCCTTTAAAATCCACATTGAAACAATCCCTATTTGTGTGGTATTAAGAGATGAAGCCTTTTGGAAAGTGATTAAATCACAATGAATGAAATTATTGCCCTTATAAAGAGGCTTCAGAGAGCCACCTGACCCTTCCATCTCTTTCACCATGTAAGAACACAGTGAGAGGTACCATGCTGTAAGCAGACAGCGAGCCCTTACCAGACACCAAATCTGCTGGCACGTTGATCTTGGACTTCCCAGGTTCCAAGCTTTATTATTATAAATAATTTCTATTATTTATAAATTACCCAGTCTAAGGCATTTTATTATAGCAGCAGGAACAGACTAAGACAAATGTGTATCAGCCCCATTACTAAAACACAACCGGAGGAGGAGTTGGTCTGGCTGAGAACAGAGGTGTCCTGGGAGGTAAATAAATCTCTATTTCAATGGAAACAAATGGTCTTCACTAGATGTTTCCCATTTATCAATGACAGTTGTCATCCTTTCCTTCTACTGCCAATATATCTTGTTAATAGCTGCAGAGGTATGTACTGTGCTTAGTTACAGGTTCTTGTTTTTATTGACTGGAGGCCCTGCTACTCTCAGATAGACTTCTCTGATGACAATTGTCTGCACGGTTCAAATAATAAATAACCTTGCTTCAAACCCTGTCCTTGGCTCCACCAACCTACTAGAATATCCAGATGCCTCAGTTTGTACTAATGCATTTGTTGGTGTTTGCTTGAATTGTGTTTGAAGACTATTGAAACCCTTAGTTACCAGGCTTTCCTGCAAGACTTAATCTGTCTCATCACCTGCTACAGATGGAACTTGGGCCTATCCTACTCCAGTGGGAGGGTTTATTGCCATCCCTAGATTTACAGTTCCAGTAGTCAAGTGCCATACGGTGTCATAAACTGTAAGAATGGGCACCAAATGGAAATGTTCTCTAAAAGGTAATACAGTTCTTCGTTTAGAAAAAGAATGTTCCTTCCTTTCTGGAGAGTTCTAAACTGCTTTTTCTTCAATGTGCCCTCTACCTTAATTGAACTAAGCTTTCATCTTGCATATTTTGAGCCATGATAGGTTTTATTTCCATATAGGATGTTAATGAACCAGATTGTGTTAAATTTTCAAGTCTTTATCAGTAGTCTCCACACTAGGGCGCGTGAAGACTTCTCATGGGGGATGTGAACATGGAAAGTTTTAAGGGAATCAAGTTTCTTTTCTCAACTTTTAAATGTTCACTTCCTTGAAACTGATCTGCCTGAGAATATGACTGTGTTCAAGGAGTCATGCCAATTTTCCTCTCCCACCCTCCCTTTCACTATATAAAAGTGAGGTGAACTGCCCAGCCATACTGAATTTAATATGTACATTATGCCAGGGTGTAAAAATCTCTGGGAGTGCCAAAATAGAAGAAGTTCAAAATTATTGCTGTCCGTGAAGCCTCATTTAAGTAAGTTACCATAAATCAACAGTAGAACTTTATATATTTCCCTCTATTACACATGTTTCTTTGCATAGTGTTAGAAATGGGGTGTTTTGGCCCGTGTTGGAATGGAGCAGCAAGAGGGATGACTGTTTTTGTTTAATGATAATTTCTTTTCTCTCCCCTAATTATGGTCAAGAAAAATATGTTTCATGTGAGAGAGAAAGCAATAAAAACATCCAAGCACAGTGGTTCACATCTGTAATCTCAACATTTTGGGAGGCCGACACAGGCAGATCATTTGAGACCAGGAGTTTGAGACCAGCCTGGGCAACGTGGTGAAATCTTGTCTCTATAAAAATTAGCTAGGTGTGGTGGCGCACGACTGTAGTCCCAGCTACTCAGAAGGCTGAGGCAGGAGGATCACTTGAGCCTGAGAGGTGGAGGTTGCAGTAAGCTGAAATCGCACCACTGCACCTTAGCCTAGGCAACAGAGTGAGATCCTGTCTCAAACAAACAAACAAAAAATGCAATCAAAACAAAGCAAACGGAATGTCAGAAATGTATACAAAATGAAATGTCACCACAGCACCTTATTTTATCCAGTCAGCAAATTCAGTTTTTTGAACTCCTCTTCTCCAGTGATCTTTTTCTTCATCCTACCTCAGCCATCAACTTTCAGGATTATCGATTATATTTTATTAAGCCTTGTCATGTACAATAACTGCAACACCTCCAGAGTCTCTCACCACCACAGGTACTCACCCACAAAGAAATGTAACCATATCTTCCATTCCCTCCTGTTAGTAAAGATAACTATTATACTCTGATCAAAATCCAATTTCTCCATCTTGGTACCAGTCCCAACCTTTCTCTACTCAGGAACTGGGAAGAGTGAGCTATGATCACATCACTGCACTCCAGCCTGGGTGACAGAAGAAGACCCCATCTCTTTAAAAACTTTTAAAGGACTGAGAATAGCATTCCCACTCTTTTCTGCATCATCAGTGTTCACCCTCTACCAATTATTTCCTATGAGTATCAAAACATGCTGTCATTTTTCCTTAGGAATATCCTTTTAACCTCACTTCTTCAGAAAACTACAATCACTTTTTGTTCTCATTTCTAACAAGATTCCTCAAAAGAATCATCTATACTTGCTTTCCCTAATTCCTCTTTTTTTTTTTTTTTTTTTTTTTTTTTAGACAGAGTCTCACTCTGTCACCCAGGCTGGAGTGCAATGGTGCAATCTCAGCTCACTGCAACCTCTGTCTCCCGGGTTCTAGCAATTCTCCTGCCTCAGCCTCCCGAGTAGCTGGGATTACAGGTACACACCACCACACCCAGCAAATTTTTGTATTTTTAGTAGAGACGGGGTTTCGCTATGTTGGCCAGGTGAACTCCTGACCTGAAATGATCCACCCGCCTTGGCCTCCCAAAGTGCTGGGATTACAGGCATGCACCACCATGCCCAGCCCTCTTCTCCCATTCTCTTTAACTCATTATGTGCTACAAAATTAGGTTTTCACTCATCACATCACAGTTACTAAACCCAATGATCAATTTTGTCTTAGGGGATTTAATTTGGTCAATTAATCTTTCCTCCTTAATATAGAGATTTTCCATTTGACTAAACTCTTTGTTTTCTTTCTCCCTCACTGGTCTCTCTTTTTCAGGTCCTTATTTTTTTCTTCCTTTTCAATCCAACCTGAATATGATGACCTGTCACATGGCTCAGTCCTTCATATCTTCTCTACAGCCAATCCATTTGTGATCGTGTCCAATCTCATCACCTTAAATAACATAGTCCATATGCGAATGACTCTCAAATGTATATTTCTAGCCCAGTCCACTCTCCTGAACTTCAGGCTTATTATGTATTTTATTTTATACACACACACACACACACATACACACACACATTTATAAAAGCCCTTAGTCATCCTTCATCCTTTCTCTCATGTTGCACATCAAATGCATCTAGAAATCATGTGACCCACCTTCAAAAAAATTGATAATCAGACCACTGCTCATCAGTCTCTTCTGAGATATTGTCATTTCTCACTTGAATTATTCAATAAGCTCTTTAGAGGTCTCCCTAGTTCCACACTTGCATCCATACTGTATTCTCAAAGCAACCAGAATGATCCTTTCAAAATGTAGTTCAGATCATGTTATTTATCTGTTTAAAACCCTAGAGGGCCCCCTCCTCCATTCCGCTCAGAGTTAAAACCAAAGTCTTCACAGTGGCGCTCAGGGCCCTTCATTATCTGGACTCCTAATACCTCTCTGACCTCCTCTTCTGCTCTCCCATCCCTTACCACACTGCAGACACATTGGCACCCTTGAACATGCGAGGTGAGCTTCCACATTAGGACCTTTGCATTGGCAGTTCCCTTTATCTGGAATAGTCTTCTCCCACTTGCCTCATCCCCTCCCCTCTTTTAAGGCATTGCTCAGGTCTTATTAATACATTAATACTACAAACCACCTAAACCTCTCCCACTGCCTTTGCATTCCTGACTTCCTTTTTCCTATTCTACTTTTTCCTTTTGCCATAGCACATATCACCTTCTAA